>NC_000014.9:57490500-57793531 GCF_000001405.40 Homo sapiens | reverse complement strand
CCATTATCCTGAGTAACTCAGGAACAGAAAACCAAATACCAAATGTTCTTACCTATAAGTGAGAGCTAAGCTATGGGTATGCAAAAGCATACAGGACAGTTTGATGGACATTGGAGGCTCAGAAGGTAGAAGGGTAAGAGTGTGGTGAGGGATAAAAAATTACCTATTTGGTACAACATTCAGGTGATGGGTGCACTAAAAGCCCAGTCTTCACCACTGTACAGTTTCATCCATGTAACCAAAAACCACTTGTACCCCTAAAGCAATTGAAAAAAAAAAAATAAAAGTTTTTAAAAAATGAGCATAAAAAAGGTGGAGCAGGTGTTATTTTTCTCAGATTCACCCCTTTACTATTAATTCTTTTGCATTCTGTTACTCAGAGGAGCCTGGGCACATTTTCAGGATTTGGTAAGTTTTGTGATAAGACGAGGTTAGGCCTTTGGAGAATTTTCTTCTGTGTTTTCTAGACACCAGTTTCTAATATTTTGGTTTTGTTTTTTAAGTTACACCCCTTAATTTTGCTGAGTGCTTTTAATTTAAAAAGTTTTTTTAATGTATTCCATTTTAATAAAATACACTTAATTATAGGTTTATATGATTTAATTTTTCTCATAGGTTTTTCAGGTACAGGTGGTGTTTGGTTACATGAGTAAATTCTTTAGTGGTGATTTCTGAGATTTCGGTACACCCATCACCAAGCAATGAACACGGCACCCAGTGTGTAGTCTTTTATCCCTCACCCCCCTCCCACCTTTCCCCTTGAGTCCCCAGAGTCCATTATCATTCTTATGCCTTTGTGTCCTCATAGCTTAACTCCCACTTATAAGTGAGAACACACGATGTTTGGTTTTCCATATCTGAGTGACTTCACTTAGAATAATGGTCTCCAACACCATCCAGGTTGTTGCCAATGCCATTATTTCATTCCTTTTTATGGCTGAGTAGTATTCCATGGTATGTGTGTGCATATATACATATATATATCACATTTTCTTTATCCACTCATTGGTTGATGGGCATTTAGGCTGGTTCCATATTGTTGCAGTTGCAAATTGTGCTGCTATAAACATGTATGTGCAAGTGTCTTTTTCATGTAGTGACTTATTTTCCTCTGGGTAGATACCCAGTAGTGGGATTGATGGATCAAATGGTAGTTCTACTTTTAGTTATTTCAGGAATCTTCACACTGTTTTCCATAGTGGCTGCACTAGTTTACATTCCTACCAGCAGTGTAGAAGGGTTCACTGATCACCACATCCATGCCAATATCTACTGTTTTTTATTTTTTGATTATAGATATTCTTGCAGGAGTGAGGTAGTATCGCATTGTCATTTTGATTTGCATTTCCCTGATCATTAGTGATGTTGAGCATTTTTTCATATGTTTCTGGCCATTCATATATCTTCCTTTTTTTTTAAATTATACTTTAAGTTCTGGGATACATGTGCAGAAAGTGCAGGTTTGTTACATAGGTACACATGTGCCATGGTGGTTTGCTGCCCCCATCAACCCGTCATTTACATTAGGTATTTCTCTAATGCTATCCCTCCCCTTGCCCCCCACCCTCCAACAAGCCCCAGTGTGTGATGTTCCCCTCCCTGTACCCATACGTTCTCATTGGTCAACTCCCACTTATGAGTGAGAACATGTGGTGTTTAGTTTTCTGTTCCTGTGTCAGTTTGCTGAGAATGATGGTTTCCAGCTTTATCCATGTCCCTGCAAAGGGCATGAACTCATCTTTTTTTATAGCTGCATAGTATTCTACGGTGTATATGTGCCCCATTTTCTTTATCCAGTCTATCTTTAATGGGCATTTGGGTTGGTTCCAAGTCTTTGCTATTGTGAATAGTGCTGTAGTAAATATACATGTGCATGTGTTTTATAATCCTTTGGGTATATACCCAGTAATGGGATTGCTGGGTCAAATGGTATTTCTAGTTCTAGATCCTTGAGGAATCACCACACTGTCGTCCACAATGGTTGAACTAATTTACACTCCTGCCAACAGTGTATAAGCATTCCTCTTTCTCCACATCCTCTCCAGCATCTGTTGTTTCCTGACTTTTTAATGATCGCCATTCTAACTGGTATGAGATGGTATTTCATTGTGGTTTTGATTTGCATGTATCTAATGAGCAGTGATGATGAGTTTTCTTTCACATGTTTGTTGGCCATAAATATCTTCTTTTGAAAAGTGTTCATATCCTTTGTCCATTTTTTGATGGGGTTGTTTGTTTTTTTTCTTGTAAATTTGTTTAACTTCCCTGTAGACTGTGGATATTAGACCTTTGTCAGATGAATAGACTGCAAAATTTCTCTCCCATTCTGTAGATTGCCTGTTCACTCCGATGATAGTTTCTTTAGCTGTGCAAAAGCTCTTTAGTTTAATTAGATCCCATTTGTCAATTTTGGCTTTTGTTGCCATTGCTTTTGGTGTTTTAGTCATGAAGTCTTTGCCCATGACTATGTCCTGAATGGTATTGCCTAGCTTTTCTTCTAGGGTTTTTATGGTTTTAGGTCTTATGTTTAAATCTTTAATCCATCTTGAGTTAATTTTTGTATAAAGTGTAAGGAATGGGTCCAGTTTCAGTTTTCCGCATACGGCTAGCCAGTTTTCCCAGCACCATTTATTAAATAGGGAATCCTTTCCCCATTGCATTTTTTGTCAGGTTTGTCAAAGATCAGATGGTTGTAGATTTGTGGTGTTATTTCTGAGGCCTCTGTTCTGTTCCATTGGTCTATATGACATTTTTGGTACCAGTACCATGCTGTTTTGGTTGCTGTAGCCCTGTGGTATAGTTTGAAGTCAGGTAGTGTGATGCCTCCAGCTTGTTCTTTTCGCTTAGGATTGTCTTGGCTATGTGGGCTCTTTTTTGATTCTACATTAAATTTAAAGTAGTTTTTTCCAATTCTGTGAAGAAAGTCAATGGTAGCTTGATGAGAAGAGCATCGAATCTGTAAATTACTTTGGGCAGTATGGCCATTTTCACAGTATTGATTCTTCCCATCCACGAGCATGAAATGTTTTTCTATTTGTTTGTGTCCTCTCTTATTTTCTTGAGCAGTGGTTTGTAGTTTTCATTGAAGAGGTCCTTCACATCACTTGTAAGTTGTATTCCTAGGTATTTTTTTCTCTTTGCAGCAATTATGAATGGGAGTTCACTCATGATTTGTCTCTCTATTATTGTTGTATAGGAATTCTTGTGATTTTTGCATATTGATTTTGTATCCTGAGACTTTGCTGAAGTTGCTTATCAGCTTAAGGAGTTTTTGGTCTGAGATGATGGGATTTTCTAAATATACTATCATGTCATCTGCAAACAGAGATAATTTGACTTCCTCTCTTCCTATGTGAATACCATTTTTCTTTCTCTTGCCTGATTGCCCTGGCCAGAACTTCCAATAACATGTTGAATAGGAGTGGTGAGAAAGGGCATCCTTGTCTTATGCCACTTTTCAAAGGGAATCCTTCCAGTTTTTGCCCATTCAGTATGATATTGGCTGTGGGTTTGTCATAAATGGCTCTTATTATTTTGAGGCAAGTTTCATCAGTACCTAGTTTCTTGAGTGTTTTAGCATGAAGCAGTGCTGAATTTTATCAAAGGCCTTTTCTGCATCTATGGAGATAATAATATGGTTTTTGCCATTGGTTCTGTTTATGTGATGCATTACATTGATTGATGTGTGTATGTTGAACCAGCCTTGCATTCCAGGGATGAAGCCAACTTGATAATGGTGGATAAGCTTTTTGATGTGCTGCTGGATTCAGTTTGCCAGTATTTTATTGAGAATTTTCACATTGATATTCATCAGGCATGTTGGTCTGAAATTTTATTTTTGGTTGTGTCTCTGCCAGGTTTTGATATCAGGATGATTCTGTCCTCATAAAATGAGTTAGGGAGGAATCCCTCTTTTTCTGTTGTTTGGAATAGTTTCAAAAGGAATGGTACCAGCTCCTCTTTGTACTTCTGGTAAAATTCAGCTGTGAATCCATCTGGTCCGGGGCTTTTTTTGGTTGGTAGGCTATTAATTACTGCCTCAATTTCAGAACTTGTTATTGATCTATTGAGGGATTGGACTTCTTCCTGGTTTAGTCTTGGGAGGGTGTATGTGTCCAGGAATTTATCCATTTCTTCTAGATTTTCTAGTTTATTTGCATAGAAGTGTTTATGGTATTCTCTGATGATAGTTTGTATTTCTGTGAGATCAGTGGTGATCTCCCCTTTATCATTTTTTATTGCATCTATTTGATTCTCCTCTCTTTTCTTCTTTATTAGGCTGGCTAGTGGTCTATTTCATTAATCTTTTCAAAAAACCAGCTCCTGGATTCATTGATTTTTTGAAGGGTTTTGTGTGTCTCTATCTCCTTCAGTTCTGCTCTGATCTTAGTTACTTCTTTTCTGCTAGCTTTTGAATTTCTTTGCTCTAGTTCTTTTAATTGTGATGTTAGGTTGTCGATTTTAGATCTGTCCCACTTTCTCATGTAGGCATTTAGTGCTACAAGTTTCCCTCTAAACACTGCTTTAGCTGTGTCCCAGAGATTCTGGTACACTTTATCTTTGTTCTCATTGGGTTCAAAGAGCTTATTTATTTCTGCCTTCATTTCGTTATGTACCCAGTAGTCATTCAGGAGCAGGTTGTTTAGTTTTCATGTAGTTGTGCGGTTTTGAGTGAGTTTCTGGATCCTGAGTTCTAATTTGATTACACTGTGGTCTGACAGACTGTTTTGATTTCCGTTCTTTTGCATTTGTCGAGGAGCGTTTGACTTCCAATTATGTGGTCAATTTTAGAATAAATGCTATGTGGTGCTCAGAAGAATGTCTATTCTGTTGATTTGGGGTCGAGAGTCCTGTAGATGTCTGTTAGATCCACAACAGCAAATTATTTAATTTCCATGTATTTGTATAGTTTTAAAAGTTCCTTTTGGAGTTAATTTCCAGTTTTATTCCACTGTGGTCTGACAGAGTGCTTGATGTGATTTCAATTTCCTTAAATTTATTGAGACTCATTTTATGGCCTATCATATGGTCTATCTTGGAGAAAGTTCCATGCACTGTTTAATAGAATGTGTATTCTGTGGTTGTTGGATGAAATGTTCTGTATATATTTGCTAAGTCCATTTGTTCCAAAGTATAGTTAAATCCATTGTTTCTTCATTGACTTTCTGTCTTGATGACCTGTCTAGTGCTGTCGGTGGAGTATTGATGTCCCCCACTATTACTGTGTTGCTGTCTATCTCATTTCTTAGGTCTATTAGTAATTGTTTTATAAATTTGGGAGCTCCAGTGTTAGGTGCACATATGTTTAGGATTGTGGCATTTTCCTGTTGGACAAGGCCTTTTACCATTATATAATGTCCCTCCTTGTCTCTTTTAACTGCTGTTGCTTTAAAGTTTGTTTTGTCTAAGAACAGCTACCCGTGCTTGTTTTGGTGTCCATTTGCATGAAAAGCCTTTTTCCACCCCTTTGCTTTAAGTCTATGTGAGTCCTTATGTGTTAGGTGAGTCTCCTAAGGGAGCAGATAGTTGGTTGGTGAGTTCTTATCCATTCTGCAGTTCTGTATCTTTTAAGTGGAGCATTTAGACCATTTACATTCAATGTTAGTATTGAAATAAGAGGTACCATCACATTCATCCAGCTCTTTGTTGCGTGTGTACTTTGGTTTTTTGTTTTGCTTTTTAACTTGTATTTTTGTTTTATAGGTCCTGTGTGATTTATTCTTTAAAGAGGTTCTGTTTTGATGTGTTTCCAGGATTTGTTTCAAGATTTAGAGCTCCTTTTTGCAATTCTTGTAGTCGTGGCTTGGTAATAGCGAATTCTCTCAGGATTTGTTTGGCTGGAAAAGACTATCTTTCCTTCATATATGAAGGTTAGTTTTACTGAATACAAAATTCTTGGCTGATAATTGTTTTGTTTGAGGAGATTGAAGATAGGCCCCAATCCCTTCTAGCTTGTAGCGTTTCTGTTGAGAAATCTGATGTTAATCTGATAGGTTTTTCTTTATAGGTTACCTGGTGCTTCTGTCTCACAGCTCTTAAGATTCTTTCCTTCATCTTAACTTTGAATAACCTGATGACATTGTGATCAGGCAATCTTTTTACGATGAATTTCCCAGGTGTTCTTTGTGCTTCTTGTGTTTGGATGACTAGGTCTCTAGCAAGGCTGGGGATGTTTTCCTCAATTATTCCCCCAAATATGTTTTCCAAGCTTTTAGAATTCTCTTCTTCTTCAGGAACACCGATTATTCTTAGGTTTGGTCGTTTAACATAATCCCAGACTACTTAGAGGCTTTGTTCATGTTTTCTTTTTCTTTTTTCTTTGTCTTTGTTGGATTGGGTTAGTTTGAAGACTTTGTCTTGAGCTCTGAATTTCTTTCTTCCACTTGTTCAGTTCTATTGCTGAGACTTTCCAGAGCATTTCACATTTCTAAGAGTGTATCCAAAGTTTCTCGAATTTTTGCTTTGTTCTTTAAGCTCTCTATTTCCTTGAATATTTCTCCCTTCACTTCTTGTATCGTTTTTTGGATTTCCTTGCACTGGGCTTCACCTTTCTCTGGTGCCTCCCTGATTAGCTTAATAACTAACCTCCTGAATTCTTCTTCAGGCAAATCTGGGATCTCTTCTTGGTTTGGGTCCATTGCTGCTGAACTAATATGATTGTTGAGGGGTGCTGAAGAGCCATGTTTTGTCATATTACCAGGGTTGGTTTTCTGGTTCCTTCTCATTTGGGCAGGCTCTGTCAGAGGGAAGGTCTAGGGCTGAAGGCTGTTCAGATTCTTTTGACCCATGGAATGTTCCCTTGATGTAGTACTCTCCCTGTTTTCCTAAGTATGAGGCTTCCTGTGAGCTGAACTGCAGTGATCGTTGTCTCTCTTCTGGGTCTAGCCACTCAGTGAGTCTACCTGGCTCCGGGCTGGTACTGGGCATTGTCTGCATAGAGTCCTGTGATGTGAACCATCTATGGACCTCCCAGCCAGGATACCTGCACCTGTTCTGTGGACATGACAAGGGAGTGCAATGGACTCCGTGAGGGTTCTTAGCTTTGGTGGTTTAATGCTCGGTTTTTGTGCCAGTTGGCCTCCTGTGAGGAGGTGGCACTTTCCAGAGAGCATCAGCTGTAGTAGTGTGGAGAGGGACCAGCAGTGGGCGGGGCCGTAGAACTCCCAAGATTATATGCCCTTTGTCTTCTGCTACCAGGGTGGATAGGGAAGGACCATTAGGTGGGGGCAGGGCTAGACATATCTGAGCTCAGACACTCATTGGGCGGATCTTGCTGCAGCTGCTGTGAGGTATGGGAGTGAGGTTCCTAAGTCACCGCAGTTGTGTACCTAGGAGAATTATGGCTGCCTCTGCTGAGTCATGCAGGTTGTCAGGGAAGTGAAGGAAATCCAGCACTCATAGCCCTCACCCAGCTCCCACGCAAACTGAAGGCCAGTCTCACTCCCACTGTGCCCTACCCCCAACAGCCCTGAGTTTATTTCCAGGCAGAGGGTGAGGGGGGCTTGAAAACTTGCCCCAGGTTACCCGTCTTCCAGCTGCCAAAGAAAAGGCCTTGGTTCTTCCCCTGCCTGTGGAGTCTGCACACTGGATTTGCGCCCTCCCCCAGGTTCTGGCCAGGAGGCTTCTTGCCCCATTCAAATTGTTACCAAGTTCAGCTAGAGAATTCCTTCTCCCTGCAGAGTCTTACCCCTGCTTCTCTGGCCACCCTCCCAATGGATCCCTGTGGTACTAGGCAGGAATTGCCTGCCAGGGGACCCAGAAAGCTCCCAGGGCGTTTCTGCTGCTTCCTCTTCCCCAGTATTTCACTCAGCTCTCTAAATGGACTCAGCTCCAGGTAAAGTCAGAAACTTTTCCTGCAAACAGACCTTCAGGTTCTCCAGTAGGGGTGTGCATTTGGGAGAGGAGGGTCTCCCTTCCCCACTTCTGCAGTTGGGGCACTCACAGTATTTGGGGTGTCTCCTGGGTCCTGTATGAGCAGTCTGCTTCCTTCAGAGGGTCTGTGGGTCCTCTCGGGATTGCTGGTTTGTTCTTACAGTTATCTGGAGCTAAAATTCACAACACAAGCCTCCGCATACTGCTCTGTACAGAACTGCAATGTAGTCCTGCCTTACTGAGTGCTTTTTAAAAGTAATTTATGTACTACTGTCTCATTTCATTGTCAGGGGAAGCAGGCAGGGGTGCCGTGCAATGGAGGGCTCGATTATCTATCATCAAGGAGAGAAGTTTGTTGCCCTTGGCCAAGAGTCAGTGTGATACCATAGCTGCCATCTGGGTTAAATTATGATATCTGGCACCATGACAGAGATATTTCATGTAGTATAAACTTCAGGTAACCGAGGCTTAATTTTTAATCATCAAAATATTTAAACCATAGCTGACCTTTGCACAGGCAGGGGTTAGAGGCACAAACTCCCTGTGCAGTCAAAAATCTATGACTTTTGACTTCTTCACAACTTAACCACTAATAGCCTACTGTTGGCTGGAAGCCTTACCAATAATATGAACTGTCAGTTAACATAAAATGTATATGTTATGTGTATTATATAGAGTATTCTTACAATAAGGTAGAGAAAAAATGTTATTAAGAAAAGCATAAGGAAGAGAAAACATCCCACTCTTCATTAAGTGGAAGTGGATCATTGTAAAGGTCTTTAACCTCATCATCTTCATGTTGAGCAGGCTGAGGAGGAAGAGGACAAGGAGGGGTTGGTATTGCTGTCTCATGGGTGGCAGAGGTGGAAGGGGAGGCAAGAGAGTTAGGTATACTTGGTGTAACTTTATAAAAATGCATCGTTATTTTTGTTTGACTTTTTTCTTTCTCATTTCCCTAAAAATGTTTCTTGTTTTGTTGTGTTTGAAGAGACAGAGTCTCTGTTACCCAGGCTAGAGTGCAGTGGTGAAATCATAGCTTACTGCAGCGTCAACCTCCTGGGCGCAAGAGATTCTCCCAGCACAGCCTCCCAAGTAGCTGGGACTACAGGCACGCCCCTGACTAAGAAAAAATTTTTTTTATAGAGACAGGATCTTACCATGTAGCCCAGGCTGGTCTTGACCTATTAGCCTCAAGCAATCCTCCTGCCTTGGCCTCCCAAAGTGTTGTAATTACAGGCATGAGCCAGTACACCCAGCCCTAAAAATGTTTCTATATGGTACTAATCCTTCTTCTACCATCTAATTTAGTTTCAGTGCCTGTACCACACAAAAGGTCTATGTTGTAAAAGAAGTTAAAAGCAGTCTTGAATAATTGGGACCCTTTAGCCAGATTGTCTAAAATCATTTTTTTTCTGGCACTGCTTCTTCTATGTCTTTCTCATTCTCTAGCACTGGTTTGGAAGCACTCATCTCCATCATGTCATCTTCAGTTAATTCCTCTGGTGTGATACCTATTAGCTCTTCAGTTTCTCCAATACACACATCTTGAAACCCTTCACTAATCACTTTTTTGCCATTTCCATATCTTTTTCATTATTTCCTTGATTAGCTCTGTCATAAATCCTGTGAAGTCATACAAAACATCAGACAGTTTTTTCAGCAGGAATTTATTGTTTTGAGCTTGATGGCCTTCACAACTTTTTCTATATCAACGACAGCATCTTCTATAATGTAATCCTAGATTTTTATTATCTTCTCTCTGTCAGGGTTCTCTTCCATAGTGTTGACAATCTTTCATAGAATATCTTGTGTAATGAGCCTTAAAGATTCTTATGACCCACTGATCTAAAGGCTGAATTAGAGATGTTGTGTTTAGGGGCAAATAGACAACAATCTTTGATTTTTGAACTCATGAGATTCTGGGTGGCTGGGCCATTGTCTTATGTCAAAAGGACTTTAAAGGGTCATCCCATGCTGGCAAGGTGCTTCCTGACTTCAGAGACAAAGCATCAATGGAGCAACCCAGAAAAATGGTTCTTATTGTCCAGGCCTTGTTGCACAATCAAAAGATTGGCTGCTGGGTGTTTGTATTTTCCCTTCAAACTTCTGGAGTTAGCAACTTTATTGATAAGGGGTGTCCTGATGATAAACCCAACTACATTTGCACAAAACAGTAGAGTTAGCCCATTCCTTCCTGCCTTAAATCCTGGTGCTCGCTTCTCTTTCTTACTAATAAATGTCCTTTGTGGCATTTTTTTTTCCAGAATAGGAGACTGTTGTCTGCATTATAAACGTGTTCAGACAGTTATCCTTTTTCTTCAATAATTTTCTTAGTGGCATCTGGGAACTCTCTGCTGCCTCTTGGTGGACAGAAGCTGCTTGATATTTTAAAAAATTGTTAAACCATCCTTTGCTGACATTAAATCCTCCAGCTTTAGATACTTCATCTTCCTTTTGCTTTAAGTTGTCATATAATGACCACTTTTTCTCACATCATATTAGAGTCTACAGGTATACTTTTTGGATAGCAATCCTCCACCCACATAAAAGCAGCATTTTTAATATGATTTTAAAAGGTAACTTGCAAAAAATGCAAGGTTTTCATGGCTGCTGGTATAGCTGCAGCAACAGCTTCACACATTTCCCCTCCCTCCCAGCTCCCTTCCTTCCTTCCTTTTTTACAATTGTCCTTATTCAGGATTCATTTATCTTGAGATAGCCGGCAACCACAGCTGCAGACTTCAATTTATGCCACATTTCAAGCAATTCAACTTTATTTTTGTAATGTCATGACTTTTCTCTGCTTCTTGGGAGCACTTCCAGCATCACTAGTGGCACTTTATATGGTTCTAATGGTGTTATTCAAAGTTTATGGTATTGCACTAAACACATTGCAAAATGTGTGTGAACTGGGAGAGATCAGTTTTTTACTGTCATACACAATTTACTGGAGGACAAACTGCTTACGCAGGGTGTTTTAAGCAGATGCTGACAACACTTGAGCTCACAGCAACAGCAGCCAGAGGTGGCTACAAAATCATTACTGTAGTACAGTATGTACTAAAGTTAGTTTTATGCAGTTACAATTTAATGCTCTGTCTTTATTTACATGCTCTTAACTGCAAACACCACCATGTATGGTCTCTGTTTACCCATAGATTTTAATAAATTTTAACTTTGCATAGCATATTTGTGTACGTTTTATGGTGTTAAATGTCCAAATAGACTAGTATCTACATATATTTTATACATTCATGACATGCCTTTTTCTTTTTTTTTTGATATTTCTAGGCTACTCAGTTTTTCTGGGAGTTTTTCAAATTGTTGCAAATGTTCAAAAATTTCCCAGTATATTGAAAAAAAATCCATGTATAAGGGGATGTGTGAAGTTCAAACTCATTATTGCTCAAGGGCCAACTGTACTTGCACTCATTTGGGTAAATGTAACTGACTCATATAAATTAATTCTGATAACATTTCTAAAATATGTCTTACAGATTACTCTGTTAGTGATGAATATGTTAAACTGTCCTTGATAACTAAAAGGTAATTGTGATAAACATTTTTTTACTTGTACTACTTTCTTTTTAAAAAACTTTTAGGTTCAGGGGTACATGTGCAGGTTTGTTATATAGGTAAACTTGTGTCATGGGGGTTTGATATACAGATTACTTTATCACCCAGGTATTAAACCTAGTAACCAATAGTTATTTTTTCTGCTCTTCTCCCTCCTCCCAACCTGGACCCTCAGGTAGACTCTAGTGTCTGTTGTTCCTCTCTTTGTGTCCATGTGTTCTCATCATTTAACTCCCACTTGTAAGTGAGAATATGAGCTATTTGGTTTTCTGTTCCTGCATCAGTTTGCTAAGGATGATGGCCTCCAGCTCCATTCATTTTCCTGCAAAGGACATGATCTTGTTCTTTTTTATGGCTGCATAGTATTCCATGATGTATATCTACCACATTTTCTTTATTCAGTCTGCCATTGATGAGCATTTAGGTTGATTTCATGTCTTTGCTATTGTGAATAATACTACAATGAACATATGCATTCATGTGTCTTTATGGTAGAATGATTTATATTCCTTTGGGTATAACCCAGTCATGAGTTGCTGGGTCAAATATGAGCTCCACTTTTAGCTCTTTGAGGAATCATCACACTGCTTTCTACAATGGTTGAACTAATTTACACTCCTACCAACAGTGTATAAACATTCCCCTTCTCTGCAACCTCACCAGTATCTGTTATTTCTTGATTTTTTAATAATAGCCATTTTTAGTGGTGTGAGATGGTACCTATTATGGTTTTGATTTGCATTTCTCTAATGATCTGTGATATTGAGCTTTTAAAAATATGCTTGTTGGGCACATGTATGTCTTCTTTGAGAAGTGTCCATTCATGTTTTTTTGCCCACTTTTTAATATAGTGGGTTTTTTTCCTTGTAAATTTGTTTAAGTTCCTAATAGATGCTGGATATTAGACCTTTGTCAGATGCATTGCTTGCAAATATTTCTCCCATTCTGTAGGTTGTCTGTTTACTCTGTTGATAGTTTGTTTTGCTGTGCAGAAGCTCTTTAGTTTAATTAGATTCCACTTGTCAATTTTTGCTTTTGTTGTAATTGCTTTTGGTGTCTTCCTCATGAAATCTTTGCCAATTCCTATGTCCGGAATAATATTGCCTAGATTTTCTTCCAGGGTTTTTATAGTTTTGGGTTTTACATTTAAGTTTTTAATTCATCTTGAGTTGGCTTTTGTATATGGCATAAGGAAGTGGTCCAGTTTCAATGTTCTGCATATGGCCTTGCTTGTTTTTTTCAGCTTTGACAAAGATCAGATGGTTGTGGGGGTGCAGCATTATTTCTGGACTCTCTATTCTGTTCCCTTGGTCTATGTTTTTATATGTGTCTTATGTTTTATATGTGTCTGTTTTTATACCAGTACCATGCTGTTTTAGTTACTGTAATCCTGTAACATAGTTTCAAGTCAAGTAGTGTGATGGCTCTTGTTTTGTTCTTTTTGTTCTTTTGCCTTGGCTATTTGAGTTCTTTTCTAGTTCCATAGAAATTTTAAAACAGTTCTTTCTAGTTCTGTGAAGAATGTCACTGGTAGTTTGATAGGAACAACACTGAATCTGTAAATTTCTTCAGGGAGCATGGCCATTTTAACAATATTGATTCTTTCTATCTGTGAGCATGAAATGTTTTTCCATTTGTTTGTGTCATCTCCGATTTTTTTTTGAGTAGTGTTTTGTAATTCTTATTGTAGAGATATTTTTCTCTCCTTGGTTAGCTGTAATCCTAGGTATTTGATTCTTTTTGTGGCAATTGTGAATGGGATTGCATTGTTGATTTGGCCCTTGGCTTGGCTGTTGTTGGTGTATAGGAATGCTAATGATTTTTGTACATTGATTTTGTATCCTGAAACTTTGCTGAAGTTATTTATCAGCTGAAGGAGCTTTTGGGCCAAGACTATGGGGTTTTCTAGATATAGAATCATGTCATCTGCAAACAGGGATAGTTTGACTTATTCTCTTTCTATTTGGATGTCATTTATTTCTTTCTTTTGCCTGATTGCTCTGGCTAAGACTTCCAATACTTTGTTGAATAGGAGTAGTGAGAGAGGGCATCCTTGTCTTATATTGGTTTTCAAGGGGAATGCTTCTAGCTTTTTCCCATTCAGAATGATGTTGACTGTGGGTTTGTCATAAATGGCTGTTATTATTTTGAGGTATATTCCATCAATACCTAGTTTGTCGAGAGTTTTTAATACGAAGGGGTGTTGAGTTTTATTGAAAGCTTTTTCTGCATCTATTGAGATAATCTTGTGGTTTTTGTCTTTAGTTCTGTTTATGCAATGAAGCACATTTATCGATTTTATTGGTGTTGAACCAACCTTGCATCCCAGGGATAAAGCCTACTTGATCATGGTGGATTAGCTTTTTCATGTGCTGCTGGATTTGCTTTGCCAGTATTTTGTTGAAGGTTTTTGCATCAATGTTCATTAAGGATATTGGCCTGAAGTTCATTTTTTTGTTGTATCTCTGCCAGATTTTGGTATCAGGATGATTCTGGCCTCATAGAATGAGATGGGGAGAAGTCCTTCCTCTTCAGGTTTTTGGAACAGTTTCAGTAGGAATGGTATCAGCTCTTCTTTGTACATCTGGTACATTTATTACTGATTTAATTTCAGAGCTTGTTATTGGTCTTTTCAGGGATTCAATTTCTTCCTGGTTCAGTCTTGGGAGGGCGTATGTACCCAGGAATATATCCATTTCTTCTTGATTTTCTAGTTTGTTTGCAAGGAGATGTTCATAGTAGTCTCTGATAGTTATTTGTATTCTGTGAGGTCAGTGGTAATATCTCCTTTATCGTTTCTAATTATGTTTATTTGGACCTTCTGATCTTTTCTTCTTTGTCTAGCTAGCAGTCTGTCTAGTTTATGAATTTTTTCAAAAAACCAACTCCTGGATTCACTGATCTATTGAATGGTTTTTGTGTCCCAATCTCCTTCACTTCAGCTCTGATTTTGGTTATTATTATTATTATTTTTTTTTGTCTTCTGCTAGCTTTGGGATTAGTTGCTTCTTGCTTCTCTAGTTCTTTTAGTTGTGATGTTAGGTTGTTAACTTGATATCTTTTTAACTTTTTGATGTAGACATTTAGTGCTATAAATTTCCCTCTTAACACTGCTTTATCAGTGTCCAAGAGATTGTGGTATTTTGTATCATTATTCTCATTGGTTTCAAAGAACTTTTTGATTTCTGCCTTAATTTCATTACTTACCCAAAAGTCATTCAGGAGCAGTTTATTTAATTTCCATGTAATTGTATGGTTACAAGTGATTTTCTTAGTTTTGATTTCTATTTTTATTGCGCTGTGGTCTGAGAGTGAGCTTGGTATAATTTTGTTTTTTTTTTAATTTGCTGAGCATTGTTTTATATCTGATTGTGTAGTTGATTTTAGAGTATGTACCATATGGCAATAAGAACATATATTCCATTGGTTTGGGGTGTATCGTTCTGTAGATGTCTATTAGGTCCATTTGGTCCAGTGTCGAGTTCAGGTATTAATATTTTGTTGATTTTCTGCCTCAATGATCTAATATTGTCAGTGGGTATTGAAGTCTTCCAGTGTTTTAATGTGGGAGTCTAACTCTCTTTGAAGGTCTCTAAGAACTTGTTTTATGAATCTCGGTGCTCCTGTGTTGGGCGCATATATATTTAGGATAGTTAGCTCTTCTTGTTGAATTGAACCCTTATCTTTATGTAGTTAATGTCCTTCCTTGTCTTTTTTGATCTTTGTTGGTTTAAAGTCTGTTTTGTCTGAAATTAGGATTCCAACTGTATTAGTCCATTCTCATGCTGCTGATAAAGACATACCCAAGACTGGGCAATTTACAAAAGAAAGAGGTTTAGTTGGGCTTATAGTTCCATGTGGCTGGCATAGCCACAATCATGGCAGAAGGCAAGGAGGAGCAAGTCATGTTACATGGATGACAGCAGGCAAAGAGAGAGAGCTTATGCAGAGAAATTTCCTTTTTTTAAAAACCATCAGATCTTGTTAGACTCATTTACTAACATGAGAACAGCATAGGAAAGACCTGTCCCCATAGTTCAATCACCTCCCACCAGGTTCTTCCCATGACATGTGGGAATTGTGGGAGTTACAATTCAAGATGAGATTTGGGTGGGGACACAGCCAAACCATGTCACCAACCTTACTTTTTTCTGTTCCCCATTTGCTTTGTAGATTTTTCTCCATCTCTTTTTTGAGTTTATGGGTGTCATTCCATGTGAGATGGGTCTCTGGAAGATGGCATACCATTGGGTCTTGCCTTTCTTTATCCGGCTTGCCACTGTTTGCCTTTTATTATTATTATTATTATGCTTTAAGTTCCAGGGTACATGTGTACAACATGCAGATTTGTTACATAGGTATACATGTGCCATGTTGGTTTGCTGCACTCATCAACTCGTCATTTACATTAGGTATTTCTCCTAATGCTATCCCTCCCCCAGCCCCTCACCCCCGCGACAGGCCTCTCTGTTTGTGATGTTCCCTGCCCTGTGTCCATGTGTTCTCATTTTTCAGCTCCCACCTATGAGTGAGAACATGCAGTGTTTGGTTTTCTGTCCCTGTGATAGTTTGCTTAGAATGATGGTTCCCAGCTTCATCCATGTCCACGCAAAAGACATGAACTCATCCTTTTTTATGACTGCATAGTATTCCATGGTGTATATGTGCCACATTTTCTTAATCCAGTCTATCATTGATGGACATTTGGGTTGGTTCCAAGTCTTTGCTATTGTGAATAGTGCTACAATAAACATACATGTGCATGTGTCTTTATAGTAGCATGTTTTATAATCCTTTGGGTATATACCCAGTAATGGGATGGCTGGGTCAAATGGTATTTCTAGTTCTAGATTCTTGAGGAATCACCACACTGTCTTCCACAATGGTTGAACTAGTTTACACTCGCACCAACAGTGTAAAAGTGTTCCTATTTCTCCACATCCTTTCTTTACTCGGAGCATTTTGCCCATTTACATTCAAGGGTAGTATTGATATGTGTGGACTTAATCCTGTCATCGTGTTGTTAGTTAGTTATTATGCTGACTTGTTTGTGTGGTTGCTTTATCGTGTCACTGATCTGTGTACTTAAGTGTGTTTTTTAGTGGCTGATAACCATCTTTCCTTTCCACATTTAGTGCTTCTTTCAGGAGCTCTTGTAAGGCAGCTCTTACGAGACCCTCGGCATTTGCTTGTCTGAAAAGGATCTTATTTCTCCTGTGTTTCCAAAGCTTAATTTGGCCAGATATGAAATCCTTGGTTGGAATTTATTTTCTTTAAGAATCTTGAATATAGGCCCTCACTCTCTTCTGGCTTATAGAGTTTCTGCTGAGAAATCCACTGTTAGTCTTATGGGTGTCCCTTTCTAGGGAATCTGACTTTTCTAGCTGCCTTTAATTTTTTTTTTTTTTTTTTTTTTTTGAGATGGAGTCTTGCTCTGCTGCCCAAGCTGGAGTGCAGTGGCATGATCTTGGCTGACTGCAACCTCTGCCTCCTGGGTTCAAGCGATTCTCTGACCTCAGCCTCCCAATTAGCTGGGATTGCAGGCGCGTGCCACCACTCCTGGCAAATTTTTTGTATTTTTAGTAGAGAAGGGGTTTCACCATGTTAACCAGGATGGTCTTGATCTCCTGACCTCGTGATCCGCCCGTGGCCTCCCAAAGTGCTGGGATTACAGGTGTGAGCCACCATGCCCAGGCTTTAATGTTTTTTTCTTTCATTTTGATCTCAGAAAATCTGATAATTGTATGTCTTGGGGATGATCTTCTTGTAAAGTATTTTGCAGGGGTTTGTTGCATTTCCTGAATTGGAATGTTGTCCTCTCTAGCTAGGTTGGAGAAGTTTTCATGGATGATATCTTGAAATAAATTTTCCAAGTTGCTTCCATTCACCCCATCTCTTTCAGGAACACCAGTGAGTCATAGATTTGGTCTCCTAACATAATCCCATATTTCTTGGAGGTTTTGTTCATTCCTTTTCTTTTCTTTCTTTTATTCTCTTCTGTCTTATTTCAGAAAACCAGTCTTCGAGCTCTGAGATTCTTTCCTCTGTTTGGTTTATTCTGCTGTTAATACTTGCAGTTGCATTATGAAATTCTTGTAGCATGTTTTTCAGCTCTGTCAGGTCAGTTACATTCTTTTCTACACTGGCTATTTTGTCTGTAAGATTCTGTATCATTTTATTGTGATTCTTAGCTTCCTTAGATTGGGTTTCAGTGTTCTCCTGAATCTCAATGATCTTCATTTCTATACATATTCTGAATTATATTCCTGTCATTTCAGCCATCTCAACCCAGTTAAGAACCCTTGCTGAAGAACGAGTGCAATCATTTGGAGAAAAGAAGACACTCTGGCTTTTTGAGTTGTCAGAGTTTTTGTGCTGGTTCTTTCTCATCTTTGTGAGCAGATGTTCCTTCAATCTCTGAAGTTGCTTTCCTTTGGATGGATTTTATTTCTGTTATCCCATTGATGACCTTGAGGGTTTGATTGTGGTATAAGATGGGTTCAGTTGACTGGCTTCATTTCTGGAAAACCTTAAAGAGCCAAGGCTCAGCTCAGAACTCCTAGACTGCATATTGTAATTCTGAGGGACTGATATTGACCTCAGCTTTGTTATCTGGCTCCTCCAGGTTAGGAACCTGCTGTACCGGAGGGGCTGAGGTGCTTGCTCCTGGACCACTGGTTCCAAGACTCCAATGGCTGGTGCCAGCCAAAACACTTCATAGGGCAGTAGCAGTAGGATTTGTCCTTGTTTACAGGTGCCAGCAGCAGTGGCAGCAGCAGTGTGGTGAGGTGCACACTTATCGGCTGCAGCAGGGTGCTAGTGGGTGCTGGGGTTCTGGCCTCCATGCAGGTGTTCCCAGCAGTGGTGGTGGTAGCATGGCTTGGGTTTTGGCATCCCCGCCTGCTACTGTGTGCACATGTGCACTGGTGATGGTGTTAGCACAGGGGTGGGGTGCTGGTGGGCACAGGACTGTTTGCACACTCTGTGTGCATTCACTCAGGAGGTCGTTGGGTCCACTGTTCTCCATGCCTTGTTTTGCACTAGTGGCAGTGTGGCCACTATGGTGGAGTGCTGGTGGGGGCGGTGCTGGCAGGCTCCATGTCTGATAAGGTTCCAATGACAATGGTGGTGTGGTGGGGGGTAGAAGAGCAGAGTGCACTTATGCTGGCAGCAGTGGCTTGTCGTGGTGCACATGCACAAACGTGCTGGCAGGAAGGGAAGGCAAGATCTGCTGGCACACACACATGCCTTCAAAGCAATGCAGGATGTGGCTCTGGGCAAGTGCTTGCAGGCAAAGTGGCACAGGGGAGGCTGCAATGGAGGAGGGAGCAGGTGGGCTGGTGAGTGTTTGCAGGGGCATTCTGCTGGAGCTCCGGTCAGGTGCAGTCCACCAGCACAGAAGCTATGATGCAGGCCCCCAGGGGCTGTACTGCAAGCAGGTGTGGCCAGGCTGGAGGCCCTGAGAAAGGCCAGCAGACTATGGGGTTCTCAGATTGGACTGCCCGGTCTCATGGGCAAGACTACCTCGCAGGGTTCAGGTCAGACAGTTCCCCTAGGGCTAAAGTCTCCCATAGGAGCAAGTCGAGCCTAGGGGGATGGGCATCCCTGGTTGTGCTGCACTACAGATGCTCTCACACTAAGCCCTCTGGACTCTGCACCAGTTGGAGTTCTGCCCCTACCACTTCTCTAAGAAGCTCTCCATGCCAACACAAGTGTCCATGGTGGTCAAGAGGTCTCCTGCATGGGCATTCAGAGGCTCAGGGTGAGAGTGGGTTTCTCCTTGCCTGTTCAACTCACTCCTCCCACAGGAGTCAGTGGGGGCCAGGAACAAGTCCTGGGGTGTGGTAGCCCCATGCAGGGTTTCCAGCTTCCTCCCCTTTCAGCCCAGCATCTGTGTCTTCCCTCTCTGTTCACTCTCAGTGCCTTCCCTCTAAAGATCTGCTAGTAGCCTGCCAGTCATCCCTATGTCCCCTTCCCTCGTTTGGAGATGTTCCTCCTGGCTGCATCTCATAGGCAACCCTGGAGAAGTCTTCCACTTGCACTACTTTTTAATACATGGATGGTGTATCAAAGATTGTCAAGGTATACTGGTCTTATTTGGATTGCTTTGTTTTCTGAACTCCACTAAACATTTTATAATTTTCTCCTTGTATTCCTAAAGGAAGGCAAGGTCTGGGAGATATTTTTCTTGTGGCACGAATTTAATACATGGGCTCCTGTGACTAGTGCATACCAATTTCTCAGGGCCTAGAGTTAGTACGAACTTCTGAGGGATTCTATTAGAGATCTGGGGATGACATGGAAGTGACTGTACTTTCACAGTAACCTGAAGTACCTGGGCAATTGCCATAAACAACTGATGAACTGTTAATTATTTTCATGTTTCAGGTCATGTTAAACAATTGTTTTTCTAGAGCCTTTTTTTTTTGTCTATTTTCTGCTTTTAAAAAATCTATTTTTATGCAGCCTGTTGTTTTTTAAAGTTGAGTGACCAGGATCTACACTGGAAAAGTTGTAGCCAAATATAGTAGGCTAATTTTCCCAATAAAATATATCTCTTCACAGTGGCAGAGAGAAATGGCACAGACCTTGGTGACAGACCTAGGTGTGAATTTTGGCTTTATTCCGTACTAAATGTAACACTTAACTGTTTACTGGCTTTGTCCCATATTAACTGTAAGATCTCAATGGAATAGATGATGCTATTTGCCTCATTCATAAGATGGGTTCAGTAATAACTTCCTTGTAGAGTTGGTGAGTTATGTATATGTGTACAGTACATCTGCATAGCACATACCTCAACAAAAACTAGTCAGTGCATTTGCAAATTATGCCTTTGACAAAGGACTAATGTCCAGAATCAACAAGGAACTCAACTCAGCAAGAATAAAAACAAATAACCCCATTAAAAGCTGGGCAAAAGACATGAATGACATTTCTCAAAAGAAGAAATACAAGCAGCCAACAAACCCATGAAAAAATGCTCAACATCACCGATCATCAGAGAAATTATGAGATACCTTACCTCAGTCATAATGGTTACTATTAAAATGTCAAAAAAAACAACAGATGTTGGCATGGATATGGAGAAAAGGGAATGCTTATATGTTGTTGGTGGAATGTAAATTTGTTCAACCTCTATGGAAAACAGTACGGAGATTTCTCAAAGAACTAAAAATAGAACTACCATTTGATCTGGCAATCCCACTATTGGTTATCTACCTAAGGGAAAAGAAATCATTATATCAAAAAGACACCGGTACTCATACATTCACAGCAGCACTATTCACAATATGAAAGTCATGGAAGCAACCTAAGTGTCCATCAGCAGTTGAATAAATAAATAAATGTGATATATAAACCATGGAATACTATGCAGCCATGAAATATCATCCTTTGCAGCATCATGGATGGAACTAGAGGCTATTGTTCTAAGTGAACTAACTCAAAAGCCCGAAATCAAATACTACATGTCCTCACTTATAAGTGGAAACTAAACAATGGGTACATATAAAGATGGAAATAATAGACACTGGGGACTCCAAAAGGAGAAAAGTGAGAGTGGGGTGAAGGTTGAAAAATTACCTATTAGGTACAATGTTCACTATTTGGGTAGTAAATACACTAGAAGCCCAATCCCCACCAGTATGCAATATACCCATATAACAAACAAGCACATGTACCCCCTAATCAAAAAAAATAAAAACTAAAAGAACAAACAAAAAAAACAGTGAAGGCTATTTAGCATACATAATTGGCTTCAGGAAAGCAGTTAATTGTCTGGTTTCACTATATGAATTTTATTCCAGGAATTATTCCCTGAGTTTGACATTTGTCATTATATTTTCTTCCATAATCCAGAGGAGAAAATTTGAGCAAAATTTCTCCTCTTCGGCTAAGTCATGGCATTTTGCTTTCTGACAGTGAAAAAGTGGCTAAAAGCATGTATAGCACAGCATATTATATTAAGCCTCAAGTGCATTTTTTTGATGTTGCTTCACAGATATGTTTTCCTATTTCGATGTGTAGTTGTGCATGAAGACACAGGGATAAGTAAGGATTTGAAAGGGGATTATAATGTCAAAGATAACACATACTATGCAAAGTGAAATTACCTATGAGAACATATGGTGAAGCACAGATACCCTTATCTACAAAAGATAGCTATGCTTTAAAAAAAAAAGTATTCAGACCAGGCACAGTGGCTTATACCTGCAATCCCAGCACTTTGGGAGGCCAAAGCAGAAAGAGTGCTTGAGCGCAGGCGTTCAAAACCAGCCTGGACAACACAGAAAGATCCTGTTTCTCCAAAAAATATTTTGTTTAAGTTAGTGTGGTGGCAAATGCCTGTAGTCCCAACTACTCAGGAGGCTAAGATGGGAGGATCACTCAAGCCCAGAAGGCAGAGATTGCAGTGAGCTGTGATCACACCACTGCACTCCAGCCTGGGCAATAGAGCGAGACACTGTCTCAAATAAATAAATAAGTAAATAAATTAATTAATTAAAAGTTGAAAAAATTTGTGAAGTGACAACCTATAACTTCAGGAAAACAATTTGTAGCAGATTCTATGTGTATAGAGCCAAGTTTTAACCTTCTTTTTTATGTTGACAGAAAATATCGCCTGCTAGTTTCTTTATTCATGGTACTGTAGTATTTATGCAATTTGATTACAGCTTCACAGCACCTTTGGTCCAAAGTCATTTGTAACCTGTGGAGCATATTTTCAGCCCCACTTATGGATGGAAGGCAGAGAAATTTGAGACTGCACATGAGAAATGAGTTTTTAGACATATTAAACGGAACTATGATGTAGGAACACAAATGGAGGTGAAGTGGGTGAGGTGAGATTTTCAGTCAGGTAAGTGTACAATTAATAAGTGCAGAGTGAGGAAAATGATCTCACTTAATGGACTTGGAGGGACTAGAGGTGTAGAAGAGTCCTTAGAAGAATATGAGGTGAAATTATACTCTCCAAAAGAATTCATCTATGCTAAAAAAGCAGTCAGGCCCTGAAATGATACAGAAATTGGTTATGAGACAGAGTTCCTGTGAGAATTCCATGGGGGAAGGCTTGATTTGAAATTTACAATTGGCCAGTGAAGTTTTGACATGTGAAATACTAGTGCCTCAGTTTTTCATATTAAGACATTTGAAGTGAAGAAATCTTATCCCCTGAGTATGCAGGACCAAATAGGGTTTTGGGTATAAATCCTTCCCATGGTTTTAAATGCAAAGCCAAGATTGTACTATCCTATACTGTAACTTACACGATAATAAATTGTCCTGAAAGTTCCAAGCATTGACTGGATTAGAAAAATACCAAGACTTGTATTCTTTTCCTGGCCACAGAGAAAGGCACATATGAAATTTGACTTGAAAATCCTTGCAAATCACAAATATGCAAATCCCAGTTGCCCACCCCTGCACTGGAAAAACCCTCCTTCACAGTTCAGGGTCCTTGGAGAGCTCCCAAGGAAGAGAGAGGCTGTGAAGGTGAAAAATAGTCCAAGAGTTTAAGCCCTGCCCTTGTCTTTTTTTCCACTCCTCACAATGCTTGATTTTATGCTTGCTTTTTCTGGGAGACTTGTTCATTGAGATAGTATAGCCCTTATCTCAGTGATGAGGACTAAGCTGAAAATACAGTATTTCTGACCTTTGAACTGTGAAAGCAAAACAAACTATGCCCAACAACTCCCCGACCCCTACAACATACATACGAAACAACCTCAAATGCTGCAAGCTGGCATACTACCAATTACACAGAAATAGACCATAGACAGATATCCTGTCATTTAGTAACCCTCAACCTGGCACTGCCATCACTTGTCGGACAGGAAGAGCCCCGTGACCTCGGTGCTTCTCTGTTGGAATGGCCCTCTGAGTGCACTTCCATGCCCATGGTGAACAGCATTTTAATGGGCTCTTCCCTTAGTGGAGAGCCAGCTTCCATCTCACTGATCCAGAGGAGTCACCTGGAACCCTGCTCTACTGTACACAGAATGAATCTCTGGGTTAGTGTTCTTAACAGAGTTTAAATTTTGTTTCTGTGGGGTTTTGGTTGTACTTTCTTTTCTAAATTCAGAACTGGGGCCCTTGGCAAAGAAGGCAGATGGTGTTTTAAATGATTAATGCAAAGCATATGTAAAATATTGAAAATATGACCACTCTTTTTCAAAAAATGCTCACCCTCAGGCTGTGAAAAATTGTGATCAAAATCCATTTAAAACCCTTATATCAGGTCTTATAAAGAAACAAGCAGAAAATTCATTTTCATTTCTTTCAAAAGCTGAAGTACATGTCTGTTACAGAATCCCTAAGCACCCAAGAAACATTGTATAAAGTATCCTTTGTCCACTTTTCCATACTTTCCATAGGGGCCCTGTAGCAGGGGATGATGTGGCTCTTCTAGCACTGACTAAGTTTTTCTGGTTGAATGCCTGTCTTTGTGGGCCTGTGCAGCCTCTCTTCAGAGATGATAATTTTTACTAGAATTTATGAATTCATCTTCTAAAATGAGAAAGGCAGGTTTCCATTCATTAAATGTTAAAATAAATAGTTAAGATGATGGATTTGTGACACTGAAATTATGGCATTATTTTATGAGGTTTTGGCTGATTGCACCTGCACAGATTCACACCCCAATTTTGTATTTCTTTGGAAGAATGTTTAACATTCTGGCATGTCTTTTTTTCAGAGAATAAATTCACCTGGTTTTGCATAGAGGCAGTTGCAAGGAAAACATGCACGTTAGGTCTTGAGGCTGAGCTCAAAGCAATTATTTTGAAAAGGAGGGTGCTCAGACCCATGGGTGAGTTGAGCCCATGGCTGTTCTTGCTAATGGAAGCCCAGCACGGGTGCTGGAGGCTATTAACAGGGTAGTGATGCAGAGCAGTAAAATGGCTTATTAGGAAAAGCTGTGCATTGTTCTTAGTAGGGTTGCTCTTAAGTATTTGGGCTCATGCTAATATTCCTGGGATAGTTTAGCTGCCTTGCTCTCAGAAGTTAAGGGTGATGTTTTCTGGAAATTCCTTACAAACAGTACTCTTTAGAGCAACTAAAAAATGGGAACCAAGGTGAAGGCAGGCAAATCAGTTGAGGTTGGGAGTTTGAGACCAGCCTGGCCAACATGGTGAAACCCTATCGCTACTAAAAATACAAAAATTAGCCTGGCGTGGTGGCACACACCTGGAGTCTCAGCTACTCAGGAGGCTGAGGCAGGAGGATTGCTTGAACCTGGGAGGCAGAGATTGTAGTGAGCCGAGATTGCGCTACTGCGCTCTAGCCTGGGCGACCGAGCAAGACTTCGTCTCAGAAAGAAGAAAAAAAAAAAACCAAGAACCCAAGGTTGACTCTTTTAATAGTATCCCCATGGCTGGGATATTTAAGTTTTCTTTTCCTCTGTCATTCCATATATAATTTATGTTAACCCCAAATGCAAGCAAATAAAGAGAAATTGTGATCTGCTATTAATGCAAAGGGTTTTCTTTAGGAAGAATTATTTCGAGAATTTGGATTTGTAGGAGCGGTTCATGGAGGCTTGGTTAGTGAATCCACGAGGACTTCTGATCAAAGATAAGAGATTAACTTTTGAAGCCTCACCCCCAGTATATTTTGCTGCTTACTCTTCTGTGGGCCTTGTTATTCACAGGACACTTTTGGAGAACAGGGTTGCATTTTGGAAAGACATCTCTTTTCTTACCTCTTTGACTAAAAAGGGAATGCTCATTGCATTCTCTTAGAAATAGTTTCCTCTGAAAAGTGGAACCAGGAGTCTAAGTTAGGAAGGCAAATACGTTTTTAAAAATACATCCCCATATTTATTGGATAAACTGAAAAAAGCATTTTGATGTAGGTAAACCCAATGGGAAATCTGGAAAAATTCATATTTCATCTTTTGTATATTGTCTTATCTCGTGTTGGTGTCATGATAACACTGGCCTCACAAAGTGAGTTAGAAAATATTTCCTCCTCTTCTATTTTTTTGGAAGAGATTATGGAAAATTGGTGTTTAAAACATCTAGAATTCTCCAGTGAACATCAACCTAAAACTTTCTTTTCCAAGAACTTTTAAATAATGAATTCAGTTTCTGTAATGGTAATAGGACTATTTGTGTTATCTAGTTCACCTTGATAGAGTTGTAAAAGTTTTTGAGAGACTGGTCCATTTCTTCTAAGTTGTTGAACGTATGTGTATATAGTTTTTGGTAGGATTCCCTTACTATTCTTTTAATGGCTGAAGGATTTTTAGTATATCCTTTGTTCCATACTTGATCTTGGTGATTTGTATCTTTTCTCTGTTTTTGCCAGTATTGCTAGAGTTTTATTAACTTTCTTGATTTTTTTCAATGATCAAGATTGTTTCAATTGATTCTTATTATTTACCTATTTTCAATTTTATTTATTCTATTATCTTTATTTCCATCTTTATATTTGCTTGGATTTATTTTGCTATTCCTTTTCTAGTTTCTTGGTTGATGTGAGACCTTTCTGCATTCCTAATATAAGCATTTTAGTACAATAAATTTATCTCTTGACACTGCTTTAACTGTATCCTACATATATTGATATGTTGTATTTTCATTTCAGTTCTAAGTACTTTAAAAGTTTCTTCGAGACTGTCTCTGATCCATAATGTAAAAGTATGTTGTTTAATGTCCACATATTTAGAGATTATGTCATTTTCTTTCTGTTACTCATTTCTAGTTTGATCAGAAAAAATTGTATGATTTTAATTCTTTAAATTTGTTAGGTTTGTTTTATGGCCAGAATATAGGACCATGTAACAAATTTAAAGAACTGAAATCTGCTGTTATTGACTGTACAGTTCTATACATGCCAATTAGATCATATTTGTTGATTGTATTGTTCAGATCCTCTATGTCCTTGCTGATTTTCTGTCTAGTACTTCTATCAGTTAGTGAGAGGTGAGTGTCAAAATCCCCAACTCTAACTGTGGATTTTTCAGTTTCTTCTTTCAGGTCCATCTGTTTGTTTTATATATATTGAGGCTCTGTTGTTTGGTGAGCACATATTTAGAATCATATGTCTTCCTGATGGATTGATCCTTCTATTATTAAGTAATGTGCCTCTTTTTCTCATTCACTTTATTAGATATTAGTGTATACACTCCTTTTTGTAGAATTCGAAGTGAATTTCTTGTAAACAGCATATAGATGGGCTGTGTTTTATTATATAATCTATCACTCTCTGTCTTTTGATTTGTATATTTGGGCTATTTACATTTAAGGTAATTATTGATATATTAAAGCTTAAGTGGAGAAGGCAATATTTGTTTTTATTTTTATGTTTTATTGAACACTTTTAATTCTGCTTGAATTTCTTGTTAGACTAGAGCTTCTGTGAAGGAGAGAAGCTATAGCTTAGTATTTTGACTTGGCACTAGCCTATGACTATAAAATAAATTTGAATTTCATTTTAAGTACCCAATGTATAGTGCTCAAGCCTCAGGCACCTGACTGTCATACACTGTGCTCACAAATGTCCCCCAGTTACTTTAAGGGTTCTAGGGTTTGCTGTCTTTTGCTCAGGAATGGCTTTCTGTGCTCTTAGGCTCTGGCCTAGCCTGCCTTGGCTGACAATGAGAGCCATATTCTCACTCTACTGCACCCAACTATCTTCATTTCCACTGTTCTGACAGGGAATCTTCCTCTTCTTTTTGACCCAAGAGTGGAACAAATCCTTCCCCTCCATTTCCTACAGCAAAGTAGTGACCAGGCCAAAACTTTCCATGAATACTTAACTGAAGTTTCAGGACCATGAGAAGGAAGTAGAGCCACAGGGTAATCAACAGTTACTACACAAACTGAAGCATTTCCACAGAATACTATTCATGGCTATCCTGAATGCTTGTACATGTTGTATTCTGAATAAAGAGGTACAGCTCTTGATGAGTAGTGAGTAGGATGGATTTCAGCCTTTATGTGCCTCCTGGGCTATAGGCAAATAGGAGCTGAAACCCATTCTACTCCCAACTAACTCATCAAGAGCTGTACCCTGGCTGGGGCTTCATTTACCTAAAGGGGGTCACCTTCTTCTAAATCACACAAAGGCAGTCTATGGGTTTACAGTGGCTCCGGTGGCCTCTTACTGATACCTCTCCTCACTTAATACGTGGCCTGCTTCAACATGGCTAGGGAAGCACTTACCATTGCTGAAAGGGCTCTGGGAAACCAGGCCTTTGCTGAGCATTTAAGATCTTTGTTGCCTGTAAGTTCTCAAACTTTTAGAGACCATACCCCACTTCCTATCAAATGCTTTGACACATACTTATAGCCCATATTAATTTCATATTGACTATATGAGTGGATTTTTACGTTTCCTTTGGAAATTATCTGGCAACTCATTTAATTTATGATTGGCAATGATATCTCGGCTATTGTGCATATCTGAGAATTCTTGTAAAATGAGATAATCTGACCCAGTAATTATTTTTAAATGTAATTTGAATGAATACAATTTTTAAAAATTAATACTGTTGATGTAATGTTACATTTTGTAGGCATTTAATCAAACGTCTATTAATATTCATTTACCAGTCTTCAAATTTTGGAACTAATAATTTTTCCTCAATTTTCAAACATTTTTATTGGTTTTTAAAATGCTCGTGTCTGTGGTTCTCAATGCAGAATGGGCTTTGTGGCCAACTTTTTGCCTCATACTCCAGATCTGACTGACGGGAACCTGTAGAGAGGGGATCTTTATCTTGCCTGTAAGGCCTACTTTCTGAATCCCCATTTCTGACCCCTGGCTTAGCCCTTTTTCAGGACAGTTCACAGCACGAGCATCTAATCTCTCCAAGAGAATCTCCACTCCTATCTACATCTTGCCCTTTAGCCTTTCAAAGACATCAGATTACAATAGCACAGCATTAATGCATTTTCCCAAATCTGTATTTTCCTATCTTGAATAAAACCATGTGTGGAAAGTAAGTTGTGTGCTCCATTTATAATCATAGTTCCACCAGATTATATACTTCCTGAGTTCGGGGACATAGTCTGTTAGCAGCGCCTAGATCAGTGCCTGAGATTAAGTTGGCACTCAATGTATATTTCTTTTGTGTCTATACATGTTTAAATAATTTTATAATAATTTAAAACAGTGCTGAGGATTTCCAATAATTTTTATTTTAAAAGTGGTTTCAAGTTTGAAAATCACTACTTTAAAGATAATATTATCTACAAAGCTATACCTCTGCTTTCCTGTAAGACAAAACTTTACATTGTTGTACAGAACGCTCAGTTGTTTGGAGTGGCAGCCTCAAACCTTCATATTTTTAGAAAGTAATCATAGTTATACTTTTGCATAACTGAAGGTCCATTGGCTTTTCTTGCTCTAAACCAAGGTCATCTGCTACACACACATACAATTCAGTATTTACATTTTCCTAAAGTGGCATAAAACCATTTACAATATTTAAATGCTATATTATTCTGTTTTTACCCATGTAGGGTTTTAAAAATCCTGGAGCTTAGTAGCAGCCAGTGTTACTTTGATAAAAAGGCAATTTAGAATTCCTGAAGACAGGGAAGAGTTTAAGCTGGGAACCACTTGAAAGACCTAATTATTTTCAAATATTTGTGCTGAAAATCACTGTAACTAAGCTGTGAATGTATATTCTGTCCAGATCACATCCAAGAAGACTTGGCAGTTTGAAACAGCTAGAATTTTAATTTGCCTTTGCTTGCAGCATAGTGTTTGGGTAGATCAACTTACAGATAGATAAACCAAAGTGGCTCTCTTTTTTTTTTAGAACCTACAGCAAGGAGACCAAAAGGGTATGTGTGTTAGTTGACTATTGCTACATAACAAATCATCTTAAAGCCTGACAGCTTAAAAACAACAATTTACTATTATCTCTCATGATTCTATGGGTTGCTAGGTTCAGCTGGGAGGCTGTTGCTTGGAATCTGTCATGAAACTTCAGGCTCAGATGGGGTGGACATATAAAATTACTCAATCACATGGCTGACAGTTGATGTTGGCTCTTGGCTAGAAATTGTGTCTTGGGCGTCTCAGGAAATGGAGGCTGGATTCTAAAAAAGAGCATCCCAACAGCATGTGTTTCAACAGATACAGATGAAGTTGCAAGGTTTCTTGTGATCTAACCTGGAAGTTTCAGAATGTTTCTTGTGTCACATTTTATTGGTCAAGTAGTCACTAAAGTCTGCTGAGGTTTAATGGGTAGGTTAATTAGATAACACTTCTTGGTAACACTTCTTGGCAAGGGTGTACCACATTCACATTCTAAAGCAGTAAATGCGATGAGAAATATCACTGGATCTATCTTTGGAAAATACAAGCTACCATAATATGGAATGGCAGAAAAGCTGTGTGTTTGAAAAGTGGTACCATTGGCTATTAAAGGATTATACATCTGTGCTTTGTAAACCTGAAGCATAAACATTAATGATATTAACTATAATTGTATACTGCTTTCTGTGTTTCAGGCACCACTTTAAGTTCTTTCTAGGCACCAAGTCATTTAATCCTCAAAACAGCTTAATAGACATTATCAGAAATTTATAGAAGAGGAAACTGAGGCAAAGAAAGATTGAGTAACTTGTAATCTTAAGTTACAAAACCAATAAACATCAACTATTCTGACTCTGGAGTTTGCACTCTTAAACACTGTATTATTATGCCTCTGAATATTTGATATTCTTTTTACCTCATATCTGTATGAGTTAAAAATATTCTCTAGTATGTCTTAGTTGTGCTAAGGAAAACAAATTTCTTTATCTTTATACCTTTTGTCAACAAATAAGCTAGAGAAACTTGAAACATCAAGGTATCTCTTGAAGCTGAGTATATTGATATTGGCAGAAAGCATCATCAAAGTATAAATTACAAAAAGTTTCAAAAGGACATGATTCTTACACATATAAAGTGAATGCATAGCTAAAACTTAACACATTAATGATGGAACTAGCAAGATGGGAAAGCTAGTTCAAAGAGAACTGGGGAAACTAAAATGCTTATATTCACTCAAACAATGAGTAAGATTGATAATTTAGATTTTAAAATTGGTTAATGTTCTATAAGTAAATAGTAAAACTTTTTGACAGTAAAACTACAGTGTTGGGGCTCTCTTTTCTTTTAGATAAACATTACTTGTATTACTGAACCAATTCTTTTGCATTGCTACAAGACAAGAATCATTTGTTTCTTAGTCCTTTTTTTGCTGCTGTAAGAGAATACCACAGACTGAGTAACATATTTAAAAAGAAGCTTATTTGGCAAGGTCAAGGGGCTGCATCTGGTGAGGGCTTTCTCGCTGCATCATAATATGGTAGAAGGCATCATATAGTGAGGAAGCATGCAAGAGAAAGAGGAGGAAAGGGAGACGCTGAACTCATCCTTTTATCAAGAACCCACTCCCATGATAACTAAACCACTCCCATGATAATGGCATTAATCCATTCATAAGGGCAGAGCCCTCATGGCCTAATCATTTCTTAAAGTTCCCACTTCTAAATACTGTCACAATGGCAATTAAATTTCAACATGAGTTTTGATGGGGACACTCAAACCATAGCAATTGGCATCACTCTGTTTTCTACAATTAGTATCTACCCTTACAGAGTTGTAAAATATCCTAATCAATAGCAAGTAGCAAGGTGAATAAAGGTAAAATTCCCTAGAAAAATCAGCCTGCTAGATAAGATCTAGCACTACATAGAATGGGTTCTCACTAATCCCTTTGCTTCTTGTCCAAGTCTTGTACAATTTTTTCAAACAGAACAAAATGAAAGTTCCAGAATGATAGATATAGAGGAACTTGTTGTTTTATTATGCTGTGCAGCACCTGAACCTATTCTCTTTAGTCAGGGAATCTATCACTGGGAGAGTTTGGGAGGGAGGCAGCGTTTCATGTTTTCTCTCAATCCTAGCAGCAGGAATGCAGGCACATGAATTAGATTTATCCAACTTAATGCTCTTGCCCAAGACTTTGAAACTTGATTGAGTAATATAAAAAAGTAGCCCTGGTTTGAATTCATTTCACCGGGAGTAGGGGTGTTTCCAGCTGTGACCTATGGAATGTTTTAGCAGTAGCTCTAACCTCCCAAATTCCTTGTTTTCAGCCTGCTTTCCTAGATAGGCACTACAGCTTTCACATCAGTTCTGTGAGCCTCTCAACACCTTTTTAACAAATTCCATCTTTTTTTTTAAGTAACATGAGAAGGTTTCTGTTGCTTACAACCAAGAACACTCAAATATTAGTGGTATTCCCTCTTGCCAGGGTCATTCAACATTTGTGTTATTGTATTCTCCTGCTAAAATAGTTCCCTTCACAAGATCTTTTGCGCTAATCTTAAATCAATTTTATGCTTTATTTAAGGAAAAATGCCTTTAGTCTCTGGTTAAGAATATGCGCTGATAGTGTTTTCTATTTTTTTAAAATCTGCTTTATTGACTTCATGTCTCTGTGAGAGAATTATTTATGTGGTAATAAATGTATAAAAACCTATACAAAATAGATAGTTTAATGTACAGTAGGGAGCTTTGATATTTTACAAATCAGTGCATATCAGAAATTATTGTAATAACTTACTCTTCCTAAAACTTAACTTTGTACACAATTTTTGTTCTAAGTCTTCATTATGTAGACTTTTATAATGTATTTTTACAATTTTCCTTGTTATAGGCATTATCATTCTTTATCCCTTTACATTTCACCTAGTTGTAGGATTTTTAAAATAATAGTAGATATTCTAGAAAGTAAACAGTTTCCCCTGCCAAGAGAACGCTTGCAGATATGTACATCAAGATTGATCAGAAAAGATGCCTGCTTCTGACCAAGATGAGGTCATGGAGACCAGCTTTATCCTTCTACCTAAAACAATTAAAAATTGGATAAAATATATGCAACCGCTGTTTTCAAGACATTGAATTTCAGGCAATGAAGGCCAATAATCTCTGAATGATGGGAAACAGATGGTCCAAGTCTCACAGTCACCCCAGCTTATTCCTGGAGAGAGAGTTTCCTGTGTGCAGCACAAGCAGAGGGGACTCACACAGAGTCTGATTCCCTGAGGTGAAGAGATAGAGCTAAGAATGTAGAAAAACCAATGTGGTTAGATGTCAGTGGGTAGAGTGCCGGAGAGGAGAGAACTATACAGAGAGAGAGAGAAATGGAGAGATCTTCTGAGCACCTGTCTTGAGTATTCAAAAAGTATTGATGATTATAAACATGTGAGGAAACTACCCAGCGCCCTGGAAAGAGCCTTCTTACATGATTATTGGTATCTGAGACTCACACAGTACTGGAAATAATGCTTATTCACACCAGCAGGACAGAAAAAAACTCATAATTTAAGGGGCATTGGGAGAATATTCATTAGGATCTTATTTCAATAATAGGAAATAATTATTGCTTCACTAAATGCTATTCTGATACTGACTAATAAATCTTAAAAGCAAGACCCAAATAAGGATAAACTGTTTTTAAGCACCTGAACTATGTCTCAGAAAAAAAGCTCAAGTGTATTTGTAGGAATACAAAAATATCCAGCACACAATAGAGATAGAAAAAACAATTATAAAATTTGTATGGAAACACAAAAGATACTGGATAGCCAGAACAAAGCTGGAGGCCTCACACTTGCTAATTTTGAAATATATTATAAAGGTACAGTAATAAAAACAGTATGGTATTGGCATAAAAACAGACATTTAGACTAATGGAATAAAATAGACAGTCCAGAGATAAATCAATGCATATGTAGTCAACTTATTCTCAAAAAGGGTGCCATGTTACACATGGGGAAAAAATAATATTGCCAACAAATTATGTTGGGAAAACTGGATTTCCACATGCAAAATAATGAAATTGGACCCTAATCTTACAACATGCACAAAAATGAACTCAAAGCGAAAAAAAGACCTAAATGCAAGACCCAAAACTATAAAACTCCTAGACGATAACAACTGGGAAAAAGCTCTTTGACATTGGACTTGGCAATGATTTTTTGGATATCACACCAAAATCTCAGGCTACAAAAGCAAAAATAAGTAAACAGGACCACATCAAACTAAAAAGTGACACAGAAAAAGAAACAATGAACAGAGTAAAAAGAAATGAAAAGAACTGCAAGTCATATATCTGATAAAGAATTAATATTCAAAATATATTAGAAAACTCCTTAAACTCGATAGCAAAAAGCAAACAAAAAAAAAAAACAAGCAAAGAAAGAGCAAATAATCTAATTTTAAAATGGCCAAAGAACTTGAATAGAGATTTCTTCAAAGAAGATATAGAAATAGTCAACAGTTTTATAAAAAGATGCTCAACATTACTAATCACCAGGGAAATGCAAATCAAAACCTTATACCTATTAGGGTAGCACTGACCGAAACAAAAGATAAGTGTTGGCAAGAGTTTGGAGACATTGGAAACCTTGTACACTGCTACTGAGAATGTAAAATGTCTCTATGTAACCACTATGTAAAAGAGTATACAGTTCCCTAAAAAAGAATTTTTTTTTTCTTTTTTTGCTCTGTCACCCAGGCTGGAGTGCAGTGGCACAAACATAGCTCATGGCAGCCTCAATTTCTTGGGCTCAGGTGATCCTCCCACCTCAGTCTTCCTAGTAGCTGGGATCACAGGCATGCACCACTATGCCTAGCTAATTTTTGTATTTTGTGTAGGGATGGGGTTTCACCATGTTGTCCAGGCTGGTCTTGCACTCCTAGGTTCAAGCAATCCACTCACATCACCCTCCCAAAGTGCTGGGATTACAGATGTGAGCCACCATGCCCAGCCCCTCAAAAGATCAAAAATAGAACTACCATATGATCCAGCAGTTACACTTCTGGGTATATAACCAAAATAACTGAAATAAGGATATCAAAGAATTATCTGTACTCCCATATTTATTACAGCTTTATTCACCATTGCCAAGAGGGGAAAGCAATCTAAATGTCCATCAGTAGATGAATAGAGAAAATATGATATAAACATGCAAAGTAATATTATTCAGCCTTAAAAAAGAAGCAAGTCCCGACATATATAACAACATAGATGATTCCAGGGGACATTATGCTAAGTGAAATAAACCAGTCACAGAATTAGATTTATTGCATGATTCCACTTATATGAGGTGTTTATAATAGTCAAACTCATAGAAAGAGGATAGAATGGTGGTTTCCAAGGGTTGGGCGGAGGGGGAAATGGAGAGTTCCTGTTCAATGATTATAAACTGTCAGTTATGCAAGAAGAATAGCTTCTAGAGATCTTCTATACAATATTGCAATTTATTATATAGAATTTTTTAATGAGTATATCTCATGTTAAGGGTTTTTACAGTAAAAGAAAAATCCAAAGTCCAACAATTTACAACACCTGGCATCTAGTCAAAGATTACCACGCTTAAAAATAAGCAAAAATATGACCCATAATAAAGAGAAAAATCCATTAAGAAAACTGACACAGACATTAGAATTAGCAGACAAGGACATTAAGACAGTTATTATAACTATATTCCATATATTTGAAAAGCTAGAAGAAATATTGACAATGTTAAGACATGGAATATATATATATGACTGGAATCAAATCATAGAGAAAACTATAATATCTGGGATAAAAAACATACTGAATAGGATTATTGGCAAATTAGATATTACAGAAGATAATATGCATCAACTTGAAGTTATAACAATAGAAACTATCCAAGATGATACATACAGAGAAAAAAGACTAAGAAAAAAATAAAGTAATGGAGTATTACTCAACTGTACAACAATTTCAAAAGGCATATATATGGGTAATTAGTGTTCACATATACCAAACCAGGAAACTAAACAAATCTCAAGGATGAGAAACATGAAGAAAACTTCACTAAAGCGTATCATAATTAAATTGTCCAAAACCATTGATAAAGAGAAAATCTAAAAGCAGCCAGAGACAAAAAAACATATTATTTACAGAGAAAAAAATAAGAGTGTCTGCAGATTTCTCACCAGAAATAATGCAAGTGAAAAGCCAGTGGTGCAACGTTTTTAAAAGTATTAAAATAACACACACACACACACACACACACACACACACACACACACATGAACCTATAATCCTATACCCAGAAAAAAAATTTCTAAATGAAGGAGAAATAAAGCCTTTATCACACATACCAAAGCTGACAGAATTTGTCAACTGAAGAACCACAGGGGACTCTAACAGAAGAAAAATTATGCTAGGTGGAAATCCAAATCTACATAAAAGAATGAAGAGTACAGAAAATGGTAACTATGTGACTAAATATGTAAAATGTTTCTTATGTTTTAAGTATCTTTAAAAGATAATTGTTAACAGCAAAAACAACAGTATAGTCTGGGGTTTATAACAAAAGTAGAAGTAAGAATGATGATAAAAATTGCATAAAGTCTGGGAGAAAATAAATGGAAGTATATTATTGTAAAGTTCTTAGTATACATGTAAGTGACATATTATTGCTTGAAGGTAGACTATAATAAGTTTTAGACATGTACCATGAACTCTAAAGAAACTGATAAAAACAAATAAGTAAAACAACAAAGAATTATAGTTAATAAGCCAAAAAAGAAAATAAAATATAATCATTTAAAAAACTCACTTCATCTAAAAGATGACAGTAAAAAATGAAAAACAGAACATAGAACAGATGGCGCTAATAAAAACAAATATCAACATGTTAGAGTGAAAGGTAAATAAAGATCCCAATTGAAAGATTGTCACATTAGATAAAAAGGCAAGACCTAAATATAATGCTGTTACAGGAAACCTGCTTTAAATATTTGAGCACAAAGAGATTAAAAGTAAAAATGTGGCAAAACATAAACCATGAAAATGCTAATCAATAGAAAACTCATGTCACTGGCCATATTAATATCAAGCAAAAATTTCAGCGCAAAGAGTAACACCAGAGATAAAGCAGGTCACTTCATAATGATAATGGGATCAATTTCAACAAGAGGAAATAAAAGTCCTAGATGTTCACGCACCTAATAATAGAACTTCAAAATACATGAAGGAAAAACTCAGAGAATTGCAAAGAGAAATGAAAACATTCACAATTATAGTCAAATATTTTAGTATCCCTTTCTAAATAATTGATAGAACAAGGCTGAGTATGGTGACTCATGCCTGTAATCCCAACACTTTGGGAGGCCATGGTTCAAGGATCATTTGGGCTCAGGAGTTCGAGATCAGCTTGGGCAACATGGTGAAAACCTGTCTCTACAAAAAATTAAAAAAAAAAAAATTAGGCAGATTTGGTGGTGCATGCCTGCGGTCCCAACTACTTGGGAGGCCAAGATGGGAGGGTTGCTTGAGCCTGGGAGGTCAAGGCTGCAGGGAGCCAAGATCATGCCACTGCACTCCAGCCTGGGCAACAGAGTGGGACCCTGTCTCAAAAAACAAAAATAACAGAACAAGTAGATAAAAAGTCAGTAAGGATATAGAAGACTTGAACAACATTATCAACAAACTTGACCTAATCAATATTTATATAATATTTATATGTTATATAACATTTATATATACAAAACAGCAGAAAACACACAGAATATTTACCAAGATAGACCATATCCTAGCAATAAAAATAAGTCTGAAATGTTAAAAGATTTAAGTCATACAGAGTATGTTTTCTGCTTCCATTGGAATTAAATTGGAATTTCATTCCAATATTCAGATACAAAAACGTATCTAGAAAATCTTGTCAATATTTGGAGACTAACACACTTCTAAAAAAAGAAAACCATAGATCAAAAATGTCTTCTTTGAAATTTGCACTGAATGAAATGAAAATGAAATGAAGGAAAATACCACCAAAAGGTGTGTGACACTGCTAGAACAGTATTTGGAGGAAAATGTGTGGCATTAAAGGCTTATATTAAAAAAGCTTTAATCAAAGATCTCAGCTTCCATCTTAAGAGACTAGAAAAAAAGGAGAAAATGAAATCAAAGTAAGCAGAAGGCAGGAAATAATAAAGGTCAGAGCAGGAATTAATGAAATGGAAAACAGGGCAACTGCCTGCAAAAGTTCCCTGACCATGAAGGGAAGTGGATTAGCAGAGTCAGAAAGAGTAAGGCATCACTACATTTGTCACGTTGTAGCAGTCTGATAATAACGTGTTGAACAGGTATGAATGGCGTGGTATGATAGAAGAGCACATGGAGTCTAGCCTGGCCTCCGAGGCTGGCAGTGCCTCTTAATGGCTTTGTGGCCTTAGACACGTCATGTAGCATCCTTGAGTCCCCTGCGAAATGTGGACAATGTTATTTTTCCTGCCTGCCTTGCGGGATCATTGTGAGGTCAAATAAGACAATGTTTGTGAAAGCAATTTAGTAAAACTGCAGTAAACTATGAAGCATAAGTTTTGGTAAGAGAGAATTTGGAATTATTAAATTATAGCTTGGGGATTATATGTGTGGATTTGACTTACACCTATCTTTGTGTTCTTTTATAATGCATAATTAAAATGTCAATGGAGCACTTGGGACAACATAAAATATAGCAGTGTTATGAGCTTAGGGGTGCAAAAGAAATTTAATTATATTATTTTTGTTTATGATCAACCCAGTCTTCCTCACAAACTCCCACCTACAAAGGAGTGAGAAAGAAGCAGTTGTCAACCCCACATTGAACTGATTAGACCATCATTTAAAATAGGCCTTTTAGATTGTGCTTGCCTCTCTTATTTCTGCTCCCTACTCTCTGGGTTATGACAGGAGTGGGGCTCATGGGAATTTGTCCTGGCAGAGTGCCAGGGTTCTCAGATTCACCCTGCATTGTCATTTAGATTTCCGTGGCTGAAGCCCCTTCGTCAGGGCCCCCCACTGGAAAGCCTCCCTAGTCTTGGCCTAGAACCCCGCCAACACAGCGAGCCCTGTGGTGGGTCCAGGGTGGATTGGAGGGCCACTAAATTGGGTTCACTGAAGGCTTTCCAGTCTGCTCCTGGGGGTCAAGGGAACAACTGACTCCAATCCACATGGGACAGGAGCCAGGCTGGCTAGAGAGCTTTCACGTCTCCCCTGTGCTGAACCATTCCACACCACGAAGTTTACATTGCTGGGCCCGGGCTCCCTTTGAGAAGGGGCAGACTGACTCTCTTGCCAGATTTCTGATTAGGACCAGGAATCGAAGCCTCTTCCATCTGGCTCCTCCAAACCTATCTTATTATGTTCCTTTCCCTCTCTGGGCTTCAGTCAGAGAAGGGAAATCAGGACACACTGCTGATCAGTCAGGTTGCTTTCCTACGTGTCTCTGCCTCCTGGTTTCCTCTGACCAGAAAATATTGATTTTTCTTTCTTTTTTATTTCACTGATTCTTATCTTTGCTATACCCAGAGGCCGTGAGGCCTGTGCTAGGTGGAATACACTAACAGGAGCAGGAAGGCCACATAATTCATGAGCCCTGATACAAGATGAAAGGCAAGGCCCTTTTCTCAGAACTTATTACGAATCTCGGGAGGCTCCATGCACGGGTCATGCACTCATAAAGCTGGCCTTGAAAGGGAGCTAGAATAATTTAATAAATCTGGTTCCTGAGTGAAACCTGTGGTCTTGTTGAAGTTTTCCTAAGTATGAGCTCTCTTATACCCTTGGGTGATAAACCTCACAGGAAGAAGGATGCAAGGGAACCAACATCTAAGTTACAAACATTAAAATACATTGGTTTTCCAGGCGTGGTGGCTCAAGCCTGTAATCCCAGTACTTTGGGAGGCCAAGGTGGATGGATCACCTGAGGTCAGGAGTTCGAGACCAGACTGGCCAACATGGTGAAACCCCATCTCTACTAAAAATACAAAAAAATCAGCTAGGCCTGGTGGCATGTGTGTGTAATCCCAGACACTTGGGAGGCTGAGGCAGGAGAATCGCTTGAACCTGGGAGGCAGGGTTGCAGCGAGCCGAGATCACGCACACTGCACTCCAGCCTGGGTGACAGACTGAGACTCATCTCAAAAAAAAAAAAAAAAAAAAAAAGCATTGGGTTAGTCATTGTAAAGGATCTTATCTCTGTGTAGAGGATGTTTAGAGGAGCTTTTCCTATTGTCCTGGTAATTGGACTAATCCTGAGAGGGAAGGGAAATCTTTGTCACACACATTCTCAATCCATGGAGCTGCCCATGAGCCAGTCCCATTTGGGGACAGAGAGCTTTCTTTCAAGGCTGCTCAGACACCAATCATATAGAACTGGTACAGATACCTCCCACCCTAGACAATATAAGAAAAGGGCCAAATGGGAGGAAGCTACCCTGGGTGGAGGCCAGTGTTTATGGAAAATAGGAGCTATTCTCTCCCCTCCACCCTAAAGAAGAGGGACAGGTGGAGAATCAGGAAGAGGTTGGGTAGCCTGGAAGAAGGGCAGCAGCTCCCTGAACTGAAGAACTCACAGTCCCTTCTTGGTGCTGCCCTCAAAGTGGTATGTAAGAGAATTCTTTGTGGGTAGGGGGAGTTTTACATGGTTTCCCTGAAGTTTGAGAGTTGTGGGAAACAGATCAAGGAACACCTGCGTCTGGTCTAGAGATGTGTGAAGGCCTGAGAAAGCAGCTTGTGCCAACAGGGTTTGAAAAGACCATGGTGTGAGGTATCTAGGAAACCCCTCCCCCATACTCATCTCCTCAGCCCTCAGAGGATACAGAAGAGTGCCTCTGAGGACCCTACTACTCCCTGTAAAGGCTCAGGGAAGCTGGTAGACAGCCTTGAGCCATGGGGCTGCCCAGGTGCTACTTACTGGGCCAAGTATTGGGGAATCCAACCCAGAGGAGAATCTAATCACTGGGCAGCCTAAGGAAAACATGGCAGCTCCTTTGGAGGAGTCCTAGTGATAGCGGGGCTTGTGTACAGTTGAACACAATCCCAAGAAGATTATACATGCCATCTTTGCAGAAACCACCACTTCATCAAAGACTACCAGAACACCCAAGAAATAGTGCATATCATAATGAGGCCACAGGCGCAGCCCCAACATGAACATGTGGCTGTGCCTTGAAAGCAAAATCTCTCTTCTCTCCCCGGCAGTTCTCAGTACTAAAGCCAATCCCCTGAGCATCCTGACGCCTGAGGGAGGAGTGAAGAGAATATCAGTAGCAATGTGAGAGTTAGTAGAGAGAGCCCTGGTCACATGACTGCCCGTTAAGGAGGCATTTTTACTTGCTTCCCCAGGTAGTGACACACCTACTCTCCTGCTTCTGCTGTAGCAACAGCAGGTTCATTTGTGCTTTCCTGAGGTGTCAGTGTTTCTTAAACACAATAGGAAATGGCTGTTTCAGACCCTCATGGGTGAAGACCATTTTGGCTCCCTACAAAAGACAAGGCTTTCCGGCCAGGTGCAGTGGCTCACGCCTGTAATCCCAGCACTTTGGGAGGCCGAGGCGGGTGGATCATGAGGTCAGGAGATTGAGACCATCCTGGCCAACGTGGTGAAACTCCATCTCTACTAAAAATACAAAAATTAGCCTGGTATGGTAGTGTGCGCCTGTAGTCCCAGTTACTCGGGAGGCTGAGGCAGAAGAACAGCTTGAACCCAGGAGGCGGACGTTGCAGTGAGCCGAGATCACACCACTGCACTCCGGCCTGGCGACAGAGCAAGACTCCGTCTCAAAAAAAAAGAAAAAAAAGAAAAAAAAAAACCTCAGGGCTTTCCATCTCCACATCAAGTGTCCTAGCAGAGCCGACCGATGGACTCAAGTTACTTTCTTCCAATCAGCTGGAGCTGGAGCAAGGGAGGGTGGAGAGGGTGTTAATAAGGTTAAGGAGTCCTCTTTGGGGAGAACAAGTTCAAGTGACACCTTAGACTTTAGTCAAGTGAACTCTTAAGTTGGGGAATTGTTATGAAAAAATAAAGGAATTAGTGCAATAAAACCACAAACATTAAAATGTAAGAAATTCTCTTAGAAACCCTTCATCCTGCTCCTCCTAACAAACTTAATCCCTCTTTCTAGAGTTACTTTCTAGGGACTACATTAAGTACCTTGGCTCCAACAGAAAAATCAAAAGCCATGTGAGGAGAGAGACGAGCTGTCCTGGGAGCCTGGAAAAGGAAGGTCTAATCGGCAATTTTCCTTTCTCTACCCATGTATTTGGAAAAAATAATGAATCACCTGGTTGTGGGGAAAAAATACACAAACACACACACACACACAGAGAGAGAGAGAGAGAGAGAGAGAAATGTTTTTTAAGGGCTTATTTTTAGAATCCCAGTATTTAGATTCAGTATTCCATATTGACATTAAAAATTTAGTGAAGGCCAAATTTTATACCTCAAAAAACTGTCAATGCCCTCATAAGTGCTATGTGATATTTTCATTGTGACCATAGAATTTTTAACATAGCCACCATAATTTTTGAGAACTAATGTTCTTCCATTTTTGTCCTATTCCTTGTAATGTAGTTTAGCTTGCTTTCTTTGTACACAATCTCATTTTGCCTTCAAACTATAAGGAGCCTTAATCAAATATTAACCAAAGTAAAAAAAACACAGTCTAGAAGCACTAGGATTTCACAACTTAAAGTAAATCGACGTGTTTCGTTGTTGCCTTTTCTGAGATATTCAGCTCAAGTAAATCTCCATGTATACAGTACAATGAATGACTTAAAAACAGCATAGTAGAACATTTGTGGATAACAGTAACAAAAGGAAAAAAGCAATCTCTAAGTGAGCTTTAGCCTGAAGGACATCATTCTGAGTCAGGAGAACTCACTTGCCTTATTACTGGGTGTCTTACCTTCTCTCTATGCCAATTTTCTCATCTTTAAAGTAGAGATACTTACTACTAACTACATGGAGATATTAACAATGTTGAATATTTACTTACCTGAAGTGGTTAGGAGCACAGGGTTTGAAATCAAAGTTTTGCCCTGCTTCTTATTAACCATGTCACCCAGAAAAAATAACCTTCCTAAGCTTTAGTTCCTTCTTATGGAAAATGGGGATAATTATATGTACTTTATGTAGTTTTTATGAGTTAAATGAAATAATTTACATAAAGTCCCTGCCCCATGTTTGACACATTGGTTTTCAGTCTATTGTAGCTGCTGTAATGATGATGCTGATGCTGTAAGTAACGTGTGCTAGATAAACGGAGACGGAGGAGACTGGGCGGGTGAGACAAGGGATGTCAGATTCTGAATCCAAAGCCTTGTTGACTAACAATAAAATTAGGCCAAAGGAAAGACCAGCCATCACAACAAAAGTGACTGCCTATAAGTTAACCACCACAAGTGAAACTGCCTACAAATTAACCACAGAATGGGAGAAAATATTTGAAACTATTCATCAGACAGGGGACTAATATCCAGAATATACAAAAAGTTCAAACAACTCAGCAACAACAACAACAACAACAAACCCAAATAATTCCATTAAAAAGCAGGCCAAGGACACGAATAGACATTTCTCAAAAGAAGACATACAAATGGCCAACAGATATGTGCAAAAAATGTTCAACATTGCTAATCATCAGGGAAATGCAAATGAAAACCATAATGAGATTAGCTTAACCCAGTTAGAATGGCTATTACTACAAAGAAAACATATTAGATGTTGGCAACAATGTGGATAAAAGGAAACTCTTATACACTGTTGGTGGGAATGTAAATTAGTACAACCTCTATAGAAAACAGTATGAAGATTTTTCAAATAGAATTACCATTTGATCCAGCAATCCCACTACTGGGTATCTATCCAAAGGAAAAGTAATCAATATATCAAAGATACCTGCACTCCTATGTTTACCACAGCACTATTTGGAATAGCAAAGATATGGAATCAACCTAAGCATCCATCTACAGATGACTGGATAAAGAAAATGTGGTATATATATACACAATGAAATACTATTCAGACTAAAAAAAAGAATGAAATCCTGTCATTTGCAGCAACATGGATGGAAATGGACATCATTATCTTAAGTAAAATGACTCAGACACTGAAAGACAAATACCGCATGTTTTCACTCTTAAGTGGGTGCTAAAAATGTGTACATATGGCCATAGAGAGTGGGATAACAGACACTGGAGACTCAGGGTGAGGAGATGAGAGGGGTGGATGATGAGAAATTACTTAACGAGTACAACATGTGTTATTTAGGGTGATAGATACCCTAAAATCCCTGACTTGATCACTACACAAGTAACAAAATTGCACTTATATCCCATAAATGTATATAAATTAAAAAATTAACATTAGATTTCAAATAGAGATGGCCACTGCAAGTCATGTGTGAGATACTTGGGAATGAATATTAAGTTCCAATTCCTCCCCTCTTAGGTTTCCCTTACATGCCCACTCTCTATGAAATAATTAAACATGTTAAGAACTGACCTTGGTGAAAGAACAGCATAGTTGGTGTCATGGTCACTAGTCTGAGGACACCTTGATAAGTCCCCAAAGGAGGCTCTATAGGGCTTGGGCAGCTTCTGAGAGGCTGGTCACCTTGTATCTGCCCTGTACCAGGGACAAATGGGAAGCAGAGTACATTTATTACACCTTTAAACTTCAACTGCAAAGCCTAGTGCTTTTTAAGCTATCTGTAGGGAAAGACCCATTTGTTTTTTTTTTAAACCCGTCACAGACCCATGCATGGTACTGCTGTGTATGATCAGTATGTATTGAGTCATGTGGGAGTCACCCTGCAAGTTTGGCATTCTGCACTGGCCGTTGTTTTGTTTAATGAGACAAATCCGCTGATCATTCACTTGGATGTCACATTAATGTCAAATTGCTATGAAAGTTTCTGAATGGTTACTCCCAATTTTTATACTTAAGTTGCAGTCTGGTAACAGATACTTTGGGTGGCACTGTCCTGTCCTATCGTGATCCTATCCCCAAACAAAAAGGATGACAACAGCAGTAAAATTTAATGAGAATAAAATTTCAATCACAAAAAAAAGGACATTTGGAGAGTATTCATACCAACCTGTTTCTACTGTCCTGTGTTTTATATATAATTCTTGGCATCACGGAGTTGAATATTGATGTCAGGCATATCTATTAGTATATTTGAACCCAAGCTCAGCTGCTTACCAGCTCTGTATCTGTTGGATAAGTTTTTCTCTGGGCCTTTGTATCTTCATCTGTAAAATGTGAACCTTCAGACCCACAACAGAGTTAAGATGAAGGTGAAATACCTTGTGTTTGTGAAGTACCTAGCACAGTGCCTAGGTAGGAGCTAGTAAAGAGGTTTGTTTGATATTGTCTATTTTGGAATTTACAGTCTAAACTTTGCAATTTTAGTTGACTCTATATGCAGCTATACACATGGCTTTTCTCTACACTATACACATTGCTTTTCTCCTCTAATTCCAAAATAGCCTTTCCATTTGAGCTTGGACTAGATTCATTATATTTAGATGCAACAATTCTAATTGTACCTTAATTTAAAAGTTCTGGATATCTTCAGGCCTAGTTTTAAGTAAAATATACACTCTAGACAGAATGCTGAAATAAGACAAAGGTTCTCAAAACTTAGTACTGTATAAATAAAAATTTCTTTGGTATCTTGTTAAAATGCAGATTTCCAGATCCAGTCTTTGGCATCTCTGACTCATGACTCAGCTGTTGTTGAGTGAGGCCCTGTTTAAGCAATACCTGGCCCCCACTTGCAGATGATTCTGATGCAGGTGGTTCCTGAATCATACCTTTAAAAAAAACCCACTGTAGCTATAAAAGGGTAGTGTGAGGGATCCCTGTATTGAAACTGTTCTATATCTTGACTGTGGCGGTAAATATATGAACCTATACATGTGATAAAAATTGAGTAGACTAAATACACACATACATACACACCATCTGGATTGTCAATATACCATGGAAGCAGTCCCAGAATTCAGTATTTGGGGCTCCAATAGTCTATATTCTTGATTTTTCTAACCTACCAGTGAAAAACTCAAGACAGTTTTTCTGTATTAAACCAAAAAATTAACCAACTGCTGGCTTAGTCAAGCTGGCTTCATTAGATTTCTATGATGTTTTCTTGGTCATGTATAGAGTTCTACAACTTGAGCCTAAAAATAAAATGCTTTCAATTTTCCATGTGCAGGCACTCCATCATTTTTAGTTAAGTGGATGGATTAAATGTACTGTTTAAGTACACTGGGGAAAGTAAATGCTCCTAAAAGTGAATTGCTTTCTTTACTGAAATAGACTTTTGTTCTTGAAGCCTAGGCAAGACATTCTTTTCTATCAATAATTTAAATCTAACTAAGAACATTCAGGGATTTTGGGCCTCTGCCTTTGGCAGCTGTCATTTTCATGTGAATATGTCAGCTTTTATACAATTAACTTGTATATAATTATGCAAAAAGTAGTTGGAGTTGAATATTTAATGACATCAAGAAATTACTATAAATGTTTTTAGGTAGCATAATAGTATTGCAGCTAGGTATAAGAATAGAATTCTAATCTTTTAAAGAGATATTCTGAAGTATTGATGGTTGAAGTGATGTAATGAAATGAGATTTGCTTCAAAATAATCCAGAAGCAGGGAAGTAGTTAGCAGAATAGATGGAGCAAGATTGCCCAAGGGTTGCCAATTGTTGGAGCTGGATGGTGGGTACATTAGGGTTCACAATACCATACTGGGGGTTCATCATACCCTTTTCTTTACTCTTGCATCCTATTTGAAATGTTTCATATGAAAATATTTTTAAAAGGTAGTCAAAATTAGAAACACCCTTAGTAATATACTTAAGACATAGTCCAATCTTTTGGTTATGTTTATTGCAAAGGTAGGCTAACCCAGCAAATACTTCACGTTTTCATTCAATTTGTCACTGAGTCTCTTATCAGTCCCTGATGGCATGAAGCCCAGCAATGCCCAGTGCAGTAAGCACGTGCCCTCTAAGGCTCTCAACTTTATGACTCGAGTCTTTTTATTTGCGTGTATCATAACAGCCAGGCCCTTTGTTCTGAGATAACCTTCAAAAGAGCAAGACAAATATTTTAGGGAGTACTATTGCTTACATGTTTATTTCCTTTTTGTTTTGTTTTATTCCTCAAGATGCTGAATGTCCCAATGGAATGGATACTGTATATTTTTAAAAATCTCAGTTCATGTAGAAAAAGTGAACTATCTCAAAAACTTCTGTGCTTAGGATTTCTTCCAGGTTTCTTTCCTGTGTAGGGCAGGAGATGGCAGGTAGATGGCCATACCTCAAAGCCCTTACTAATGGACTTGAATCCAGACATGTGGTCCCAACTGCACTCTTTACCCTTTTATAACAACCATTCTGTCGTTTAAAAAACATATTTTCTCTAACTTTGCATTTCTGGTTAATAAATGGTAGCTTGCAGAATAGCTACCCCTTGAGTCATTTTGAAAGTGTACAAAGCTTTTGAAGGCAAAAACAACCAATCAACCAACCAACCACACACATACCACAAATACAACAAAACACAAGAATCACTACAATTTGTCATTTTTTTGCACTTTTTTATTTTTAAAAACTTTTTTTAACAAAGATATGACAAGAAAAAACAATTACATACTGATATCCCTCATGAAATAGATACAAAAAATAAATATATTACCAAATTGAATACAGCAATGTATAAAAAGGATAACACATCATGATCAATTGGAGTTTTTTCCAGAGATGCAAGGTTGATTTACACAGAAAGTCAATTCAATGTTACCCACATTGTTAGCAAAGAGAAAAATAATATGATCATTACAAAAAATACAGAAAAAGTATTAACAAAATTCAACCACTATTTATTATGAAAAGTCTCAGTAAAATAGAAACAGAAGGGGACTTTATCAACCTGATTAACTTTCTCAACCTGTTAACACTACAGTTAACATCATAAACAATGGTGAATCATTGAGTACTTTCTTTTTTTTTTAATTATACTTTAAGCTCTGGGGTACCTGTGCACAACGTGCAGGTTTGTTACATATGTATACATGTGCCATGTTGGTGTGCTGCACCCATTAACTCATCATTTACATTAGATATATCTTCTAATGCTATCCCTTCCCCCTGCCCCCCACTCCATGACAGGCCCCAGTGTGTGATGTTCCCCACCCTGTATTCAAGTGTTCTCATTGTTCAATTCCCACCTATGAGTGAGAACATGTGGTGTTTGGTTTTTTGTCCTTGCGATAGTTTGCTGAGAATGATGGTTTCCAGCTTCGTCCATGTCCCTACAAAGGACATGAACTCATCCTTTTTATGGCTGCATAGTATTCCATGGTGTATATGTGCCACATTTTCTTAATCCAGTCTATCATTGATGGACATTTGGGTTGGTTCCAAGTCTTTGCTATTGTGAATAGTGCCGCAATAAACATATGGGTGCGTGTGTCTTTATAGTAGCATGATTTATAATCCTTTGGGTATATACCCAGTAATGGGATGGCTGGGTCAAATGGTATTTCTAGTTCTAGATCCTTGAGGAATCGCCACACTGCCTTCCACAGTGGTTGAACTAGTTTATAGTCCCACCAACAGTGTAAAAGTGTTCCTATTTCTCCACATCCTCTCCAGCACCTGTTGTTTCCTGACTTTTTAATGATCGCCATTCTAACTGGTGTGAGATGGAATCTCATTGTGGTTTTGATTTGCATTTCTCTGATGGCCAGTGATGATGAGCATTTTTTCATGTGTCTGTTGGCTGCATAAATGTCTTCTTTTGAAAAGTGTCTGTTCACATCCTTTGTGGACTTTTTGATGGGGTTGCTTGATTTTTTCTTTTACGTTTGTTTAAGTTCTTTGTAGATTCTGGATATTAGCCCTTTGTCAGATGGGTAGATTGTAAAAATTTTCTCCCTTTCTGTAGGTTGCCTGTTCACTCTGATGGTAGTTTCTCTTGCTGTGCAGAAGCTGTTTAGTTTCATTAGATCCCATTTGTCAATTTTGGCTTTTGTTGCCATTGCTTTTGGTGTTTTAGACATGAAGTCCTTGCCCATGCCTATGTCCTGAATGGTATTGCCTAGGTTTTCTTCCAGGGTTTTTATGGTTTTAGGTCTAACATTTAAGTCTTTAATCCACCTTGAATTAATTTTTGTATAAGGTGTAAGGAATGGATCCAGTTTCAGCTTTCTACATATGGCTAGCCAGCACCATTTATTAAACAGGGAATCCTTTCCCCATTTCTTGTTTTTGCCAGGTTTGTCAAAGATCAGATGGTTAGTAGATGTGTGGTATTATTTCTGAGGGCTGTGTTCTGTTCCATTGGTCTATATCTCTGTTTTGGTACCAGTACCATGCTGTTTTGGCTACTGTAGCCTTGTAGTATAGTTTGAAGTCAGGTAGCATGATGCCTCCAGCTTTGTTCTTTTGGCTTAGGATTGTCTTGGCAATGTGGGCCTTTTTTGGTTCCATATGAACTTTAAAGTAGTTTTTTCCAATACTCTGAAGAAAGTCAGCTTTCTTTCTGAAGAAAGGTAGCTGATGGGGATGGCATTGAATCTGTAAATTACCTTGGACAGTATGGCCATTTTCATGATATTGATTCTTCCTATCCATGAGCGTGGAATTTTCTTCCATTTGTTTGTATCCTCTTTTATTTCATTGAGCAGTGGTTTGTAGTTCTCCTTGAAGAGGTCCCTCATGTCCCTTGTAAGTTGGATTCCTAGGCATTTTATTCTCTTTGAAGTTATTGTGAATGGGGGTTCACTCATGATTTGGCTCTCCATTTGTCTGTTCTTGGTGTATAGGAATGTTTGTGATTTTTGTACATTGATTTTGTATCCTGAGACTTTGCTGAAGTTGCTTATCAGCTTAAGGAGATTTTGGGCTGAGACAAAGGGGTTTTCTAGATATACAATCATGTCATCTGCAAACAGGGACAATTTGACTTCCTCTTTTCCTAATTGAATACCCTTTATTTCTTTCTCCTGCCTGATTACCCTGGCCAGAACTTCCAACACTATGTTGAATAGGAGTGTGAGAGAGGGCATCCCTGTCTTGTGCCAGTTTTCAAAGGGAATGCTTCCAGTGTTTGCCCATTCAGTATGATATTGGCTGTGGGTTTGCCATAAATAGCTCTTATTATTTTGAGATACGTCCCATCAATACCTAATTTATTGAGAGTTTTTAGCATGAAGAGCTGTTGAATTTTTGTTGAAGGCTTTTTCTGCGTCTATTGAGATAATCACGTGGTTTTTGTCGTTGGTTCTGTTTATATGCTGGATTATGTTTATTGATTTGCATCTGTTGAACGAGGCTTGCATCCCAGGGATGAAGCCCACTTGATCATGGTGGATAAGTTTTTGATGTGCTGCTGGATTCGGTTTGCCAGTATTTTATTGAGGATTTTTTGCATCGATGTTCATCAGGGATATTGGCCTAAAATTGTGTTTTTTTGTTGTGTCTTTGCCAGCCTTTGGTTTCAGGATGATGCTGGCCTCATAAAATGAGTTAGGGAGGATTCCCTCTTTTTCTATTGATTGGAATAGTTTCAGAAGGAATGGTACCAGCTCCTCTTTGTACCTCTGGTAGAATTCGGCTGTGAATCCGTCTGGTCCTGGAGTTTTTCTGGTTGGTAGGCTATTAATCATTGCTTCAATTTCAGCGCCTGTTATTAGTCTATTCAGGGATTCAACTTCTTCCTGGTTTAGTCTTGGGAGGGTGTATGTGTCCAGGAATTTATCCATTTCTTCTAGATTTTTTAGTTTATTTGTGTAGAGGTGTTTATAGTATTCCCTGATGGTAGTTTGTATTTCTGTGGGATTGGTGGTGATATCCCCTTTATCATTTTTTGTTGCGTCTATTTGATTCTTCTCTCTTTTCTTCTTTATTAGTCTTGCTAGCGGCCTATCAATTTTGTTGATCTTTTCAGAAAAACCAGCTCCTGGATTCATTGATTTTTTGAAGGGTTTTTTTATGTCTCTATTTCCTTCAGTTCTGCTCTGATTTTAGTTATTTCTTGCCTTCTGCTAGCTTTGGAATGTGTTTGCTCTTGATTCTCTAGTTCTTTTCATTGTGAGGTTAGGATGTCAATTTTATATCTTTGCTGCTTTCTCTTGTGGGCATTTAGTGCTATAAATTTCCCTCTGCATACTGCTTTAAATGTGTCCCAGAGATTCTGGTATGTTGTGTCTTTGTTCTCATTGGTTTCAAAGAACATCTTTATTTCTGCCTTCATTTTGTTACGTACCCAGTAGTCATTCAGGAGCAGGTTGTTCACATTCCATATAGTTGAACGGTTTTGAGTGAGTTTCTTATCCTGAGTTCTAGTTTGATTGCACTGTGGTCTGAGAGACAGTTTGTTATAATTTCTCTTCTTTTACATTTGCTGAGGAGTGCTTTACTTCCAACTATGTGGTCAATTTTGGAATAAGTGTGATGTGGTGCTGAGAAGAATATATGTTCTGTTGATTTGGGGTGGAGAGTTCTGTAGATGTCTATTAGGTCCGCTTGGTCCAGAGCTGAATTCAATTCCTGGATATCCTTTTTAAATTTCTGTCTTGTTGATCTGTCTAATGTTGAAAGTGGGGTGTTAAAGTCTCCCATTATTATTGCATGGGAGTCTTAGTCTCTTTGTACGTCTCTAAGAACTTGCTTTATGAATCTGGGTGCTTCTGTATTGGTGCATATATATTTAGGATAGTTAGCTCTTCTTGTTGAATTGATCCCTTTACCATTATGTAATGGCCTTCTTTGTCTCTTTTGATCTTTGTTGGTTTAAAGTCTGTTTTATCAGAGACTAGGATTGCAACCTCTGCTTTATGTTGTTTTCCATTTGCTTGGTAGATCTTCCTCCATCCCTTTATTTTGAGCCTATGTTTGTCTTTGCATATGAGATGTGTCTCCTGAATACAGCACACTGATGGGTCTTGACTCTTTATCCAATTTGCCAGTCTGTGTCTTTTAATTGGAGCATTTAGCCCATTTACATTTAAGGTTAATACTGTTATGTGTGAATTTGATCCTGTCATTATGATGTTAGCTGGTTATTTTGCTCGTTAGTTGATGCAGTTTCTTCCTAGCCTGGATGGTCTTTACAATTTGGCATGTTTTTTCAGTGGCTCGTACCGGTTGTTCCTTTCCATGTTTAGTGCTTCCTTCAGGAGCTCTTTTAGGGCAGGCCTGGTGGTGACAAAATCTCTCAGCATTTGCTTGTCTTTAAAGGATTTTATTTCTCCTCCACTTATGAAGCGTAGTTTGGCCTGATATGAAATTCTGGGTTGAAAATTCCTTTCTTTGAGAATGTTGAATATTGGCCCCCACTCTCTTCTGGCTTGTAGAGTTTGTACCAAGAGATCTGCTGTTAGTCTGCTGGGCTTCCCTTTGTGGGTAACCCGACCTTTCTCTCTGGCTGCCCTTAACATTTTTTCTTCGTTTCAACTTTGGTGAATCTGACAATTATGTGCCTTGGAGTTGCTCTTCTCATTGCATTCTCTGTATTTCCTGAATTTGAATGTTGGCCTTCCTTGCTAGGTTTGGGAAGTTCTCCTGGATAATATCCTGCTGAGTGTTTTCCAACTTGGTTCCATTCTCCCAGTCACTTTCAGGTACACCCATCAGACTTAGATTTGTCTTTTTACATAGTCTCATTTCTTGGAGGATTTGTTCATTTCTTTTTACTCTTTTTTCTCTAAACTTCTCTTCTCGCTTCATTTCATTCATTTGATCTTCCATCACTGATACCCTTTCTTCCACTTGATCGAATTGGCTATTGAAGCTTGTGCATGTGTCACGTAGTTCTCGTGCCATGGTTTTCAGCTCCATCAGGTCATTTAAGGTCTTCTCTAGGCTGTTTATTCTAGTTAGTCATTTGTCTAATCTTTTTTCAAGGTTTTTAGCTTATTTTGCAATGGGTTCAAACATCCTCCTTTAGCTCGGAGAAGTTTGTTATTACCGATCACCTGAAGCCTTCTTCTCTCAACTCGTCAAAGTCATTCTCCGTCCAGCTTTGTTCCGTTGCTGGCGAGGAGCTGCATTCCTTTGGAGGAGAAGAGGCGCTCTGATTTTTAGAATTTTCAGCTTTTCTGCTCTGGTTTCTACCCATCTTTGTGGTTTTATCTACCTTTGGTCTTTGATGATGGTAATGTACAGATGGGGTTTTGGAGTGTTTGTCCTTTCTGTTTGTTAGTTTTCCTTCTAACAGTCAGGACCCTCAGCTGCAGATCTGTTGGAGTTTGCTGGAGGTCCACTCGAGACCCTGTTTGCCTGGGTATCACCAGCGGAGGCTGCACAACAGCAGCTTCGTCTCAGAGGGGCACCCGGCCGTGTGAGGTGTCAGTCGGCCCCTACTGGGAGGTGTCTCCCAATTAGGCTACTTGGGGGTCAGGAACCCACTTGAGGAGGCAGTATGTCTGTTCTCAGATCTTTTAAAAGCATTTTTATTGGTGCGTAACAGATGTACATAGTTTTTGAATACATGTGATAATATATTCATATGATCTGTAAATATCAAATCAGTGTACTTGGGATAGCCATCACCATAAGTATTTGTCTTTTCTCTATGGTAGAAATATTTGAATTCTTCTCTTCTAGCTATTTTAGAATGTACAATATATTCTCGTAAACTATAGTTACCCTACTTCTCTTTCAAACACTAGGTCTTATTTCTTCTATCAAACTGTATGTTTTTACCCATTAATTAACTTCTGTTTATCCTTCCTCCCCCATAACCTTCCCAGCCTCTGTAAATTGTTTTATTCTTCCAACAAGAATTCATTGAGAATTTTCTGTGAGTAAAGTTTAAGTACCTTAAGAGTTCCAGCCTATTTGGAGACAAAATATGCATGGTGTTGGAAAAATAGAAATACAATTAAGTAACTTACCCACAGTCTGAAATAAAATAGCCCAAATTATGTCAGTGAGTACTTGGAAAATGAAGTATATGACAAATTATCATAGATTTGAGTTTTAATCACTTAAAAAAACAGAGTTCTGTGGTTTTTTTATATCATTCTTTCAATTAGATACAGTAGTCTCCCAAGAGCCAGGTTATCATTGTCTTGCATTTTAAATTTAAAATGACAATATGCCTGTAATCCCAGCACTTTGTGAGGCCAGGGCAGGTGGATCACTTGAGGCCAGAAGTTAGAGACCAGCCCGGCCAACATGACGAAACCCCATCTGTACTAAAAATACAAAAATTATCCAGTCATGGTGGTCCATGCCTGTAAACCCAGCTACTCAGGAGGCTGAGGCAGGAGAATTGCTTGAACCCCGCAGGCAGAGGTTTCGGTGAGCCAAGATCACACTACTGCACTCCAGCCTGGGCAGCAGAGTGAGACACTGTCTCAAAACAACAACAAACCAATAGCCACTGTTTGCTGAGAGTTGGCTCTACGCTAGGTGCCCCACCATCAATTACATTTTCTCCTCACACTGAACTTGTCAGGTAGGAATTATTACTTGTGATTTATAGATGAAACTCAGTGAGATAAGGAATGTAATAAATGGCATGGGCAGGTTTCAAGCCCAGGCCTGGACTGAAAGCCCACACTGTCTCCTCCTAAATCTCACTCCTCAAGAAGGATGCCAGGCCCATTCTGCAACACAATCCACAAACGGCAGTTTGATCCAGGAAGGGAGGATCCTTGGTTTCTGGCTTTTTGCTTACCAGCATTAAAAGAAGAAGAGGAAGAGGAAGAAAAATCACCCATTTGATATTACCTTTTCTTCTTGCTTGTGGAAACGGCACTTCCCAATTACACCTAGGAAGTCTGTAGTTAAGAACAAGTAATTCCCCAAACCAGTTCTGTGTTTTTTTACTCTTATCATGCAAAGAAACCTTCCAGCAGTCAATAAAAGAGAGAAAAGTAATTAGCAAATGCTAAACATTGATATGCCGTTGGTCCTCCTACTCCCTGAATGCCTGAGTCCTGGAGTGAGGTGTCTCGAATGTGGGACCTTCTGGTGGATGGTGGTGAAATGTTTCATGGAGATTTTATGACACCAAGAGAAGTTGAAATGATTCCATTTACCACCCGGAGGTACCCTCAGGACTCTCTGTCCCAAGACTGTTCTGAGCCCTGTTTTTGGACACCAAAAGTTACACCTCTTGGCAGCATGCATAAGCCATGAATGTTCCCATGGGGGTCTTCGGATAAAGAGCTATGATGTCACACACACACAAAGCCTGGCCATCATTAGCAAATGGATAAAAAAGAAACTTTGTATTACTTTTATAAGTTGCAAAGAGAGTGAAAGTTGTTTCTTTGTATCCTCTGGAGGATAGCTATCCAGAACAACTCCTAGATTTCTCCTGAATCACATTTTTGACAGTAGGATGGAGATATATATATATCTCATAATGTTTAAATTTCATATATATATACAGTACTTATATATATATTTACATATATATATACATGTATACATATGAAGCCTATATATATATATATATATATATATATATATATATATATGAAAATTCAAATATTATGAAATAAAGGCTTTCTATGGGTGCTAATAAATTTAGAATGGTATATCTAGTGGAAGTAGGCAGACTTCCCATGATTTTGAGAAATAAAAGCAAGTTAATTTGGCTGAAAAGCAGGTTTGTTAAATCTGCTTGTTCATTTTTTTCCCTTAAACATCTTTGCATGTATTATATAATCTATACCAGAACATGGGCAGTCATGGGGAAGCCAGAACAGTATGTGGCAGGAACCAGCTAGGCAGAGTCAGACCCTGAGGTCAGCAAGAACCCATGTGCAGTACAGAAGTGAGAATCAAATGGAGAACGAAGCAGATGGGAGACATAGGTCCAAGGTAGTCAGGTCCTGGGAAGTTCATGAGAATAGAGAAGTCAGGTACACTCGCTTAGAAGAAAGCGTGTCTTAGCAGTCATAATATTGGCGATTTCTCTTCCTAGGACAGAGGCCATTTTGCTTTCTGTCTGGATTTATACTCCCTGTGACACTGAGATGTATGTGAGCCATATAAATAGACACTCAACAAAAGTTTTTGCAATCAACAGATGGGTACAGATGAGGTGGTTCCCCCTTGGAGTCAAATGAATCCTAATGATCTCTGAGATAGAGATGTACCAGCATTTCTGGAGTGGGCATTTTACTTCCTAGATTACTGAACCTTCATTTGCAGACATAATTAATACACCTCTCAAACATTTTTTATGTGAAGATTAGTTATATGTTTTTTCTTGCTCCAAGTTTTAGCATGTTTAAATCTTGGCCCTAATAGAATTGCTTTTTTTCTGCCTACCCCTAGTACTTGCTGAATCTTCCCTACTTATGAATATTGTAATCTAATAAGCCTTATCTCTATTTACTTTGGAGTTGAAGATCCAATTAGTTGCATTTGGAAAGGATTAATTCAACTGCTCTGCCCTTGGAGGCAGTGAGTGCCAAGCTTCTGCTCATCTGTGGTTTTGTTCCAATTGCTCTGCCACATTCTGCTGGAGCTGTTAGCGTTTCATCACTCTTTGAAAAAGGCCAATGTAGCACGGCTTACAGTAAGAAAATGTGGACTATGATACTACAGGCGAATTTAGAGAGAGGATATGTCAGAATCTGAGGTCTGGACCTGAGTATTCTAAAACTGGAGGCTTTGGTGAGTACTTACGTCCACAGCTTATACATTTAACCTCTGACAGCTAACTGGGTTGTTTTACCATTGCTGCAGCCTTGCTATTAACTCCTTTCCAGTTATGTGTTCGCTGTTCTGGACACTGTACACTTTTTAAGTGCCCCAGTTCACAGTTAAGAGTCAAAAGATGATGGCAAGCTTATATACTTTCAAAGTAATAAATATGTGTCATCAGTTCACCCCAGAAAAGGAGGCAGAAAATAAACTGGGAAATCTGGGCAGGTGAGGAATAGGGAGTAGATTGGAGGAAAAGAGATCTATAGGGGTGATATGTCAGCCCAGGTATTCCTAATCACTGACTGGAACCAATTTGGAAGATTGACAACTAATCCATAGTAGCACATATTGCTTTGGATAGTAAGTGGAATTACTACTTTAGGCGTACCTTGCCTATAAGATCTCCTCCCTTTCATTCTCTCTCTCCTAACACACACACACATGCACACACACACACACACACACACACAAAGATAGAAAGAATGTCATTTTCCTGTATCTGTTACTAGAGAAAAATGCTAATCTAGCAAAAACACTAAGTAAGCATCTGACCCCTTGAGATATCTTGCATAAAATCCTTTAAGAAGAAAGATACTAATCATTGATTTATAGAAAAAAAACAGTGCAGTGTTTCTCATTATTGTTTAGTATGATGGCTATGAAACCAAATTGCAGCTCCCAAAACTCTGTATTTTTCCAAATGAAATATCTTTAAACTTAGGGTAAGTTCCCATTTGCACTATAATCTCTTAAAATGCCTCACTGGTTAGCAGTAGCCAAAGCTTTGGAAAAATCATTATCGGAGACATCTAAAATGCTTTCTGCATAGCCTGTGAGCAATTGCAATATTGCCATACAGAGAGAGACACAAGGGTCAGGTTCATGGTCAGATAATAACTTGTGGTAATAGTAGAGTTCAGAGCTCCAGTTTTCTGAGTACCAGTCCAGGCATGACCCATCCACTTGTTGCTGATCAGCTGCCTCCTGGGCCTTGTCGGGGCCTGTTGAATATGTGGAGAGAGCACTCTGTGCTCACTGCAACATCGTGGGGGTGCACTAATGACCGCTGTGACCACTAATGACCACTGTGCTATCCCAGTTAAGTTTTCCACAGGTGGACCTTGAAGATTTTACTATACAGGCCCTCCTGTGCAGTAAATACATATCACAGCTGGTATTGTAAGTTACTGAAATTGTTTTTTGGATTATTCTTCCCACTTGTGGAAAAAAGTTACTGTGGAGGGGAGAAAACCCTTTTCTTCCTCAAACTTCTATTGGGGTAAAGGATTTTTAATGCAGCCAGAACACTGAGAGACATGCTGCAATTCTAAGAAAAGGCTTAGATTTCGACTCTTAGAGGACCACAGCCAGAGGCATTGTGCTTCATGTGGGCTTTAGACAGGACAAGCTTAGTTCTGAGAGGGCAAGACACTTTATTCCACACCATTATTTAAAACCTTCTGTGGTAAATTGTTTTCAGAGATGACTGTAGCATTATCTCCCTAAGCCTTTTTGTATTGTGACTGCCACTTCTCCCATTAAGAGGTGGAGTCTAGCCAGGAACAGTGACTTGTGCCTGTAATCCCAGCTACTCTAGAGGCTGAGATAGTAGTATCCCTTGAGGCCAGGAGAAGACCTGGGCAATACAGTGAGACCCCCATCTCTAAAAGTAAAAATAAATTAGCCGGGGGTGGTGGCACACACTTGTAGTCTCAGCTACTTGGGAGGCCGAGGTGGAGAATTGCTTGAGCCCAGGAGTTTGAGGTTGCAGTAAGCTATGATTGCACCACTGCACTTCAGCCTGAGTGATAGAGTGAAGCTCTGTCTTTAAAAAAAAAAAAAACAAAAGGGGGTGGCTATGTTGGAGTTTTGACTTGTTTTAAGCAATAGAATGCAGTGGCAATAACATTATGCATCTTCCAGGGTGAGGCCTTGAGGAACATTGTACTTTTTACTTTATACTACTTCAGACACAGGCATTGCCCTGAGACAGTCATGTGGGAAAGCTAGTCTAGCATGCTGGAGGCTAAGTGGTAAGTAGAGGAGAACTGAGGCATCCCAGCTGATGGCTGGCATCAACTGCTAGACATCAGGAAGGCCATCTGGAACCTTCTGGCCCTGCCAACTCTCTAGCTGAATGCAGCTGTGTGAATGAGCTCAGATAAAACCAGCAAAGTAACAGCTCCACCAACCTGCAGAATTATGAGATATCACAAAGCATCGTTTGAAGCCAACAAATTAGGGCTGACTTGTTATGCAGCACAGGCTAACTGAAATGCCCTCAAGAAATAACTTTAATATTTAGGCTTTTAAAATAGGGTTAGCTTTACTTTGGTGCTGTAGGACATCTGTCGAAAGAGGAACAGCAAAACACAATATTCAAGAAGAAAAAAAAGTCTGCAACTAAGTCACGAATACCCTAAGTATCATAAGTGGGAAAATCCAGAGAGACTCTCAAATGCCTCATCCTGTTGTATTTTGTATGTCACAGATGTCAGTACTTGTCATGTGGCAGGAATTGCTAGGAAGGAGTCTTAAAAAAAAAACAGCTCTGGCTCCATATAGAATAATCAGGATGCTTCATGTAGCTGTTAAAATTTTTCCTAACTGGGAGAGTATATTGGAAGTCAGAGAGAACCAGCCATTCCCCCAGAGAAGTGCTGATCACAGGCATAAGGCTACATGGGGACTTATTTTATACTGAGGTTTCATAGGCAATGAAGTCACCTGGAAGTCACTAACTTGAAATATGACAGTGGACCTGGGTATTAAGCTAGTGAGAGAAAGAGTAATTAAGAATATTATCTACTTTAGGATTTTTTTTCATTTAATAGAGTAGGCTTCTATCAAAAGCCTTTTCTTTTTCCAAATTTGGTATTTTATCTATGACATAGACTGTGACTAAAAGAAAAACATTGATTCAGTATATATTGCTATAAATCCCTGGAGTGATTTTCCCTGTGTTGTCCCAGCTTAATATAGTGATAAGAATGCACAATATTCTCCAATCCTTTTTACATGTGGATTGCATGGAGAAAAGTCTAGCCATGGGGAAAACTCTGCCAGTGTAATATGTTACTCCACAATGAGAGAGAGATTGAAAATTATACGTGTATGTGACTTTATTTAGTAAAATACTTTGATATCTTTCTGTGCGTGCTTTCTCTGTCATTTTGTGCAACTTATTTTGGGAGGAAAGGGAGATTAAACAAAGAGATATCTATTAAGTATCTCCTATTGCTAGACATTTTATGTTACTTAATTGGATCCTAATAGTAACCCTATCATAAAAAGGGTTGAGGCTCAGAAAGAATGCACAACTACCAAGTAGGAAAGCCAAGATTCAAACTCAGGACTGTTTGTCTTCCAAACACACCCTATTTCCACTGTACCATAATGTGAAATGTTTACTTAATTCCAGCCTATATCTCAATGTTCCCAGGGATGGGGCAACTGCTACTTCATAAGACAGCTTTCCCCCCAATTTTAGTGATTCTTATTTCCAGAAAGACTTTCCTTACGCTACATGGGGCTCATGGATAAGGGGTTTGAATTGAGGGATGACATGGCTGAATAGATGATATGTACTAAGATCTCTGTTTTTTCATTCTAAAAATAGCAAAAACATTTTCATATTTTACAAATACTAGCTAGATTTATAAATAAAATACATATGGAAGCCATGGAATACAGTAAAGCTAAACAGTTCTTTTGGAAACTAAATGGCAAGCATTATCCTTTATAACACATTGAGCTTGCTGTCCACATTCCTAGGCTATAACATGCCTAGGCCCTGAATTAATAATCACTAAACCTGGCTGAAGGGCACTTGGAAGCAAAAGTACTCTGTACTTTTGCGTAGGTTTGAAATTTTCCATAATAAAAATGTTTGAAATTCAGCTTTTGCATTTTAACATAAAATATTTTTCTTTAATGCTATCCATACATCAGTGGAAAAGGTACCAGTGCTTTTCAATACATGTCACTCTTGAAATTATAAGATGCCTTTTTTTTTCAATTAACGTATACATTTTACAATAAATCTTGTTTCCTCTGTGTCTTCTAAGCTGAAAAAAAAAGCTTTTTCTGGCTATATCTAAATTTATTGGTTGATTAAATATCTTTCTACTTAACTTTGTGTATATAAGCTGATTTTAGAAGTATGGCCAGTTTTTGGTTTGCTGGGATTTTTTTTTTTTTTTTTTTTTAAAGAAAATTGACTCTCCTTGTAGCAGACATGTATCTTTAAAAATCCATTCTTAGACAAGGCAGCAAGAGATAAAAGGAAAAAATCCATAGTCGAATTTCTGTCCTGACTTATGAATATGAAACTTTCATTTTCAAAGTACGTACTTTCCAAATCAGTAGGCCGGAGAGCTAGTGTTTCTGACATTGCCTACACAAACCTATAATATGGCAGTTGGACCAGTGCCCAAGCTAAACAGTAGCAAAGGCAAAGCAGCACAGCTCCTCATGTTAGCAATTTCTGGTGATAAATTATCTGTGTTCTAGGAATCTGGAGGCTGGTTTTTTTTTCATATTTACACATTTATACATGAATCACTGCCCTTCCTGTCACCTTTAATTCTGAAGCTCAATTCATATCCTTTTCTTCAAAAACTTTAGCACTTTTTACATAAACAACAGATGGTTTGTTTTCAAAAGGCAGTGTGAATTTTGAAGTCAAGTCTTTTATTTTGCATGCAGTCTTTGAAAATGGTTTCAAAGTGTTAGAAATTCATGTTGGCTTCTATCTGCTTGTATGAACAGTTTGATGTATGATATTCTGGATGACTCTTTTTGTGGATAGATCTTCCTTCCAACTATAATAAGATTTCTTATTGCATTCCCATAACTCAGTTTAGCTCTGTCTGAGTTTTCCTCATCCCTCCTTGTAGAATCTTTCACAGCAGGTCCTGCCTGTTGCTTCAACTAAAGCTCTTTAACTCTATTTGTAGTGCCATCTGCCCAGTTACTACAATTGAAGGGCTCAACTTCTGGTTGCAAAGAGTTGTTGGCTCAACATATTGATTTATAAATCTTATGATGATAAATTGACATATAGAGCAATATGATTGAACATTTAGCTTGTCTTAATTACCATCAACCAAACTTTCACTCCTACAGCATTTTGGAACTAAAAAGCTTTTCCTGTTACATAAGATGCATTTTTTTCTAGTTTGCATACACATTATAACTTTACTGTGCTTGTTTTTATACTTTAGTTTGTAATTTCAGTCTTTCAAAGGGTTTATTCAAAGAAATAAAACCTGTAATTAGAAGAGGCAATCATGCTTCAGTCATGGGCATAGTACAGACTAAGTTATAGTCTGAGATAGATTTTTCTTCTCCATTTAACCATTTTGTTCACTCTGTTATTTTTCAAAAAATAAAGCTCAAAACAGAAAAATTTAATATTATGAAACTACCTAACACTGAGTTAAAGTAAATATAGAGAAAACTTTGAAATATAAATATGAGACCTTTCATGTTGATCTTACTGTTACCTCTTAAATTTTGACCTAACCCTGGCTTAGCCAGACTATGTGTATTGCTTCCTCCTAACTCATCTTAAATTTTATCTTGGAATTGAAGCTTTATTCTAAAAAGCTCTAGGTTCAATGATATTAACCCCCACAATAATGCTGGCATGACATCAAAACTTCATCACTTGCTTATACCCAAATATCTGCAGACTTGTAGCTTTTCTATGCTTTTGCCACAAGCAGAGATGTTTAATTAAAGGACTACCTTTAATGTGTCTAGTTTCAGAATAAGTTATAATCTCACTGTTCCTTGGACTTCTTTCTGAATTCTTTTCCTCCAAAAGGTTTCAGGTTGTAAGGAACAGAAATCAACTCTGACTTTAATATAAAATAAAAGAGATTTATTGCAAAGATGCAGGAAGATTCTCAGATTAAAGGCAGTGCTCAAAAAAGACTTAGGAGAGACAGGTACAAAGTCTCAGGAGTAGGAACTGACTACCTGACAATCTTGCCTGGATCTGCTGCTCGAACCAGTGAAGACAACCATATGTCTGCCACTGGATGCTGTAGAATGAAAGAAAAAGGCTCTGGCAAAAGAAACTCCAGTCTGCTTTAGCTTCCACAGTGGAAAGGGCAGGTGTCTGGATGACCCTCCCATGAAGAACCCTCTCAGTAGGAGAGAGGTGATTCCACAAAAGCAATCAGAGAATTTTAGAAAATAATGTTTGGGGATCAATAATGGCAGGTGTTTGTCAAAATCATGTAGTGTTAAGTGTAAACTCCTGCTGCATATTATTTTCAAACATGAAGGCACAACTTGGTACCCACTTATTAAAGAAGATTCTGGGGAAGTAGAGACACTGACCCCACCTTTAGTGTGTCTTGTTTTCAGGGTCGCATCGGGGCTCTGCTGTGGGTTTTTGAGTAAATAAAAAAACTCTAGGTTGTCATCCTTTCCTCAATAAGATGAGGTTTTATCAAATGATCCCTTTTGTCTTGTCAAGGTCCCCTTTTCTAGGAATCTAAGAGATAAAATGTCTCCTTCCCAAGAGGTATTTCCCACTGTTACTTTAACTTAAATATAATATTCTCCCTTGGCAATTCTACCTATAACTGCTACCACTGCCCCTAACACAGGGCGCATTCTGAGAAGCCGTGTATCTTTCACCATGTAATATGACATTTTGATCTGAAATTTAAAATCCTTTTAAAAGGAAACTGGTCTCTTCTTTGTATCTGTTGGCTGAACCCATAGTTGCAGCTCCAGTGCTTCCTTGACAGACTTCCTTGACAGACTTATGAGATAAATACAGGTACCTGTCGCTGCAGAAGCATGTGGATCTAAATAATGAAACAGGGAGAAATAAAATAATGCACACTGTATTGCTACCATTTTTCATGGATGCCCCTAGCTCAGACAGTGATATTTTTATTAAGTTTAGATTATTCACACAAGAGTTCCTCATAAGAACAAGCCAAAATAAAAGTCACCTTTCTTATTTCTACACAATTGGTGACCTCAATTACAATCTTTCTATTATCTTGTTTGATATTTAGACTAGGATTGACCCAAAGAAAACTCATGACAACATAGTAGACAGCCAGTGAGATAAACATCTAAATCAATAATTTTCAAAAGAAGATCTACAAATGGCTAGGAAGTATGTGAAAAAAAAAAAGTTCAACATCGCTGATCATCAGGGAAGTGCAAATCAAAACCACAATGAGGTATCATCTCACCCCAGTTAGAATGGCTATCAGAAAGACAAAAGATGAGAAGATGGAGAAAGATGGTGGAATAGAAGCCTACATACTTCCTGTCCCCTGCGGGAACACCAAATTTTAACAACTATCTGCACACAAAAAAAAGTACTTTCACAAAAAACAAAAATCAGATGAGCAATAACAGTACCTGGTTTTTACTTCATATTGCCAAAAGAGGCATTGAGGAGAGCAAAAGAGACAGTCTTGAATCACCAGCACTACCCCTTCCCCGTACCCCAGCAGCCACCATGCAGTGCAGAGAGACCATCTGTGCCCTATGGGGAGGGAGGGCACAGGAACTGGGGAACTTTACATTGAACACAGTGCTGCTCTGTTACAGCAGAGAGTAAAGCTGTGCTGAGCTCAGGCAGTGCCTGTGTATGAAGGGAACATTTTGACCAGCTCTAGTGAGAGGAGAATCACCCGTTTCAGTAGCTGGGACTTGAGTTTCTTGGCAAGACTTACCACTGTGGCCTGAAGTGCTCTGGGGTCCCAGGTAAACTTGAAAGGCTGTCTAGGACACAGGACTGAAATTCCTAGGCAACGGCTAGTGCTAGGCTGGGCTTAGAGTCAGTGAACTAGCATAGCAAGTGACCTAGGGAGACAGCAGCTGGCATGGCTAAGGGAGTGCTTGTGCATCCCTCCCCCAGTCCCAGGCAGTGCAGCTCTCCTTAAGGAGAATGAAGAGTAAAGAGGACTTTGTCTTTCCCCTTGGATACCAGCTCAGCTACAGCAGAATAAGGCACTGAGCAGAGTCATGAGGCCCCCATCCCAAGCCCTAGCTCCTGGACATTTCTAGATACATCCTGGGCTAACTGGCAACCCACTGCCTTGAAGGGAAGGACTCAGTCTTGGCAGGATTCATCACCTGCTGACTAAAGAGCCCTTGGTTCCTGAATAGCTAACAGCAATACCCGAGGAGTATGCCACAGGCCTTGGGCTCTGAGACATGCTGGCTCCAGGGGTTATCCAGCACATTTCCAGCTCTTGTGGCTACGGTAAAAGACTCTTTCCTTCTGTTTGAGAAAAGCAGAGAGTAAAGTAAAGTGGACTTTGTCTTGTACTCCAAATACCAGCTCAGCCACAGTGAGGATAATATCAGAGAAATTCCCAAATTAAGAGGAAGATATTGATGTTCAAGTACAAGAGGGTTATAGAACACCAAGCAGGTTTAGCCCATAGAAGACTACCTCAAGACATTTAATAATTAAACTCCTAAAGGCTGAGGATAAAGAAAGGATCCTAAAAACAGCAAGAGAGAAGAAACAACATGCAATGGAGTTCCAAAATGTCTGGCAGCAGACTTTTCAGTGGAAACCTTATAGGCCAGGAGAGAGTGGCATTACATATTTAAAGTGCTGAAGGAAAAAACTTTTACCCTAGAATAATGTATCTGGTGAAAATATTCTTTGAGCATGAAGGAGAAATAAAAACCTCAGACAAACAAAAGCTGAGGGATTTTATCAACACCAGACCTTTCCTAAAAGAAATGCTAAAGGGAGTTCTTGAATCTGAAAGAAAAGGATGTAGATGAACAATAAGAAATCAATGGAAGGGGCCAGGTGTGGTGGCTCATGCGTGTAATCCCAGCACTTTGGGAGGCCAAGGAGGGCAGATCACTTGAGGTCAGGCATTTGAGACTTCCCCCTGAGACTAGCCTGGCCAACTTGTTGAAATCCTGTCTCTCCTAAAAATATAAAAATTAACTGGGCGTAGTGGAATTACCCCTGTAATTCCAGCTACTTGGGAGGCTGAGGCAGGAGAATCACTTGAACCTGGGAGGTGAAGGTTGCAGTGAGCCGAGATCGTGCCATTGCACTCCAGCCTGAGTGACAGAGTGAGACTCCATCTCAAAAAAAAAAAAAAAAAAAAAAAAAGAAAGAAAGAAAAAAGAAGAAAAATCAATGGAAGGTACAAAACTCCCTGGTAACAGTAAGCATGCAGTAAAACAAAATAGTATAATCAAAAGACATAGAGTGGCTGAATGTATGAAAAAACAAGAACTAATGCTTTGTTGCCTACAAGAAACACAATTCACATATAAAGATACACACAGACTGAAAATAAAGGGATGAAAAAGATATTCCATGCCAGTGGAAACCAAAAAAGAGCAGGAGTAGTTATACTTATTTAAGACAAAATATATTTCAAGACAAAAACTGTAAGAAGAGACAAAAAAGGTCATGATATAATGTTAAAGGGGTCAACTTAGCAAGGGGAAATAATGCTTATAAATATATATGCACCCAATACTGGAGCACCCAGATAAATTAAGCAAATATTATTAGAGCTGAAGAGAGAGATAAATCCCAATACAATAATATCTGGAGATTTCAACACCTCACCTTCAGCACTGAACAGATCTCCCATACAGAAAATCAACCAAGAAACATTGGACTTAATCTTCACTGTGGAACAAATGGAACTAATAGATATTTACAGAACATTTCATCCAATGGCTGCACAATACATGATTTCCTCCTCAGCACATGGTTCATTCTCAAGGATAGACCACATGTTAGGTCATTAAACAAGTCTTAAAACATTCAGAAAAATGAAATAGTATCAAGCATCTTCTCTGACCACAATGGAATAAAAATAAAAATCAATAACAAGATATTGCAAACTATAAAAACGCATAGAAATTAATGTTCTCCTGAATGACCAGTGGGTAAATGAAGAAATTAAGGAAGAAATTGGAAATTGTGTTGAAACAAATGATAATGGAAACACCACATACCAAAACCTATGGGACACAGTGAAAGCAGTACTAGGAGGAAAGTGTATAGCTATAAGTGCCTATGTTAAAAAAGAAAAAAAAAAAGCTAAAAATAACCTAATGATGCATCTTAACTAGAAAAACAAGAGTAAACTGAACCCAAAATTAGTAGAAGAAATAAAAATCAGAGCAAAAATAAGTGAATTTGAAATGAAGAAAACATAAAAGATCAACAAAACATAAACTGGTTTTTTGAAAAGATAAAATTGACAAAACTTTAGCCAGTCTAACAAAAAATAGAGAATATCCAAATAAAATCAGAGATGAAAAAGGAGACATTACAACTTATATCACAGAAATTCAAAAGATCATTAGTGGCTACTATATACCAATAAATTGGAAAGTCTATGTATTAGGGTTCTCTAGAGGGACATAACTAATAGAATACATATATATATATATGTACATATATACATATATATATGAGCTTATTAAGTATTAACTCACACGATCACAAGGTCCCACAATAGGCCATCTGCAAGCTGAGCAGCAAGGAGAGCCAGTCCAAGTCCCCAAACTGAAGAACTTGGAGTCCGATGTTTGAGGGCAGGAAGCATCCAGCACGGGAGAAAGATGTAGGCTGGGAAGCTAGGCCAGTCTAGCCTTTTTGTGTTTTTCTACCTGCTTTATATTCTAGCTGTGCTGGCAGCTGATTAGATGCTGCCCACCCAAATTAAGGGTGGGCCTGCCTTTCCCAGCCCACTAATTCAAATGCTAACTTCCTTTGGCAACACCATCACAGACACACCCAAGATGAATAATTTGCATCCTTCAGTCCAATCAAGTTGACACTCAGTATTAACCATCACAGGTCCACCCCTTGTCAACTTGAACCCATACACATCTCCTGAGATCATACATAATCATTGAATAAAGACAATAATAAGGTCACAATCACACCTAAAATAATATAGCTATCCTTTGTACAACCATGAACACACTAATCACCAACCCAAATACTATTACATAAAGTTAACAATACTTAAATGCTGATATGAAGTCAATAAATCTTACGTCATGTGATAAAGGAAAAGGAAATAAAATATATTAGTACAAGTGTATATATGCACAAACATGTTTTTAACAAAAGAAGGAGGAAGTATTAATGACAATTGCAGTCCTTGTTTCTGCAGCTGGTCATGTGGTCATAGCTGGTATTGATGACTACCTTCTTCTACTACCCATTCTGTATTCCCTTTGCCTTCATCAAGCACCTCAGCAAGTCTGGTTTTTTTTCTGGTAGAGTGACCCAAACCTTCATTCCTGAAGGGTCTGGGTCATTTGTAGTCCTGCCTGGGTTGGGCTATTATAGTTTCCCATTGACCTTAATCCCAGGGCATGGTAATACTAAGAGATGCCCTAATGGATCTCCTGAATTCCGTGCATACTCTTCCTTGCCTCTGTTGTGGAGTAGTAGACTGATTTAGTCTTGATAGTCTGGGTCAATCACCCCAGCCAACACTGTAACTCCCTTCTTAACCTGTTGACTTAAAGGTAAGAGGATCCCAAAGTATCCAGTTGGCAATCCTAACTTCTAGTTTAATGGAATCATTGTTGTGTCTCCTGGAGGCAGTGTTCCTCCCTCTGGAAGTAAGACATCTAGGCCAGCAAAACTTAATGTTGTGAAAACAGGAAGCAAAAATTTTGCTAGTGAATCACTAGAGGTGATGGTGAGTCATGCCACTTGCACTTCCACCCCTTGATTCCTGAACCTATGAATCCTGGCTATGACAGAAACAGTACCATATATTGGACGCTGATTCAGAGTATACATGGCCTTCTGGAGAACTTTGCCCCAGCCCTGCAAAGTATTGTCACCTAGTTGGCATTGTTAGTGTGACTTCAAAAGATCATTCCACTGTTCTATTAATCCAGCTGCTTCAGGATGATGGGCAACATGATAAGACCAGTGAGTTCCATGAGGATGAGCTGACTGCCACACTTCTTTTGCTGTAAAGTGAGTGCCTGGGCAGAAACAATGCTGTGTGGAATACCATAATGGCAGATAAGGCATTCCATGAGTCTATGGATGGTAGTCTTGGCAGAAGCATTGCATGCAGGATAGGCAAACCCGTATCTGGAGTAAGTGTTTATTCCATTGAGGACAAACCTCTACCCTTTCCATGTTGGAAGATGTCCAGTATAATCAACCTGCCACGAGGTAGCTGTCTGATCACCCCGAGGAATGGTGCCATATCGAGGGCTCAGTGTTGGTCTCTACTGCTGGCAAATTGGGCACTCAGCAGTGACCATAGCCAGGTCAGCCTTGGTGAGTGGAAGTCCATGTTGCTGAGCCCATGTGCAACCTTCATCCCTGCCACCATGGCCACTTTGTTCATGGGCCCATTGGGTGATGAGGGGTGGCTGGGTAAAGAGGCTGACAGGTGTCCACAGAATGGTCATGCTTTCCACTTGATTATTAAAATCCTCCTCTGCTGGGGTCACCCATTGGTGAGCACTCACTTGGGATCCAAGTATCCTCACAGTTTTTTTACCACACCACAAAGAGGTCCATCCACTTATCTCTTCCCCAGATTTCTTTGTCATTGATTTTCCAATCATGCTTCTTCCAAGTCACTGACCATCAAGCCAAACCATTGGCTACAGCCCATGACTTATTATATAATCACATATCTGGCCATTTCTCCTTCCATGAAAAGTGCACAACCAGGTGCACTGCTCAAAGTTCTGCCCACTGGGAAGATTTCCTTTCATCGCTGTCCTTCAGGGATGTCCTAAAAAGGGGCTGTAGTGCTGCAGCTGTCTACTTCCGAGTGGTGCCTGCATATCGTGCAGAACCATCTGTGAACCAAGCCCTAGTCTTCTCTTCCTCTGTCAACTGACCATAGGGAACTCCCCATGAGGCCACTGGTGCAGGCTGGGGGGGAGAATGCAGGATGGCAGGAGTGGAGACCATGGGCATTTGAACTACTTCCTCATGTAACTGACTTACGCCTTCAGGACCTGCTTGAGCCCAATCACGTATATACCACTTCAATTTGATGATGGAATGCTGCTGTGCATGACCCACTTTATGGCTTGATGGGTCAGAAAGGACTCAGTTCATGATAGGCAGTTCAGTTCACATGGTGACTTAATGACCCATAGTCAAACGTTCAGTTTCCACCAAAACCCAGTAACAGGCCAACAGCTGTCTCTCAAAAGGAGAGTAGTTATCTGCAGAAGATGGCAGGGCCTTGCTCCAAAATCCTAGAGGCCTCCACTGTGATTCACCTATGGGAGCCTGCCAAAGGCTCCAAAAAGCATCCCTATCTGCCACTGAAACCTCAAGCACCATTGGATCTGCTGGGTCAAATGGCCCAAGTGGCAGAGCAGCTTGGACAGCAGCCTGGACCTGTTGCAGAGCCTTCTCCTGTTCTGTACCCCACTCAAAACTGGCAGCCTTTCAGGTCACTTGATAAATGGGCCAGAGTATCACACCCAGATGAGGAATGTGTTGCCTTCAAAATCCAAATAGGCCCACTAAGCATTGTGCCTCTTTTTTGGTTGTAGAAGGGGCCAAATGCAACAACTTATCCTTTAGAAGAAATATCTCGACAGGCCCCACACCTCTTGACCCCTAGAAATTTTACTGAGGTAGAAGATCCCTGAATTTTAGTTGGTTTTATTTCCCATCCTCTGGCACACAAATGTCTCACCAATAAGGTCAGTGTGTTTGCTACTTCTTGCTCACTAGATCCAATCAGCATAATATCATCAATGTAATGGACCAGTGTGATATCTTGTGGAAGCAAAAAGGAATCAAGATCTCTCTGAGTAAGATTATGACACAAAGATGGAGAGTTGATATACCCCTGAGGTAGGATAGTAAAGGTATATTGCTGGCCTTGCCAGCAAAAGGCACATTACTTCCGGTGGGCCTTATGGACAGGAATGGAGAAAAAGGCATTTGCCATGTCAATGGCTGCATACCAGGTACCAGGAGATGTGTTAATTTGCTCAAGCAATGAAACCACATCTGGTACAGCAGCTGCAATTGGAGTCACCACTTGGTTAAGCCTACGATAACCCACTGTCATTCTCCAAGATCCATCTGTCTTCTGCACAGGCCAAATGGGAGAGTTGAACAGGGATGTGGTGAAAATCACCACCCCTGCATCTTTCAAGTCCTTGATGGTGGCACTAATCTCCACAGTCCCTCCAGGGATACAATATGGTTTTTGATTTACTATTTTTCTAGGTAGAGGCAGCTCTAATTGTTTCCATTTGGCCTTTCCCACCATAATACCAGTCAGGGAGCCAATGTGGGGGTTCTGCCAGCTGCTAAGTATGTCTATGCCAATTATGCATTCTGGCACTGGGGAAATAACCACAGGATGAGTCTGGGGACCCACTGTAATTTGGACCTGAGCTAAAACTCCATTAATTACCTGACCTCCATAAGCCCCTACTTTAACTGGAGGACCACAATGATGTTTTGGGTCCCCTGGAATCAATGTCAGCTCAGAGCCAGTGTCCAGTAGTCCCCCAAATATCTGCATTTCCCTTTTCCCCAGTGCACAGTTACCCTGGTAAAAGGTTGGAGGTCTCCTTGGGAAAGGACAGGAGAAAGATGAACAGTATAAATTGTCAGAAGTATAGTGGGGTCCTTCCTCAAGGGAACCCAGCCTTCCCCTTCATTCAAGGTGTTCTGAGTCTGTAAACCAGCTCAAGTCTGGAAATTGATTGAGGGTCCATGATTCTCTGTTTGTATAATTCAAATTTGTCTTTTGTCCATTCAACCTAGAAGTTTTCTGCTTATATAAATTAAGGAGGAATGCAGTAGGCTTCCTATCATTTTCACTTCTAGGAACACCGTGATTAATTAGCCAATGCCAGAGCTCTACAGAAGTCAGACTATTCTGATTGCCGCTTTGCCTCTGCTGTCCATTATGGTAGCTATGCCTACCTTGCCTTTGACGGTTGAGTGCCACTACTTGGCCCCTGGCACCATGGGATCCAATTACTCCCATTGCAGTTAAATTTTGTAGTTGAGTGACTGCAGCTCCCACTGTTGGATCTAACATACAGAGAAGAGCAATTACAGGGCTCTTCAAAGATGCAGGTACTGCCTCACAAATCTATTTTGCAAGGCATTGGTCAAGGGTGTATCTTCTGGACCCTCCCAGCTGGGATGAGTAGGTCTAAAGTGACTAATCCACTCCACCATTCTAATCTCCCTAAGCCTTTTGATCCTTTTCCTGTACATTAAACCAAGGGAAATAAGTCATTTCCAGCTCACTCACAGTGGGCCATCTCTTAATCCATATTTCAGCTAACCAAATAAATGATTAGAAGCTTTTTTTAACTCCCTGAGCTGCAACATTAAATGCAGAGTCCCTACTTAATGGGACCAAATCAATAAATTTGGCCTGATCCAACTCTGTGTTCCTTCCACCATTATTCCACACCCTTAATATCCATTCCCATCCCTGCTCTCCAGATTGCTGCATATATAAATTAGAAAACTCAAGCAGTTCTTTTTGAGTGTAGTGTACCTCCTCATGGGTCACACTCTCAACCTCACCTCTGGAGGCCCACAAGGACTTTAGTTATAGATCTGGAAGAAAACAGGAGTGTTGGGGGTGGCCATCACAGGCAAGATAATGAGAATCAACATTATCTTGCCTGGCAACTGCCTCAGGGGGGGCCATCACTGTTGCCTCAGGAGACACAGGGTTTATCTCCTCAGATAAAGGTGGAAAGGCTGATGGCAGCATGGGTTGGGGAGGCAATGTTGCCACTACTGGGGATGGGGAAGCTGTTTCTTCTGGCAAAAAAGGTTCATCAGAGTTTATAAACTCAGTGTCCCCCACTTCATCAGGGTCCTCCCACATGTCCCCATTCCAAGTTGCAGAGTCCCATTCTTTTCCAGTCTTTTCATCCATTCTTTTCCAATTTTCTTCACTTTAACAGTAGACACCTTGTGATGCTGTGCATGCACTTTTCATGGCAGGTTTGCCACTCACATGATAAGAGCTTGTGTGTGTTTTTCCACAATTTCAGCTCTTTCTCTACAGGAGATAAGACTCTCACTCAAGGTGATATTAGCAGATTTGAGGGTCAGTATCTGTTTCTGAAGATGGGAGTTAAAATCCCTGAGTTCATCATTTTCTTCCATCACTTTGTCCACTGAACTTAGGAGCAAACAACCAACTTCATTATGTTCCTTGCTTCTCCACATATGGTCAAAGGTATTATGTACAGAGTCACTAAATTCCTTGCCTCTCATGAGCGATAAATCAGGAGTGTCAAATGCATTTATTTTGCATAACTCTCTAAACAGTTCATGCCAAGCAGTATCAGTGTTCTCCATACTATTAAAGGAGAGACCTTAGCACTTTTGGTTCTAATCATATTAAGCAAGCAATGCCAAAAACCCCAAAACCAGTGAAAGAACTCCATCCTTAATATTCTGTTCCTCTGGAGCCACTCCTGGTACCAAAATCTGTATTACTCATGGTTCTCTAGATGGTCAGAACTAATAGGAGATATATATATATATATGAGGAGTTTATTAACTCATATATATATATATATATATATATATATATATATATGAGGAGTTTATTAACTCACACAATCACACGGTCACACAATAGGCTGTCTACAAGTTGAGGAGAAAGAAGAGCCAGTCCAAATCCCAAAACTGAAGAACTTGAAGTCCAATGTTTGAGGACAGGAAGCATCCAGCATGAGAGAAAGATGTAGCCTGGGAGGCTAGACTAGTCTAGTCTTTTCACATTTTTCTCCCTGCTTTATATTCTAGCCATGCTGGCGGCTGATTAGATGGTACCCATCCAGATTAACAATGGGTCTGTCTTTCCCAGCCTACTGACTCAAATGCTCATCTCCTTTGGCAACACTCTCACAGACACACCCAAGATCAATACTTTGCCTCCTTCAATCCAATCAAGCTGACACTCAGTATTAGCCATCACAGTCTAGAAGAAATGGACAAATTCCTAGATACATACAACCTACCAAGATTGACCCAGGAAGAAATCCAGAACCTTATACCAATAACAAGTAATGAGATCAATGCCATAATAAAACATCTCCCAGTAAAGAAAAGCCTGGAACCCAATGGCTCCACTGCTGAATTCTAACAATTGTTTAAGAAAGAACTAATATTAATCCTACTCAAACAGTTCTGAAAAATAGAGGAGGAAGGAATACTCCAAACTCACTCTATGAGGCCAGTAGTACCCTGAAAACAAAATCAGACAAAGGCACGTTAAAAAAAGAAAACTGCAGGCCAACCTATATTATGAATAGTGATGCAAAAATTATCAGAAAAAAACTAGCAAACCAAATTCAACAATACATTATAAAAATTATTCATCATGATCAAGTGGGATTTATCCCAGGGATGCAAGGAAGGTTCAATGATATTTGCATATCATTGATTTGATATGCAACTCAAACAATGTGATACATCATATCAACAGAATGAAGGATAAAAACCATATGATCATTTCAACTGTTGCTGATAAAGCATTTGAAAAAGTTTAACATATCTTCATAATAAAAACCCTCAAAAAACTGGGTATAGAAGGAACATACCACAACATAATAAAAACCATATATGACAGGCTCACAGCTATTATTGTACTGAATGTGGAAAAACTGAAAGCCTTTCCTCTTAGATCTGGAGCACAAGGATGCCTACTGTCACCACTGTTATTCAACATAGTATTGGAAGTCCTAGCTAGGGCAATTAGACAAGAGAAAAAAATAAAGGGTATCCAAATTGGAAAGAAAGGAGCCAAATTATCATTGTTTGCAGATGCTACCATCTTATATTTGGAAAAATATAAAGATTCCACCAAAAAACTATTAGAACTGATCAATAAATTCAGTAAAGTTGCATGATACAAAGTTAACATACAAAAATCAGTAGCATTTCTTTATGCCAACAGTCAACAATATGAAAAAAAAAAAATCCCAGGAAAAATAGCCACAAATAGAATTAAATACCTAAGAATTAACTTAACCAAAAAAGTGAAAGTTCTCTAAAATGAGAACTATAAAACACTGGTCAAAGAAATTGAAGAGGACACCAAAAAATGGAGAGATATTCCATGTTCATGGATTGAAAGAATCAATATTGTTAAAATGTCCATACTACCCAAAGCAATCTACAGATTCAATGCAATCTCTATCAAAATACCAAGGACAGTCTTCACAGAAATGGAAAAACAATCCTAAAATTCATATGGAATCACAAAGGACCCATAATAGCCAAAGATAACAAAACTGGAGGAATCCCATTACCTGACTTCAAATTACACTACAGAGATATAGTAACCAAAACAGCATGGTACTGGCATAAAAACAGACACACAAACCAATGAAGCAGAATAGAGAAGCCAGAAACAGAGCCACACATCTACAGTGAACTCATTTTTGACAAAAGTGCCAAGAACATACACTGGGGAAAGACAGTATTTTCAATCAATGCTGCTGAGAAAACTAGATATCCACATGCCGAAGAATGAAACTTGGCCCCTATCTCTTGCCTTATACAAAAATCTTATCAAAATGGATTATAGACTTAAATCTAAGTCCTTAAACTATGAAATAACTACAAGAAAATTTTAGGGAAGTTCTTCAAGATATTGGGCAAAAGTTTCCTAAGTAATACCCCACAAGAGCAGTCAACCAAAGCAAAAATAGACAAATGGGATCACACCACATTAAAAAGCTTCTGTACAGCAAAGGAAACAATCAACAAAGTGAAGAGACAACCCACAAAATGGGAGAAAATATTTGCAAATGACTCATGACTAGGGATTAACAACAAGAATATATAAGGAGCTCAAACAACTCTATAGGAAAAAATCTAATAATCCAGTTTAAAAATGGGCAAAAGATTTGAATAGATATTTCGCAAAAGAAGACATGCAAATGGCAAACAGGCATATGACAAAGTGCTCAACATTATTGATCATCAGAGAAATGCAAATCAAAAGTACAAGACATCATCTCAGTCCAGTTAAAATGGCTATTATCCAAGAGTCAAGCAGTAACAAATGCTAATAAGGATGTGGATAAAAGAGAATCCTCATACACTGTTGGTGAGAATATAAATTGGTACAACCACTACAGAGAACAGTTTGGAGGTTCCTCAAAAAACTAGAATTAGAGCTACCATACAATTCAGCAATCTCACTGCTGGGTAAATACTCAAAAGAAAGGAAATCAGTATATTGAAGTGACAGCTGCACTCCCATGTTTGTTGCAGCACTATTCACAATAGTCAAGATTTGGAAGTAACCTACATGTCCATCAACAGAGGAATGGATAAAGAAAATATGATATTTATACACAATAGAGTACTATTGAGCTATAAAAAAGAATGAGACTACCATTTGCAACAGCATGGATGGAAGCCAGGCACAGAAAGACAAACATAGCATGTTCTCACTTATTTGTGTAATCCAGCAATCAAAACAATTGAATTCATGGAGATAGAGAATAAAGGGTGGTTACCAGAGGCTGGGAAGAGTAGTTGGGAGTTGGTGTTAGGGGAAGGGGAGGATGGTTAATGGCTACAAAAAAGTAGTTACAAGAGTGAATAAGAGTGCTATCAATAGTATTTGATAGCACAACAGCAGGACTATAGTCAATAACAATTTAATTGTACATTTTAAAATAACCAAAACAGTATAATTGGATTGTTTGTAACAAAGGATAAATGCTTGAGGGGATGGATACCCAATTTTCCATGTTATGATTATTACACATTGCATGCCTGTAGCAAAATATCTCGTGTACTCCATAAATATATATACACCTACTATGTACCCACAAAAATTAAAAGTAAAAGAAATTAAAGTTTTTTAAAATTAAAAACCAAAAAATAATTCTGTCAATGATGTGAAGGAAAAACTCTTTTTTTGAGACGGAGTCTCGCTCTGTCGCCCAGGCTGGAGTGCAGTGGCGCGATCTCGGCTCACTGCAAGCTCCGTCTCCCAGGTTCATGCCATTCTCCTGCCTCAGCCTCCCGAGTAGCTGGGACTACAGGCGCCCGACACCACGCCTGGCTAATTTTTTGTATTTTTAGTAGAGACAGGATTTCACCGTATTAGCCAGGATGGTCTCGATCTCCTGACCTCGTGATCCGCCTGTCTCGGCCTCCCAAAGTGCTGGGATTACAGGGGTGAGCCACCGCGCCCAGCTGGAAGAAGAACTCTTATACACTGTTGGTAGGAATGTGAATTAGTGCAGCCATTATGGAAAACAGTATGAGGATCCTCAAAAAACTAAAAACAGAACTATCATATGCTCTAGTATGTCATATCATATGACAAATACTACTGAGTATCCAGGCAATGAAATCAGTATGTCAAAGACATTTCTGCACTCCCATATTTATCATAGCACTATTCACAATAATCAAGATATGAAATTAACCTAAGGGTTCATCTACATAAAAGGATAATGAAAATGTGCTTTAAATACACAATGGAATACTATTAAGTCATATAAAAATGCTGTCAGCAACATGGGTGAGCCTGTAGGACACTGTGTTGAGTGAAATAAGACAAGCATAGAAAGACAAATATCACATATTCTCACTCATATGTGGAAGCTAAAAAAGTTGATCTCATAGAAGTAGAGAGTAGAATAATGGTTACTAGAGGCTGGAAGCAGGTAGGGGAATAGGGAGAGGTGGGTTAACAGAAAGAAATTTTAGCTAGATAGGAGAAATAAGTTCTAGTGTTCTATAGCACTGTAGAATGACTATAATTATAAATAATTTACTGTATATTTTCAGCAAGAAGAGAGGATTTCAAATGTTCCCCATACAAATAATAAATATTTGAGGTGATGAATATGCTGATTACCCTAATTTGATCATTACACATTGCATGTATTGAAATATCACACTGTACTCCATACATATGTACAATTATTTTGTGCCAATTAAAATTTTTAGAAAAGATATATATGGGAAGTGGATTTTTGAGTAATTGTTAATAGCATAAAGTAACATAATGAACAGTTTAGACCAGAAAAATTAAAACAGTGAATCATCTTTATTATACCATCTCTATCCATTTATGCCTAGTGTTCTATTATTGGAACGCTAAGCATGTGGGAGTTATTTATATTCTACTGCTCAAGGTCATCGCCAAGGTCTGATTTTTCACATGTGTCTGCAATTCAAAAAATTGCAACATCCGGCATAAATGGTTAAGGTATAGGTTAGTATTACAAAAGACAGAAAAAAAAAAAGTGAAAATGAGAAATTACCTGGTACCCTCAAACTACTTGTTAAGATAGGAATTTGGTTTCTGGACCTTTTTTGACTTCAGAAGGGTTTACTTAAGTTGAGACAGAGTCCATGCCCCCTCCCCTAATGGCACCTTTGCTGCCTTCAGTGGATGAATGGCATGAAAACCCGCACGCACACAGTGGTGTTCACCATTCCTCTCTCCTGAAGACATCACTTTCTGCAGCTCTCACTGTAGGTTCTTATTTTCCCACATCCAATAAACTACTTCTGACTGCTGTCTGATCACCACTCTTCCTCTTTTAAAAGTACATTTTTATATTACGTCTTGGCATATACCTATGCCATCTTGAACCCTTTTCACTTTTGTCTCTCCTCTACTTCTGACTGCTGTCTGATCACCACTCTTCCTCTTTTAAAAGTACATTTTTATATTACATCTTGGCATATACCTATGCCATCTTGAACCCTTTTCACTTTTGTCTCTCCTCTTCTAGTTTAACTCTCCTATTGTCTGAAATACTGGGAACTGATTCATATCCTCCCTTCCCAGTCCATCTCTGCAATATCATCCAACATTTACTGAACATCTACTAAGTGCCAGATGCTCATTTCAATGGCCATGAAAATGACTCATCCAACCAGTTAGCTCCATAGTTCCTGGGCTACCTTAACTTCAAAAACTGTCATCTCCATGCCATTTTAGTCACTCACTCCCAGGACCATACCCTTTGTCTTGTCATTGTCAAGGACCCCTCCCTTCTTAAATTGTAATTTCTTCATTCAACTCTGGTTACAACACCCTAGCCCTTTGATCTCATAGAGATTCACTCCTGTATTACTTTTCTCAGGCCACCATTAGGAGGACCATATAATTTATTGTCCAAAAGATAATATTTTGCAAGTGAAAGTGGATGCTGTAATAATTATGCCAAGATGATACTGAGCAAACAGGGATGTATGATCACGTTAGCTATCATCACTTCTGGGTAATTTTCCTTTCCTATTCAACTTGTGGTTAGCCATCTGAACTGATTTCTTGCTGGCCCTCTTTCTTCCTCTTGCATTCTTCTGCATTATTGTCTATAAATTGCCAACCTGGAACTGCGCTGCCATTTGCCTTTTTTTTCCCCCTATAACCCTGCAGACTGGGTTATCTAGACATTCAGTTCCCTAACTGAGCCCTCAGAATCACCCTTCAATCATTTCCATCTTTACTCGCCTCTCTTTCCTATTCCTCTCAAAAATAATTCCACACTTTTACTACTTTTAGAAGAGCTCCTTCTACTCAGTCTTTGACTCCTCTCCCAGCAAATGAGCAAGAATCCTCCTCCGTTGAACGAACTGAGATTTGTAGCTGCAAACTCCCTCATCTTCCCACTCTTTGCATTTCACTACAAATTTACTTCCAACAAGGCTATTCTTGGTCCGTTAAGTCCAAAATAAGTGTCTGTCCTTCTGCTCAGCCACCTGTGGTGTAGATCGTCCTCTTCTGGGCTTATACCAAACCCAGTGCATCTCTCTATCACTAATCTCCCACAGGGTTTTACAATTACCTGATTAGGTGTCACATTCCCCACTGAGCTGGAAACCTCTTAAAGGAAAAAACTGTGAATTATTCATCTCAGTAGCCTCAGGGCCTAGCAAGACTTTCAGTAGGTATTTGCTGAATGAGTGAATGCACTCAGGCAGGCAATATCGTTTGCATTCTTTCTTGGTGGTCTGATTTATAAGAGCAAGAAAAACAAACACTTCAGGGCAATTTATATCCTTGTTTAATTAAACTAAACAGAGGCTGTGTGCTTTCACTTGTAGGAAAAGTCAACAAATAAAATGGTTTTGCTCTGTAAAGGAATTGGATTCACAGAATTCCTAAGTTTAAAGTTTGTTTTTAAGACTCTCAATGGAAAAACACATTTTAGCTGGTCTGGTAGAACATCTCAAAAGAGTGAATAATAAAATGTTGCTCAGGCCCTGGGATTTTTATTTATCATGTTTTGAGGCAAAACTCTCCTATTTTCTGGCTTAAAGAGTGGATGCATTATTGTCAGGTCTATGACTTAACCAATTATGGAGAAACTTTGTTTTGGAATGGGTCAAAGAATAATGATTTTTAGAAAGTAAGTTGGTTTTGCTATAAAGAAAGATTTTCTTATACTCTTTGATTCTGAGTAGGCATTTCTCCTTTCACATGCTAAGTTTGTATCAATAAATGTCATGTCATATATAAAGAGGCTGCTACTGTCCCTGTGTTAGGTGTATTTTAAGTATTTTTTGCTTTCTGGGTAACACATTGTGCCTAGCAATTATCTGCAGAAATATTTGTGTGGTTAGAAATTGTAGGTTATCTGTATTTTGAGCAGAAAGAAGCTGACCCATGGGGGGTGGGGGAGGTAGGGCTACAACAACAGCAGTTCGATGGAAGATTGGACAACATTTTGTGATTTCTTCATGTGTCTGAAGGAATTCCCAATATTCTTACAGCAAAATCATGTCCATTAATTTGATTTTTTAAAAAATTGAGCACATTCCATTTGGCACCCCCTCCGTCCATTCATTGAGCACGTACCCTAGGTCAGATACCAGGCTAGACTCTGGCAAAGGTAAAATGAATAAGAAAACCTCCTTACCCTTCTTGTATTCTGCAAAGGAAAGCAGCTATGGAAACAAAATTATTGTACAGTGTAGTAAATGCAAACAGAGAAACACAGTACTTACCCAGTTTTGTTCTGGCACTGAAGGGGGAAAAACTTAATTTGGCAGAGAAAATTTCTCTGTAGAGAGAATAAAATGTTTGATGGTGTAAAGGTGTGAACTAGCATAGTGTGTATTCTTGGTCATGGCTGGTACTTAAACTAGGGGGTATGGGATAGGGGAGGGGAAATAAAACTGGAGAAAGAGGAAAAGAACCACCAGATGGAGGGTCTAACACATCACATCAAGGGCATTGAGTTTTATTCTGTGGGCAAGGGAGAGCCAATGAAGGGTTTTAATGGGAAAGAAAGAAACAGATCTGTGTTTTAGAAAGATCATGCTGTCATACTGTGTAGGACTGCTTGAACTGCAAAAATAACTGAAAGCAGGGAAATGAGTTGGGGAGCCCTGGTAGTTGTTCAGGTGACAGATAATAAGACTTAAACCAAGGTAGTAGCTGTGAGGATGGAGCAATGTGGAGAGATTAGAAACATTTAATTGGGAGAATGAGCAGAATTTGGTGACTTGATTTAATCTGGAAAGAGGGTTGGATAATGGAAAAGAAATTCGGGATTTTTTTTAAGTTTCTGACTTAGATGACTTATAAAATGAATATGTGCAAATGCCATTTCTGAGAGCGTGGAGGTGGCAGAAAATATAAAACCAAACCAAGAACAATCGGGTACTGAAACTCCTCAAAGGTGGGGAATTACTGCTCTAACTCACTGTGACCAACTAGTCTCAGATACATCTTTAAAATTGTTTACATCACCCATTAAGTGGATTATAAATAACTTCTTTTACTTTTGGCAGACATTTAAAAGCTCTTTTAAAATTATGGAATATAAATATGCATTATTTTCTTGAGAGAAACTAACAAATGTTATGTAAATTCAAAAATACTCCTTTTCTACTTTTAAAAATCTATTTGTTAAGCAGTTCTGAAATGAAAGTAAATGAAGAAGGTAATTAACTGTGGGGTATAAATTCCCCCCAGGGTTAGAAGGAGTGAAGAAAACAGCTACATTGAAACAAACCTGGTAATGAGACTTCACATAGAAAATATTACGTGTGAGATACCAATTTGTTAATGTCAATACCTTGAAAAACTCTAGGCTAATAACTTGAGCTAGTAGCCAATGTATTAGGTTTGGCTCTTATAAACATGCAATTTTACCTTTCACTAGCAGGATATTTCCCTGTTAATCATGACTTATGTGCTAAAACCAGATAGAAGCAAAGTGAAACGAATCACTAATTTGAAACGACCTTCAGGATAAAGCTGTGTGCAGTGAAAACAACCTCATACTGTGTAGGCAAATGATGCCACCTCATGTTACAGTTGTGATTTGGCTTCAAGATAAATAGGGATTCAGTAGCAGAGAACACAGCCCGAGAAGGTGGCATGTTCCTCTCAAAAAGTGCAATGAGGAATGCTAGACCCTGGCTAATATACCTTATTGTCCTTTGTGGAGCCTTTTGCACTCCATTTATAAAAGAAGAGCTGCAACCTTTCAATGTATAGTAGAGACAATTGACAATAATCCAAGATCTAGGATGAAACCTCCATATGCCATGCTATGTACCTGTTTCTCTAAGTAATGTACAGAGTGAGAAACCTGGATTCTTACTTAAAATTAGAAACAGACACAGTACATTTCTTGCCTGCTTTTCCTGGCATTATGGTAAATAAGTGAACCAGTTTCTAAACTCTCACTTCACTGAAGGCTGTAAGTTAATTGGATAAGTGTTTTCCAATAGTTCTAAAATAGCTCTGGGGTACATTGGATTTGTTTGATCTTACAGTAGTGCTGCATGCAGCTTAATTTTCTGCGCTTCGGTTTGATAAGTCTGTGCCTCATCATATCTTGATTTGGCTTTCTGGTATATGTGTGTACATGTGACCCTTATACCCTCTTTCTGTGGTTCATTATTGACTGTGACTATAGAGATTCCTGAGCTAGTCTTGAGGAAAGTCTGATAGAGCACCATAACAAATGGTGGTTCTTTCAACAGTATGTTAATTCTGGAACAGAGGCTTTTGTGCCAGTGCTATTGCTATTAGGTTGGGCCAAATTAAATTTCCATTATTGTACATAAAAAATGGTCTCATAATGGCCATTTCATATGATTCAACTCATAGTTTAACTCGGTCATAACCACTTTTTTTTACTTCTAAACCTGATGGGTAGTGTTCCCATGTGTATCAGTCCATTCTCACGCTGCTGTGAAGAAATACCCGAGACTAGGTAATTTATAAAGGAAAGAGGCTTAATTGACTCACAGTTCTGCCTGGCTGGGAAGGCCTCAGGGAACTTACAATCATGGCGGAAGGCAAAGGGGAAGCAAGGTGCCTTCTTCACAAGGTAGCAGCAGGGAGAAGTGCAAGCAGAGGAAATGCCAGATGCTTATAAAACCATCACATCTCATGAGAACTCACTCACTATCATGAGAACAGCAGGGGAAACCACCCCATGATCCAATCACTACCCACTGGGTACCTCCCATGATATGTGCGGATTATGGGAACTAAAATTCAAGATGAGATTTGGGTGGGGACACAGCCAAACCATATAATTCCACTCTAGCCCCTCCCAAATCTCATATCCTCACATTTCAAAACACAATCATGCCTTCCCAACAGTCCCCCGAAGTCTTAACTCATTCCAGCATTAACTCAAAAGTCCAAGTTTAAAGTCTCATCTGAGACAAGGCAAGTCCCTTCCACCTATGAGCAGGTAAAATAAAATACAAGTTAGTTCCTTCCAAGATAAAATGTGGTTACAGGAATTGGTTAAATATCCCCATTCCAAGCAGGAGAAGTTGGCCAAAACTAAGGGGCTTACAGGACCCATGTGAGTCCAAAATTCAATAGGGCAGTCATTAAACCTTAAAGTTCCAAAATGATCTCCTTTGATTCCATGTCACATCCAGGTCATACTGGTGCAAGAGGTCGACTCCCATGGCCTTGGGCAGCTCCACCCCTGTGTCTTTGCAGGGTACAGCCCCCATCCTGGTTGCTTTTATAGACTGCTTTGAGTATCTGTGGCTTTTCCAGGTGCATGGTGCAAGTTGTCAGTGGATCTACAATTCTGAGGTCTGGAGGATGCTGGCCCTTTTCTCACAGCTCTACTAGGCAGTGCCCTAGTAGGGACTCTGTGTGGGGGCTCCATCCCCACATTTCTCTTCTGCACTGCCCTAGCGGAAGTTCTCCATGATGGCTCCACCCCTGCAACAAACTTCTACCTAGATGTTCAGGCATTTTCATACATCCTCTAAAATCTAGGCAGAGGTTCCAAAAGCTCAATTCTTGACTTCTGTGCACGAACAGGCTCAACACCATGTGAAAGCTGTGAAGGCTTAGGGCTTGCACCCTCTGAAGCAATGGCCTGAGCAGTACCTTGGCCCCTTTTAGCCATAGCTGGAGCTGAAGCAGCTGGGACACAGGACACCATGTCTTGAGACTGCACAGAGCAGGAGTCCCAGCCCAGGAAACCATTTTTCCCTCCTAGGCCTCTGGGCCTGTGATGGGAGGGCCTGCTCTAAAGGTCTCTGACATGCCCTGGAGACATTTTCCCCATTGTCTTGGTGATTATCATTTGGCTCCTTGTTACTTATGCACATTTCTGCAGCCAGGTTGAATTTCTCCTCAGAACATGGGTTTTTCGTTTCTATTGCATAATCAGGCTGTAAATTCTCCAAACATTTATGTTCTGCTTCCCTTTAAAACATAAGTTCCCATTCCAAACCATATCTTTGTGAATGCATAAAACTGAATGCTTTTAAGAGCACTCAAGTCACCTCTGAATGCTTTACTGCTTAGAAATTTCTTCTACCAGATACCTTAGGGTATCTAAGAGATCTTACCCTTAGATACCTTAGAAATCTAATCATCTCTTTCAAGTTCAAAGTTTCACAGATCTCTAGGGCAGGGGCAAAATGTTGCCAGTCTCTTTGCTAATGCATAGCAAGAGCACCTTTATTCCAGTTTTGTGAGCGGCAAGCCACCTAGGTGCCGAGGCAAGAGACCGAGGGCATGAGCTGTTCCAGTATAATAAAATATATAAAATAAGAATAGTTATACTAGATATAGATCATAGATATGATTATATATGAATATCATTAATCATTAGTTTATAGCAATTACTCTTTATTCCAATATTATAATAATCCTCGCTCTATAATCATAACCTAGGAAAAACCAGGTCATACAGAGATAGGAGCTGAGGGGACATAGTGAGAAGTGACCAGAAGACAAGAGTGCGAGCCTTCTGTTATGCCTGGACAGTGCCACCAGAGGGCTCCTTGGTCTAGCGGTAATGCCAGCATCTGGGAAGACACCCATTGCCAAGTGGACCATGGTCTAGCGGTAGCATCAGTGTCAAGGAAAAACACCTGCTACTTAGCAGACCAGGAAAGGGAGTCTCCCTTTCCCTGGGGGAGTCTAGAGAAGACTCTACTCCTCCACCTCTTGTGGAGGGCCTGCCATCAGTTGGGCCTGCCCGCAGTTATCTGGAGGCCTAACCATCTCCCTGTGATGCTGTGCTTCAGTGGTCACGCTCCTAGTCCGCTTTCATGTTCCATCCTATACACCTGGCTCTGCCTTTTAGATAACAGTGGCAAATTAGTGAAAGTACTAAAAGTCTCTGATATGCAGAAATAATGGTGTAAGCTGTCTCTCTCTCTCTCCCTCTCTCTCTCTGCCTCAGCTGCCAGGCAGGGAAGGGCCCCCTGTCCAGTGGACACGTGACCCACATGACCTTACCTATCATTGGAGATGGCTCACACTCTTTACCCTACCCATTTGTCTTGTATCCAATAAATATCAGCGCAGCATGGCATTCGGGACCACTACTGGTCTCCGTGTCTTGGTGGTAGTGGTCCCCTGGGCCCAGCTGTCTTTTCTTTTATCTCTTTGTCTTGTGTCTTTATTTCTACAATCTCTCGTCTCCGCACATGGGGAGAAAAACCTACCGACTCTGTGGGGCTGTACCCTACAAGTTCCCAACAAGTTTCTCATCTGCAACTGAGAACACCTCAGCCTGGACTTCATTGTCCACATCACTATCAGCATTTTGGTCAAAACCATTCAACAAGTTGTAACTGTCCAATGGGTTCACCTTGTCTGCTACCTAGACATAACTGATTTATCAAGACAGGATTACAAAGGAGAAAGAGTAATTCACACAGAGCCGGCTGTGTGGGAGACCAGAGTTTTATTATTACTCAAATCAGTCTCCCTGAGCAATTGGGGATCAGAGTTTTTAAAGATAATTTGGTGGGTCGGGGCTTGGGAAGTAGGGAGTGCTGATTGGTCAGGTTTGAGATGGAATCATAGGGGGTCAAAGTGAAATTTTCTTGCTGTCTTCTGTTACTGGTTGGGATAGCAGAACTGGTTGAGCCAGATCACTGGTGTGGGTGGCATCAGCTGATCCATCAAGTGCAGGGTCTGCAAAATATCTCAAGCACTGATCTTAGGTTTTACAATAGTCATGTTATCCCCAGGAGCAAGTGGGGGAGGTTCAGACTCTTGGAGCCAGAGGCTACACGATCCCTAAACTGTAATTTCTAATCTTGTGGCTAATTTGTTAATCCTGCAGAGGCAGACTGGTCCCTAGGAAATAAGGGGGTATTTTTGGGAAAGGGCTGTTAATCAACTTTGTTTCAGAGTCTAACCATAAACTGAATTCCTACCTAAAGTTAGTTCGGCCTACACCAAGGAATGAACAAGGACAGCTTAAAGTTTAGAAGCAAGATGGAATCAGTTAGGTCTGGTTTCTTTCACTGTCATAATTTCCTCAGTTATAATTTTGCAAAGGCAGTTTCAAAATCTCTAGGAAGTTCCAAGCTTTCCCACATTTTCCTGTCTTTTCCTGAGTCCTCCAAACTGTTGCAACCTCTGCCCATTACCCAGTTCCAAAGTCTCTTCCACATTCTCAGGTATCTTCTACCAATGTCCCACTAGCTCGGTACCAATTTATTGTATTAGTCCATTCTCATGCTGCTATGAAGAAATACCCAAGACTGGGTAATTTCTAAAGGAAAGAGGTTTCATTGACTCATAGTTCTTCACGGCTGGGAAGGCCTCAGGAAATTTACAATCATGGCAGAACGTGAAGGGGAAGTAAGGTACTTTCTTCACAAGGTAGCAGCAGGGAGAAGTGCAAGCAGGGGGAATGCCAGATGCTTTTAAAACGATCAGATCTCATGAGAACTCACTCACTATCATAAAAACAGCATGGGTGAAACTGCCCCCGTGATCCAATCTCTTCCCACCAAGTCCCTCCCATGATATGTGGGGATTATGGGAACTGCAATTCAAGATGAGATTTCGGTGGGGACAAAGCCAGACCACATTATCATGCTTGCAGCTCTGTCTTTATTCTGTGTCACCTTATCTCAGGAAGTAACATCTTCATCATCCAGCTACCCAAATCAGATAAGTGGGAGTTATCAAAACTACACCTTCTCCTTTATTCTCCACATTCCCCCAGTTTCAAAGTTTTACTGATTCTTTTTCCCAATACCTTTTAAATCCAAATACTTCTCTCCATCTTGGTTCAAATTGACATAATCTTTTGCCTGGACTAAATACACCAGCTTCCAAACCAGTCTTCTCACATCCATTCTTGCCTTCATTAATCTAACCTTTCTATTGCAGCCAGAGAGAGAGATCTTTTCAGAATCTGGTAATGACTCTCTCCTTCTCAAAGCCCTTCAATAGCTTCCTATTGGCCTTAAGAGAAAATTCACATTCTTGACTTGGTTGCAAAGTCCTGCGTTATCTGGCCCACTTCTCCAGCCTCATCTTGTATTCATTCTACTATAGCCACAGTGGCCTATTTCAGCTCCTTGAACACATGATCTTCTTTCCCATCTCTTGGTGGTACATGCTGTTCCAGCTTTCTTTCGCCCACTCCACCTTCTCCACTCATGTGGCCAAATGCCAGTCTTACTGGGCTCTGCTTGAACTTTGCTTCCTCACAGAGCCTTCTTTGACTACCCAGGGTAAGTTGAGACTCCTGTTATATGCTCAAATAGCATCTGAATTTCTTCTTCATGACATTCCTTATATTTATGAACTTAAGTCACACTGCATGATCCTTGAAGGTAGAAACCATTTCTGTGTTGTTTACTGCTGTATCCTCTGTGCTTGACACAGGCCTGCAACATGGCCACCTTCAATAAACCTGTAGTAAGTGAATATATGACAGTCTCAGAAACATGTCCAATTTTTGAAGTTACATTTTCAGCTTTTTCCTATAGAATTCTTGATGTCCCATTGGCAATTCCACCCGTTTCTCCCTCTCACTTTAAGAAGACTAGACTGCAATCTAGGACAATGATGTCATTTTTTGACAAAAACTTGAATCTGCCTTAAATTTTTTACATAGATGGACACAGACATAATCTCTGTAATATGCAGGCATAGTTATTACTAGTAACCGATCATTCACAGTTCACAGTTGATTCAAGCACTCTGTTGAGGCTGACGTTACAGTGGAGAATGATTGATCCAATTATCTAGAACAGCTCAGCTAAGGAAGCACAAAGACTCATTGCAGTAGGCACATCAAGTTTTAGAGATGCTTTCTTTAGTTAAAGGTGCCTTCTTTTGGAGGAAACACAGGATTGAGTGGAGCACTAGGCATGTACCCTGAACACATTGTTCTTTCTGTTTGAAGTGGGAAAAGTTGAAGACAACTCTTCTAACCTCTAGTTAGGGAGAAAAAAAACTAACTTCGAGGAAACATCTATATAAGAAAATATGACAGTATGTTAGTTTCCCAGTAGGAAACAGATGCAGTCAAAGGCTTTAATTAAAAAGTGTTATGGACTATATATAGAGGTGTGTACAGGGTTAATAGGACCAGTAAGGGATGGTGAAACATTCAGAGTCTAATCACAGTGGAAAAGTGACATCATCCATTGGTCTCAAGAAGCAGAGGGAAAGAATAGTGATACCCAAACCCTGAGCAAGCTGGGGTCATGGAAGTGGGGCTACTCAACAGGAGCTTTGGCCATGGAGGAACATACCTGCTTTCATCTCATGCTGGTGCCTCCATTTGTCTAGACCTAGTCAAAAGTCAGAGAGTTAGAAAGCCCATATCATAAGAGTCAATGGAGGGCAGCTTTCTGGGATGCGGAGTAGAGCAGAGAAGGGCAGAGAATAAGTGGAGTAAGGTGGAGTCAGACAGAGAACCAGCACAGGAAGTATACAATTAGTGCTAGATTTTGTAATAATAACTGTGTATGCACTAGAATTGCTATTTGTATTGTTCTAAATAAATGAATTAAGGACTTACCATATATTCTACCTTCTGGCCCTTTTGTTCAATTATTGAGTAAAATAAGATCTTTTTGATTCCATTTGCAGTAGGTTTGATTCAAAACCTACTGCTGGATTGAATTCCAGTAATTTTACTAGCTAGCATTTATTAGTCCTCTCTTTGTACCAGCCACTATTCAAAATTTTTAACATATATTAATTCATTTGATTCTCAGAACAATTTTATGAGCTGGATATAGTATTGCGCAATTAGTAGCCAATGCAGAACTATACATTATTCTTTATCCTAATTCTTTTTGTGCACTGAGGTACTCCTGGTGACATTCTATTGCTAGTAAGCAGCCTCTGCTGTCCAACCCTAATTGGGAAAGAGCCACTGACTCAGGAGCACTTCTGACTTCCACTCTGCTGCAAGAAGCCCTGATGGGCAATTTGTATGCAGGGTGAGCTTCTGCCTGAGTATTGCTAGGAAAGGAGTGATTACAGGCCAGGGGCTCTCTCATGCACATAACATCAACAGTAAATGAGACATTTTGGTTGACTTCCTGTGTAAATGCACACAGGGCCACAGAAGCGAGCTCTTTCTTTGCACAGAGGCCTAAATTTATGTGTAGGGAGAGTATATCTTAGCTACTGATCTAGTCATTATATCTCACCTTGGCCTTCTCATGCATCTTTCTCCTTAATCCACTCTTCCTTGTCTCCCGCAACAGGGGCCAGTGTGTCAGGAGATAGCCCTTCTTGTCAGGGGGTGGGTATCATGTCATATCTTGTCAGAGTGTCCAGTATAGTAACCATAGGGTCCTCAAAGGGGCTGGAGCAGCTCCTAACATTTTATGCCAATCTTTGTAACGATGAACATTTTTTTCTAAGACAGTCCAGCTTTCATCAGAATTTGTTTAAAGGCAAGAATTACTATCTGGCCATTGACACTTACTATATAAATGGAGAAACTGAAACCATAGAAGTTCAGGTCCCACACAGGTATTATCAGAACCAGGACCAGAACCCCAGCTTTCCAACTCTTAGTTCAGAGGTTTCCGTCCGACCAGACTTTTACACATAGGAAACCACAAAGTGGTGGTTAACAGAGGCCAAACTTGCTTCCAACCCCTTTGGAGTCCTGAGAAGTTAGAACACTTACTCAAGGTCAAGCAATAAAATTTTGGGTGACTATGTTTCTTCACACCAAAATAAAATAGTTTTGAACTCTCTAGTTCTAAGTCCTGCCTAGAGAAATAGTTCTTTGCTATAGAAAAGGTGAAGAGAAATACTTTGGGGTCAAGGCTCTAGATTTTGGATCTGGGATGGCAGTAGTGGAAAATTCCAGCAGGGAATTCTAAGGGTCTTTGGAGTTCTGTGGCTCACTGCATCATCCCAGAGGTTCATTTTCCAGAGAACAGGATACAGCCTGGTTTTTGTTTTTGTTTTTTAGGAAAAAATTACGCCCTTTAAGGCACTTGTTTTCAAGCTGATAAAGTATAATAATAGAGTATTGAAACAGTGTAAAAGTGATTTGAAAAGCTATCTGGATATTTTCAGCTTATTAGAGTGATTCCCTTTAGAATGAATGACAAATAATTTCCTGAGGAGTTTTTGAGCCTAATGCTAGTAAGTCAAAAGAGTATGAGAATAGCTTGATTATGTCAAGTTTAGCATCCAGGGGAAATAGACGTGCTTAAGGATGAGGTTGCTGTACTCAGCTGTGACCCCTAATTGTATGGGGAATAATAATCTGGTATTGGCTTAGCCCTGTTCATAAAGGTTCACCTCTACCACTGCCCACTTGTTGGCAGTTGCCACTACCATTAGCCCTTTGGACAGCGTAGGTGATGGCAAAGACAAGGGGATTACTCACATTTGTCTGTTGGCCTCTTGGGAGCAGCATGTTTGAGGATGGCACATTCCAACTTAGCCCTGCCCTGTGCTATTTGAGAGCCATGCACTGCAAACTTGCAAATTGTCATTTGTCCAGGGTAAGTAGTAAAGGACACTGATTTAATTTGCCACCTACTGTATTTTTCTGATGATGTGGGGAAGGATGGAGGGAACAGACATTCAAGCATGTATTACATGCCAGTTACTCTGCTTGCATTTGCTCTATCTCACTACCAGTCTGTGAAGATGAAGTTGATGGACGAAAATAGCACTCAGGTTTATATAGCTGGTAGGTGGCAAAAAACCTGACTTGAATTGGTCTGCTTGACTCTAAAGTTCTAGTTTCCTATTATTCTGCCGTGCCATCTGGCTTAGCAGAAGAGCTGGTGGTTCATTTTATATTTATGTGTGCAAAATCAATCTACACTGTAGCTTGATATAAAGAATATGTGTGTATGTGTGTGTATTTTTAAAAACAAAGACAATGTATCCCAACAACCCACAGAAAATGTAGGATCAGAACTCAGAAAATTATTATCCTCGTTGATTATGGCCACTGTCCACTGCCTTTATTTTATAGCCTACAGAAGATTAGCATCTCCTTATATGCCTAAATATACTCATCCATAAAATGGGGATTAGACTGAATCAGCTCACGGAAGGAACATCGTGCAGAAAATGTGATTAATAATGGAAAAGCACTTTGGAAAGAGAAAGTGTGCTGCTGGTGCTGTAATTTGCTGGCCTAGAACAAATCAGTTTTGAAATCTCTCTTAGTCTTCAGATGTTTAAATTAGAGGTGGAGTTGACATATTTTTCACTGTTTTTGTTAATATTCACCCTTATGACAGAGGCACAGAGCAAACATTTTGAGAAACTATCATTACCAGTTTGTAGAATGAGATATTTTATTCAACTAAATTAAAGATGCCAGAGTTAAATGGATTTTTTACATGATGACCTGTCATATGCAAGGACATATCAAGTCACAACTGTAACAGAATATTATTTAAAATAGAGGGAAGTACAATGAATAGAACAGGCACAGGTTTGGTATCAGTTTTCAGTTAAGCACCCTGTTTTCCTTTTTTTTTTTTTTTTTTTAAAGAAAATGATATTTATTTGGGCATAGTGCATTACAATGGGAATATGTGTGCCATAGTAAACTGTGCGTATTCAGGGGGGTAAAGGAGGACAAAGGTTTTTAAGGGGAAAATACAAGAGGATTACTTCACAGTGTTGAGATAATTATCTTTGGCTACAAGGATGAGTAACAAGGGTGATGCCAGTCCAGGGTGGGACAGGCAGTGGCTGGTCAAATGCCTTTGCAGAAGTTTGTTTTCCTGTAACTTTGTGGTAGCCTTTGAAGCATCCTGTTTTCCAAACAGACCACCCTCTAATCAAACTTATGGATACAGCTTTGTCTCTCATGGCTGTCTCTTTCATATTACTATTGCATATTTAGTCTCCTTCCCATTCCTAGAATATTGAAAATATACAGTAGTCCCCCATTATCCACAATTTCTATTTTCACAGTTTCAGTTATTTGTGGTCAGCTGAGGTCTGAAGAATGGGTAAGTACAATACGGTAAGATATTTTGAGTGTGAGAGGCATCGCATTCATATAACTTTTATTATAGTAGGTTGTTATAATTGTTCGACTTCCATATCAGTTATTGTTGTTAATCTCTTATTGTGCCTAATTTATAAATTAAACTTTATCATAGGTATGTTTATACAGTCATGTGCCACGTAACGACATTTAGGTCAATGACTGACCACATACGCAACAGTGGTCCCGTGAAATTATAGTGGAGCTGAAAAATTCCTATTGCTTAGTGACATCATGGCACAATGTATTACTCATGTGTTTGTGGTGATGCTGGTGTAAATCAACCTACTATGCCGCCAGCTGTATAAAAATATAACATACAATTATGTATGGTATATAATACTTGATAATGATAATAAATGACTGTGTTAACAGTTTATGTTTTTACTATAACTATACTTTTTATCATTGTTTTAGAGTGTACTACTTTTACTCATTTTTTGAAAACAATTTAACTGTAAAACACCCTCAGGCAGGTCTTTCAGGAGGTATTTCAGAAGAAGGCATTGTTATCATAGGAGATGACAGCTCCATGCATGTTATTGCTCTTATAACCTTCCAGTGGAACAAGAAGTGGAGGTGGAAGACAGTGATATTGATGATTTTGACCCTGTGTAGGTCTAGACTAAAGTGTGTGTCTTAGTGTTTAACAACAATAACAAAAATGTAAAAAGTTAAAAAAAAATAGGCCAGGCATGGTGGCTTACGCCTATAATCCCAGCACTTTGGGAGGCCAAAGTGGGAGTACTGCTTGAACCCAGGAGTTTGAGACCAACCTGGGCAACATAGTGAGACCCTGTCTTTATAGGTACATAAAAAAGACAGCAAACAAAACCAAATTTAAGCTAGAAAAAAAGTATGGAATAAGGATATAAAAAAGAATTTTTTGTTGTTTTTGGGGGGCTTTTTTGTTTGTTTGACACAGGGTCTCACTCTGTCACCCAGGCTGAAGTGCGATGATGTGATCTTGGCTCACTGCAGCACCTGCCTCCCTAGGCTCAGGTAATCCTCTCATCTCAGCCTCCTGAGTAGCTAGGACTACAGGTGTACACCACTATGCCTGGTCAGATTTTTGTATTTCTTGTAGAGATGGAGTTTTGCCATGTTGCCCATGGCCTGGTCTCGAACCCCTGGACTCAAGCAATCCACCCGCCTCAGCCTCCCAAAGTGCTGGGATTGCAGGTATGAACCACCATGCCTGGCCTGAAAATGTTTTTGTACAGGTATACAATGTGTGTTTTAAGCTAAGCATTATAAAAGAGTCAAAAATTTTTTAATTTAAATTTATAAAGTAAAAAATGTTACAAACTAAAGTTATTATTAATGAAAGAATTTTTAAAATATAAATGTAGAGTAGCTTAAATGTACAGTGTTTATAAAATCTACAGTAGTGTACAGTAATGTCCTAGGACTTCACATCCACTTACCAGTTGCTCACTGACCTAGAGCAATTTGTAAACTTCCTTGTAAACTTCCTTCATCGTAAGTGCCCTATACAGGTGTACCATTTTCTGTCTTTTATACTGTACTTTTTAATGTTTAGATACATAAATACTGAACAGTGTGTTACAACTGCAAATAGTATTCAGTACGGTAACATGCTGTAGGGGTTTGTATGCTAGGAGCAACAGGTTATACCATATAGCCTAGGTATGTAGTAGGCTATACATCTGGATTTGTATAAGTACACTCTACGATGTTGACACAATGACAAAATCACCTAACAATGCATTTCTTAGAAAGTATCCTCATCATTAAGCAACTTAAGATTGTATAGGAAAAAATATAGTACCTATAGGGTTCAGTACTATTTGTGGTTTCAGACATCCACTGGTGATCCTGGAATGTATCTCCTGCAGATAAGGGAAGACTACTGTAGTAAATCAGTTATCCTGTGCAATTAGACCTTAAATTTTGCACAAAAATCCCATGGACTCTCAACTCAAAGGAAAGTTAATCTTGGAATTTGTATTTTAGAAGAAATTGTAATTCCTTTTAGAGACTTTTTAAATGAATAAATTTATATGGACCTCATTTTTCTAGTTCCCTGGGTCTATGTGTCCTTAAAGTAGATCAGTTTGTTCCCTATTAGTTGGCTTGTTTACTATAAGGAAATAGAATTTCTTCAATTCTTTCCCCCAAAAGAGGGGTGCCTTTTTGTTTTGCTGTAGTTTTCTTAAGGTAAGATGGCTTCCCTGGAGAGATTGCACATTTGGTGTGATTAAATTTATCCTATGGAAAATCTTGATTTGAAAGAAGAAAGCCTCATGCTGCTTACCTTTGAGGCCTGGCTTAATAAGTGAGAATGTCTGGCCTGGTTTCATGAGCCACACTTCCTGGTGACAAGAAATTCTTGCACGTAAGGGATTCTTGGGTTTGGTTGTATTTACTTGCTGAGCAGAGTTCTCTTGAACATTTGCTATTCACGTGGGGAAATGGGGTCTAATCTGAAAAAGTGTTAAAATAAAAGCTTGGGGGCCTCTTCATGACATATTCATCACCTTCCTAAACATTGGCATTAAAGATTTCAGTACTATAACGTGAAAGATATTGTCCCCAAATCCTCTATTTTTTTGTTCTTTTGTATGAAGTGCACTTCTCTATCAAATCAGAGAGCTAAATAGTCATGATTGGAAACAACATTCTTCTTTATAAAATTTCTTTCTGTGTATTCTATATGCTATTAAACATTTTCATTTCATAAAATGTCTATATGGTCTATTCCTACAGAAGGCAGACTTACATCTTACTTAAAAGAGCTATAAGTGCCTTAATACAATTTCCCTTAATCAGTTCATTGATTTTCCAGATTTGCTCAATGAAACAGCAAATTCTCCTTTTTTGGTTGGCATCTGCTGTCATCCTTCTGGGATTCATTTATAAAAGTAACATGTTCATGGCCAGGCATGGTGTCTCACACCTGTAATACCAGCACTTTGGAAGGCCGAGGTGCGTGGATCTCCTGAGGTCAGGAGTTTGAGACCAGCCTGGCCAACATGGCGAAACCCCTTCTCTACTAAAAATACAAAAATTAGTCAGGCACCTGTGGTCCCAGCTACTTTAGAGGCTGAGGCAGGAGAATCACTTGAACCTGGGAGGTAGAGGTCGCAGTGAGCCGAGATCATGCCACTGCACTCCAGCCTGAGCAACAGAGCAAGACTCCATTGAAAAAAAAAAAAAAGTGACATGTTTAGCTATGTGGTGCTGGAATACAATTCTTTCTCAGGGTAGCTCTTTGAAACTTAACCTATTAATTTGTGTTCCAATTCCATTATCTGCTTGAACCTCAAGAAGTATGTATCTTGGAAGACTTTGAAAAATGCTTTCTAAAATGATATGTTTTCACACTTTGTTGTATAGTGGTGAGTTGGTAAATGAATTAAAAAACAAAACCAAAAACCTTCTCTGGGGACTTGGGCAAAAGCATTAAGAACCTTTCAAAATAGGTCCATTCTTCAAAATAGCAATTGCACTTGTATGAATTCATCCTAAGGGAGAATATAATCGTAAGTGTGCCCTAACAAGGATCTTTATCACAGTGAGTTTGTAATAGCAAATACTGAAAGTAATCTAAATGCTCATTACCAGGGTATGATCTAAATAAATTATGATATATCCTTACACTGCAGCCATGATAGGGGAAAGCAATCATAGAAACTAGTAGATACTTACATAATCTAAGAAGATGTCTGGTGCTGTTCTAAGTAGTTTATATTAACTCAATTCTCTTAAGAATCTCTATGAGATAGGTGCTGTTATTATTATCCCCATTTTACATGTGAAGAACTGAAGCACAAACAATTTAAGAACCTTGCCCCAAATCATGTAGCCGGTAAATGGTGAAATCTGGATTTGGACCCAGGCAGTGTTGTTTCAGACCTCATGTCTTAAGCACTCATTTATTCTACCTTACAGACAAAAAGTAGATTACAAAGTAATTGTACAGTATGATTCTCCATTTGTGATTGTGTATGTCTATATGTATACACCCATACACATGTATGTCTGTATAGGAGTATAGTGAAAAGAATAAAAAGGAAATGTCAGACTGTTAACTTATTCTGGCAATGGAATTTAACAAATATTTTTACTTACATGAATTTTCTTTCTTTTTTTTTTTTTTTAAACAGGGTCTCACTCTGTCACCCAGGTTGGCATGCAGTGGCACAATCACAGTTCACTGCAACCTCTGCTTCCTGGGCTCAAGCGATTCTCCAGCCTCAGCCTTCCAAGTAGCTGGGACTAGAGATGCATGTCACCATGCTTGGCTAATTTTTGTATTTTTTGTAGAGATGGGGTTTTGCCATGTTGCCCAGGTTTGTCTCGAACTCCTGAGCTCAAAGCAATCTGCCCGCCTCGGCCTCCCAAAGTGCTGAGATTACAAGCATGAGCAACTGTGCCTGGCCATGGATTTTCTAAATGTTCTATAATAATCATATTCAGGGCCATTAAACCAACCTTAATACATTTTAAAAATTTGTTTAAAATTATGCTAATTATGCTCTTTGACCATAAGTTAGTTAAAATAGAAATAACAAAAAGACATTTGAAAAATCCCTAAATATTTAGAATTATATAGCACACTTGCAAATGACCAATGTATCAAAGAGAAAGTCATAAGAGAAATTAGAAATATTTTGCATGGAATGAAAATAAAAATACAACATATCAAAATTTGTAGGATGAATCTAAAACCTGCTTAGAGAGCAATTTACATAATAAAATATATTTTTAAAAATTTTACTTAAAGTTCTGGGATACATGAGCAGAACGTGCAGGTTTGTTACATAGGTATACACGTGCCATGGTAGTTTGCTGCACCTATCAACCCGTCATCTAGGGTTTAAGTCCTACATGCATTAAGTATTTGTCCTAATGCTCTCCCTCCCCTTTCCCCCACAACCCCGGACAGGCCCCGGTGTGTGATGTTCCCCTCCCTGTGCCCATGTGTTCTCATTGTTCAGTTCCCACTTATGAGTGAGAACATGCAGTGTTTGGTTTTCTGTTCCTGTGTTAGTTTGCTGAGTATGATGGTTTCCAGCGTCATCCATGTCCCTGCAAAGGACACATGAACTCATCCTTTTTTACAGCTGCATAATATTCCATGGTGTATATATGCCACATTTTCTTTATCCAGTCTATCATTGATGGGCATTTGAGTTGGTTCCAAGTCTTTGCTATTGTAAATCGTGCTGCAGTAAACATACATGTGCATGTGTCTTTATAGTAGAATGATTTATAATCCTTTGGGTATATGCCCAGTAATGGGCTTGCTGGGTCAAATGGTATTTCTTGTTCTAGATCTTGAGGAATTACCACACTGTCTTCCACAATGGTTGAACTAATTTACAGTCCCACCAACAGTGTAAAACCATTCCTATTTCTCCACATCCTCGCCAGCATCTGTTGTTTCCCAACTTTTTAATGATTGCCATTCTAACTGGTGTGAGATGGTATCTCATTGTGGTTTAGATTTGTGTTTCTCTAATGACCAGTGATGATGAGCTTTTTTTCATGTTTGTTGGCTGCGTAAATGCCTTCTTTTGAGAAGTGTCTGTTCTCAAACTGTTTGATGAGTTTGTTTTTTTCTTATAAATTTGTTTAAGTTCCTTGTAAATTCTGGATACTAGCCCTTTGTCAGAAGGATAGATTGCAAAAATTTTCTCCCATTCTGTAGGTTGCCTGTTCACTCTGATAGTTTCTTTTGCTGTGCAGAAACTCTTTAGTTTAATTAGATCCCATTTGTCAATTTTGGCTTTTGTTGCCATTGCTTTTGGTGTTTTAGTCATGAAGTCTTTGCCCATGCCTATGTCCTGAATGGTATTGCCTAGGTTTTCTTCTAGGGTTTTTCTGGCTTTAGGTTTTACATTTAAGTCTTTAATCCATCCTGAGTTAATTTTTGTATTTTATTAGAAAATAATAATATAAAAGTCTCCAGTTTCATCCATGTCCCTACAAAGGACATGAACTCATAATTTTTTATGGCTGCATAGTATTTCATGGTGTATATGTGCCACATTTTCTTAATCCAGTCTATCATTGTTGGATATTTAGGTTGGTTCCAAGTCTTTGCTATTGTGAGTAGTGCTGTTATAAACATGCGTGTGCATGTGTCTTTATAGCAGCATGATTTATAATCCCTTAGGTATATACCCAGTAATGGGATGGCTGGGTCAAATGGTATTTCTAGTTCTAGATCCCTGAGGAATCGCCACACTGACTTCCACAATGGTTGAACTAGTTTACAGTCCCACCAACAGTGTAAAAGTGTTCCTATTTCTCCACATCCTCTCCAGCACCTGTTGTTTCCTGACTTTTTAATGATTGCCATTCTAACTGGTGTGAGATGGTATCTCATTGTGGTTTTGATTTGCATTTCTCTGATGGCCAGTGATGATGAGCGTTTTTTCATGTGTTTTTTGGCTGCATAAATGTCTTCTTTTGAGAAGTGTCTGTTCATGTGCTTCGCCCACTTTTTGATGGGGTTGTTTGTTTTTTTCTTGTAAATTTGTTTGAGTTCATTGTAGATTCTGGATATTAGCCGTTTGTCAGATGAGTAGGTTGCAAAAATTTTCTCCCATTCTGTAGGTTGCCAGTTGATTCTGATGATAGTTTCTTTTGCTGTGCAGAAGCTCTTTAGTTTAATTAGATCCCATTTGTCAATTTTGGCTTTTGTTGCCATTGCTTTTGGTGTTTTAGACATGAAGTCCTTGCCCATGCCTGTGTCCTGAATGGTATTGCCTAGGTTTTCTTCTAGGGTTTTTATGGTTTTAGGTCTAACATTTAAGTCTTTAATCCATCTTGAATTAATCTTTGTATAACGTGTAAAGAAGGGATGTATAAATAATCCTCATTATTTACACATGATATTATTTTGTACATAGAAAATCCAAAAGAACTTACAGAGGAGTTTTAAATTAATATGAGAATTTATCAAGGCTACTATATTAGAAATATACAATTAGGTAATTGTAATTCTAAATCAGCAATAAACAGAAAGTTTAAAAATTGAAATGCCATCTACAATAGCATCAAAAATCAAATAAGAATAAATCTGACAAATTATGTATAAGACCTCTATACAGAAAACTGTAAAATATTATCGAGAGACAAGACAGAAATACAAGACAGAAATAAATGGAGAGATATGCTATGTTCACAGATTGGAAAATTCAGTAGTGTGGAGATGTCAGTTTTCCCCAAACTGAGGGATAGATTCTGTGAAATATCTATCAAACTCTCAACATTAGTTCAAATAGTTACAAGCTGGAAAAACTGTTTCTATTAACATGAAAATATGTAACTAACTGTGATATAGTCATACAAGGGAATAATATTCTGCAATAAAAATGAGTACATTAGAGCTACAGAAAATGTTTCTATGAGTCTCACAAACATTATGTAAAATGAAAAAAGCAAGGCACACAAAAAGTGATATCTGATCCTGTTTATGTAAAGGATGTACAACTGTATCACACAATTTTTGATAAATACCTATTTGATTATTTAAATATTGAAAACAATGATAAGTACCTATTTGAATGTTGAAAACAACGAAGCAAAGCTAGTCAATAGAGTTTAAGGATCCATTCTTTGGTGGTCAATCCATGAAGAATGCCAAAGATGCAATTATACTTGGAGGTAGAGGTAGGATTTCAAGAGGGTATGAAGAGATCATCTCAGGTACTCCCAATGTTCTATTTCTTGACATGGGAAGGGGTTACATGCTGTTGACTATGTTACAAATGATTGAATTCTGTGTCTTCAGTTCGTTTACTTTTCTAAATCCATGTTATAATTTACTGTTTTCTAAAGGAATTTTAGTAAATGAAGGAGTTGAACTGGGTGAAATTTTTTCATCTCTGAAGTTTGACACTAGGTTCAAGCATCATAAATATACCAGATTTAGAATTCTTGGGAAAATATATTCGTCTGATACGTGCTCAAATTCTGATTGGGGATCTAACCACCTGTGCTGTGTGGGCATAGAACCTACACAGATTAAGCAAAAAAAAAGTTAGGGGACAAATTGCCGAGACCAGCTCAGTCGGGGAGACCCTAACTCAGTGGTGCTAGAGGAATTAAAGACACACACACAGAAATATAGAGGTGTGGAGTGGGAAATCAGGGGTCTCACAGCCTTCAGAGCTGAGAGCCTCAAACAGAGATTTGCCCACGTATTTATTGACAGCAAGCCAGTGATAAGCATTGTTTCTATAGATTATAGATTAACTTAAAGTATTCCTTACAGGAAACAAAGGGATGGGCCAAAATAAAGGGATGGGCTCTGGCTAGTTATCTGCAGCAGGAGCTTGTCCTTAAGGCACAGATCGCTCATGCTGTTGTTTGTGGTTCAGGAATGCCTTTAAGCAGTTTTCTGCCCTGGGTGGGCCAGGTGTTCCTGCCCTCATTCCGGTAAACCCACAACCTTCCAGTGTGGGCGTCATGGCCATCACGAACATGTCACAGTGCTGTAGAGATTTTGTATATGGCCAGTTTTGGGGCCAATTTATGGCCAGATTTTGGGGGCCTATTACCAACAACAAATAATATTTTATTGTTGGAAAATACTGACCTTACATAAATGTTGTCTTAGTGCCCTACTCATTTGGTAAATTTAGCTCTTTACAGAGAAGTATACACATTGTAAAATGAATTGAATAGAAAAAGAAAGTACTGTAGAACTGCCTGTATTTGTTTTCTTGAAATAATCTGCTCTTTAAGAATCAAAACGGGCTCTCATACTTACTGTTGAAAAAAGTTTTAATTAATAAAATAGTTACTGGAATAATGAAACATATGGGATTTTTTAATTTTTGTCATGTTTAGAGTATTCAAATAGGTATTTATAAAAATTGTGTGATACAGTTGTGTAGGTGATGGATACTTCTGGAAGCACTGATCTAAATGGACTTGTGTACATTTCAGTGACTTTTTAGGACACTAGCTCCACCTGTAGGTAGAGATTTGCACACAAATAATATGGAAAAATGAGTAGCTGCTGTATACTACAGGCCTGTTACTTAGCCTTGTGGATTATAAGTAAGGGTTTTTCAGTTAAATTGTATCTCCTTCTTGGTGGTCAGGTATGAACAAAAAGAAGCTGATCCCTCACTACAGATTAACATGAGAATTTATCAAGGCTACTGTGTTAGAAATATACAATTAGGTAATTGTAATTCCGTATCAGCAATAAGCAGAAAATTTAAAAATTTAAGTGCCATCCACAATAGCACCACAGGAGAGTGCCAGGGAATCTCTTGAAATAGAAAGAAAATGTTATTTAATTCCTTAGAGCAGGGAACTTCGTCAGATTAAGTGGTGAACTAAAATCAATTATTGACAAACAAGACTGATTTTCCAAACAATAAGTGATAAACTGTCTCAAAACCTCTGCTGGAAGATAAAATGATTATAAATTAAAAATCAATAGACTATTAGCTATAGAAATAAATATATGACCATTTTAAAGGGGTACCACCATCCATATATAACACAAGTTAATAGCAATTCGACATTGAGACCAACAAAGGGCTAGTTGGCCCTTTACTGAGTGAAAACAATGGATTTACCACAAATGAGCTGTACGTTAGAAAAGTCCTTCCACGGTAGAACTTCGTCGTACTAGGAGCTTCGATTGGGAATAAGAAAACCTATTGGATGCAATATAGAGAATTTCAAATATAGTCTGTTGAACATTTTCTGGAAATTTTTATATGGAAGTGAACAACATGTAAGTTTTCTACTTGGCTATCATGATCTCATCACAATCTAGTTTTCCAGTCTTACCTCCTATTTCACCTTTTTGCATGTTACAGTTTTCTATCAGACTATATTCTCCAGCTTCCTGGACACACACTATCGTGTTCCACATCTGAACTTTGTTCACTCTGGAATGTCTTCTCTCCTCACCCTCTTCTATCACATCCTGCAAGATTGATCTCACTGAGACCTCCTTTGTAAGGCCCTCCACCCCCGTAGCATTGTTCATCTAAGTCTGTCACATTTGCTATCATGTTATATAAGTATCTCGTCTCTCCTATTAGAGTGTAGCTTTTTAAGAGAAGGGCCTTCTTTTCTGAGCTTTTTCATATCCCCTAATAGAGCCCAGCTGAATATCTTTAAATGGCAGTCACTAAATAAATATTAGTTGAAAAACATAATAAACAAATATCATCTTTGAAATGTAATGTTATATACATAAAAATTATTTTGCTGCAAGATAATTAAACATAAAAGGTCAGAAGTTCACATAAATGACTATAATTAATATTACTTTTGCATAGCCAGTATAAGCTTCAGTTATTCTGTTGATTTATTCACATGCTAGTATTATAGACAACACTTCTGTTCTTAATTTTCTTAAATAGCACGTCCACCATTATATGTGCCCTGATACCAGTTTTGGATATAATTTTATAACATGTATAAAATCCTTTACTACCCTTGAACTTCTGTCCTTGGTTGCAGACTGCAGTTTCCTTTGACCTTCAATGTATAAAAAGAAGTTAGGTTTCAGTCCATTATAGTGTGTGATATGTTAACTAGCATTTCATCTTTCTGCCGTTGGTTTGCTATGTTACCCAAAAGCTGGTTGGCAGAAAGTGAGCATGAGGTTTCACCTTTTCATTTCCTCCCCTCCCACCCTCTCTCCCTTTCTTTCTTTTTTTCTTTATCCAACATTTGTTGATTACTTCTTACAAGCCATACACTGTGCCATGACCTCATTTACATTAATAAATCAGATGTCATTACTTCATGTTTTGTAGGTCACAGTCTAGGGCAAGGGTCACCAATCCCCAGGCCACAAACCGATACCATGGTACCCAGGGTTGGGGACCCCTGCTCTAGACTGTTACGTACCAATACTGTTAGGTACTGGGCTGCACAGCAGGAGGTGAGCAGCGGGCAAGCAAGCCAAGCTTCATCTGTATTTAGAGCTGTCCTCATTGCTTGCATTATTGCCTGAGCTCCACCTCCTGTCAGATCAGTAGTGGCATTAGAATCTCACAGGAGCATGAACCGTATTGTGAACCGTGCATGCCAGGGATCTAGATTGTGTACTCCTTATGAGAATCTAGTGACTGATCTGTCAGTGTCTCCCATTACCCCCAGATGGGACCATCTAGTTGCAGGAAAGCAAGCTCAGGGCTCCTACTGATTCTGCGTTATGGTGAGTCGTATAATTATATTTTTTGTATATTACAGTGTAATAAGCGAAATAAAGTACACAATAAATGTAATGTGCTTGAATCATCCCAAACCATCCCTCATCACCACCCCTTTCCCCTACATCCATGGAAAAATTGTCTTTCATGAAACCAGTCCTTGGTGCCAAAAAGATTGGGGACTGCTGGTATAGAAGACAAGAAAAACATGAAAATCTCAAAATCTGCTAAGCTGTCTCCACTTCCTTATCTATTCTCTCTTCAATCTAGCCCAGTTGAATTTTTGTCCTACTTCACCAAAGGTAGTGCTCTTTTTGCTTATTTATTAACTATCTCTCCCCACTATAATAGTGCCATGAGAACATAGACCTTACCTTTCTTATTTGCTACTGTATTCGTAGTACCTAGCACACAGTAGGTGCTCAATAGTTTTTGCCAAATAAACAGCTTATAATGGGGATTTGTAAAAAGTGTTAGGGCCATTGACAGGAAGGAGTAGCTAACTCATTCCATGAGATGCTGACTTGGTCAATTGGTTATATGTGATTTTAGGCTTAAAAGTTGAAGTATAGAAGGAGTTTAGAAGTAGAGATGAAAGTATGAAAGAACATTCTAGAAAGAGAGAGTGTGCAAAGATTTAGAGGTGGCAGAAAGCATGATTTGTTCGAGGAAAAGAAAATGAACTCATTTAGTTTAGGCAAAGACAAAGTGGTTACATGCTAAAACAAAATTTGAGCTGTATCTTTATTTTTTTTTATTTTTATTTTTTATTATACTTTAAGTTTTAGGGTACCTGTGCACAACGTGCAGGTTTGTTACATATGTATACGTGTGCCATATTGGTGTGCCGCACCCATTAACTCGTCATTTACATTAGATATATCTCCTAATGCTATCCCTCCCCCCTCCCCCGACCCCACAACAGGCCCCGGTGTGTGATGTTCCCCTTCCTGTGTCCAAGTGTTCTCATTGTTCAATTCCCACCAATGAGTGAGAACATGCAGTGTTTGGTTTTTTGTCCCTGTGATAGTCTTTAAAGCAATAGGTAGCCATTGAAAATTCTTAAGCAAAGGAATGATATATTCAATTTTTATTTTCAAAAAACACCTCTATTGTTATAGAAAATGGCTTCTAGGGTGGTGGTGGACAGTGAGACCGGGAGCAGGGTTTTTTTGTTCTTCCTGCTCTGTTGTTTGTTGCTATTTGAATAGCTGCCTCATTCCTAAAAGCAGTTTAGCATTTGAGATGGCTCTTTCTTGGGCGACTCTTGGAATTCTCTAGGTAATGGTGTGGACTTGAATTAAGCCAGTAACAATGAGCTAAAAGGTGGGATAGACTCCAGAAGAAATTAGGAGGTCAACTTGGCAGGACAGGGTGAATGGCCTGGGGGTAAGACAGAGACGAGTTGAGGGTGGAATGAGGCTTACTAATTCAATTGGAGGAGGATGCTGTTAACTGAGGTCAACAATATAGGAAAAGCCAACATATTTTCGAGTGAGGAGAAGTTAGTTCATTTTGTGGAATGCTGAATTTGAAGCACTTATAGGATATTTCAGTGGAGAAAGAGAGGATAGAGAAAAACCATGGTTTTCTTGATGATGTGTTTTTATTTAATATCTTTATAAAGAGATTTCTTATTGCAGTTGCCTAACAAATAATAGGTACACAGTAACTTTGACATCATCTTAGGCAACTTCCCCAAGCATGGTTATTTTCTCTAGTACTAACCATCATACTGCCACAGCACTGTTTTAACCAGGTTAATTGCCTATTAGAATTGTAAATGACAGAAATTAATTTACAATGGTAAATAATGAGGAGCCCTTTGTAATAATGCACAATTCTGCTTGAATTTTCAAGCATTTGTCACTTAAGGAACACAAGATCAACAAATGAGTATGAGCCAGTAGGAAGAATAGCAGGGAAAGCTTGACTGCAGTTAGATAGTAGACCACTGGTTACATCTAGATAGAATTGTTCTCACCTTGATGTCTAAATATGGTTGCTCAGATTAAGAGATGGTACCAACTTCATTATAAAGAAAACATACCGTGGAGATGCGATCATTGTTCATTTCATCCAGATCATCTTGAAGGTCTTTTCCAACAGAAACTATAAACATATGTGGTTGTATTCTGTTATTATCCCTGTCTGAGTAAGCAATATAAAGAACCCATAATCTCATCAAAATAATCCATCGTACCCTGTAATTTATAAAGCTGTCTTATGGTGATGCCATAGTTAAAGATAACATCCATTCTGCCATGCAACAATTTGAGTTGTTTTTCCAAGGTCTTAATATGCTCTTAGCTGCAATCAAACCTAATTTATCCCAAATTTTACTTGCAAAGGAAACATTAGGTCCCACATGTCTGTACGTAGTAGTCAGGAACAAAAAATTAACCAATACCTTTTTTTTTCCTCTATCTCTCAGTCTCTGTCTGTCTCTCTCATGACCTCTGTCTCTCTCTTTTTTGCTTTCTTTCTCTCTTTTCCTCATTAGTAACCCATCCTTTTAATTCCTGGTCAATTTTTGAAATACCAAAGAATGGGCTTTACTCCACACTAATTAATTCAGGCTCTTTATAAATGATATCTATCAGAATTCTCTAAACATTCCTCAGGAGAGTCTAGTGTGCACTGGAATTGAGAACTATCCCTCTCTGGAAGCAAGTCCATATTGATGATTCTACAATCTTGCAGTGTGACAATTCATCTTCCAGTACCACAATTTTAACCTGAATGCGCAGCTGCTTCAGTCTTCATATATGTTGAAAACATTTTTTTCTCAAATTAGAGTTCTCTTGTTTATATTCTTCAGAAATTACATTTTAGGACATTGATGAATGTTTTTCTTTTTGCAAATAAAGGAATCTATCACTAATAGCTCATTAGTTCCTGGTAGACTAAGGTAAGGCCAGTAAAGGAGGTAAACCACAAGGGATTGAAAAGCAGCACCTGCCTCTGTGTATGTCTTGCAGGAGGGTCTCTCCTTTTGATAGAAGAATAAAGGGCACAGGAGGTGGCAGGCAGAGAGGCTAATTAGCTGATATTAGAGAGGGAAAGTGTTAGCTCTGCTGATGCACAGACTGTGGAGGACTCACTAAGGACACGGAGCTTGGAATTCAAAAGAGCTCATTTGCTCTAAAAGATGAGAAAAATGTTCAGAGTGAGAAAGATGTTTCCTGTTTGGAATAGGACAAAGAATACCAGTGTTCAAATAGCAGCTATTTATTGGAGACCAGTCATAGGTGGCTCCAAATTATACACATAGCAGATATATAAACAGGTCTAGTTACAGAGCAAAAAGATGCTCTCCAAATTTAATTCAATACGTCCCATGGTACCATTGTTCCTGTATATGGTTATGAGTTTTCTTGTACCTCTTTGGTTTATAATGTGGATTTTCAGCCAGTGAAACCTTGCCTTAGTCTTCTAGGGCTGCCATTACAAAGTATCACAGACTGGGGAGCTTAAATGAAGGAAATTTATTTTCTCACAGTTCTGGAGGCTGAAAGTCCAAGATCAAGGTGTCAGCAAGTTGGTTCCATCTGAGGCCTCTCTCCTAGGCTTGTAGATGGCAACCTTCTCACTGTGTCTTCACTTAGTCTTTTCTCTGTGTCTGTCCTAATCTCTTTTTCTTGTAAGGACACCAGTTATATTGAATTAAGGGCCATCTTAATGATCTCATTTTCACCTAATTATTCCTATAAAGACCTTATCTCTAAATACTATCACATTCTGAGGTTCTGAGAGTTAGGACTTCAACATATAAATTTGGGGTGGGGGAGACATAATTCAGTCATAACAAACCTAGAAAGAAAATAATTCTTAAGAAATCTAAAAATATAATTAATAAAGACTTTCACAATCCTTTAAAAATTATGTTGGGATCCACATTTTAACATTGATATGAGGTTATCAAAAGCCTTGAAAAATAAATGAGTATCCTTGACATGGGTTAGAAGAAAAGGTCTTGTGCCGAAATGGAATTCTCCATTTGACTTTTGGAGCCAAGATCAATGTTGTCATATAACTGTGATTTTGGACAATCTTCTAACTGCATGCTTGCCCGCCTGCAGTCTGTGCCAAAAGCAATTCAGAAAAAAAGGCTCTCATGCTGAACATCTGAGCTTCCAAGGCAGGAGGAGTGCAGGAGAGGAGGGAGCTGTTAAAAAGGGAACCAAAGTCTTCTAATGGCTTTTGGTAATCGGCCCAGCTGCACTAATTTGATTTTTTGAACTGAAAACCCCAGGATACTGCCCTGAACGACTGAGCTCATGCTGGAAATAGCATCCTTTAAAGAGAGGCTCTAGGGACAGCTTGAGTAGTATAAATAGCTTTAGGAATTAATTTCAAAATATGGGCCAGGTAAGTGAGTAACTGACTCCTTGGTAACATTAAGGCATTTTCAAAGAAGCACCAACTATTTTCATCTCTTAATAGATTTTTATTGAAATAATGACCCAGTAATATGAGAATCAACGCCTCCTCCATAATGCTTTACTTTCTACTTAGAAACTATGGTTAAACATTATGTATTTGGAACTCAGGTTTCTGGTAATCTCGCCCATCTCAAACACAGCCAAGAACCAAGACATAACCACAAAAGGTCCTTGAGCAGCAAATCCCAATGTCACATGTGTTGAAGATCATGTACTTTGTTTCTTGGAGATCTGCTCAGACCTACTCTCATAACTTATTTACTATTGGTTTTCATGTAGTTCAAATGAACATGGTTATCTGGTTTCCAAGCCCAAAGACCAGGAACACCAGATGATAAAGACTTCTGGTGGGCAGTATGCAGCAGTGAGAAGAGTCCCTCGACTGCTCATAAGTAAAATTTTGAAAAGTCTCTAACAAACAAATAAATACAAAAGACAGTCAATTTGAGGGTTGTTTAGTCTCTGGGGCAAAGAGCCTACTCATGTCAAATTACTTTTGAGTGTGTCTCTGTATTAAATTCTTGAACACCAACTAGGATTTGTAATAATTACCCTTGAACAATTAAGGAGAGTGTGATGTGATCAGTAGACTCTGTTTAGGACTGTAAAGAAGCACATCATTGCTCTGAAAGATTCAATCCAAATAAAATAGAATAGGAAAAATGAAAGGAGGTTTATTAACTGAAAAAAGGTAATAATTGTGCCTCTTGGGGAATATCACCTGTCATTACCAATGATGCCTGAAGCCAAAGATTTACTGTAATTGTTCATTTCTAACCAAAGGGATTAGGGCCCTCCTTAATTACCTCATTTTCTGTTCTCTTCTTCAAATTCCCTCAAAGTAACCTAAATAAATTTGGAGTCTACCATCTGATGGTGAAGTCAAGTACTCTACCCTTTCTCTAAGGCCTTACCTGATTGATTTCCTACATGACCTTGACTTTTTTATCTGCTGGTTAGTGCAAATCTCACAATTGATGCCACCAGAAGTGGGAGGCCTAAAGGTCTGATTCACAGAGTTAATAATAATACTGCTTACCCTTATCTGCACTAAAGATATAACCCACTTCTCCCATAACATTTTGAATATCTGCTTCTTCTGGCATTGATAAAAAATATAGATTTATTTATATTTATATACTCTTTTATCCAAATTTCTGGAAGAAATATACACATCACATATAATATAAAATGAGACTTTTCCCAGTATTCTGATATACACTTAAGACCCATAGCTCAAAACAAAAAGGGCTAATTATCCTGTAAGCTGCCCATGACTGGAGCTAAACCCTCCCAGGCAGCTAACTAAGGAGCTACACAATCTACCTACCAACGCTATCCCTCTGGGGAAACTCCTGAGAGAGAGGACAAAAGGAACATTGTTTTCATCAGAACCAAGTGAGATGAGGGGATGCCTGGAAAATCACTCTTCAATATTGAGGGTGCCTGCCTTCTAGAAGAGAAGACTGGCATATGGTGCTTTACTCAACCCACAGATGCATTTTAATGTTTCTGTCAGGAGGGAGGCCAGGAAGAGCTCTTCAGGAGCCACTAGGGCAGAGGTTCCAAACCCCCAGGCTCCCCAACCTCCTGGCTGCACACTGGTACTGTTCTGTGGCCTGTTAGGAACCCAGCTACACAGCAGGAGGTGAGCAGCAGGCAAGTGAGCATTACCACCTGAGCTCTGCCTCCTCTCAGATGAGTGGCGGCATTAGATTCTCATAGGAGCTCGAACCCTATTGTGAACTGCACATGTGAGGGATCTAGGTTGCATGCTCCTTATGAGAATCTAATGCCTGGTGATCTGAGGTGGAAGTTTTATCCTGAAGCCATCCCTTCACCCCATTGTCCTTGGAAAAAACAGTCCCCGGTGCCAAAAAGTGTGGGGACTGCTGCGCCAGAGGCCTAGGGTGGGGGCTGCAAACATAGAGACTGGTGCTCATTTGTGGTCTAGAGAGGCCCGAGGAACAGCCTGTGCCAGCAGCGGCGTGGGATGTTGGGAAGAAGGTGGCAATATCATCCCCTACCCCATTCAGCTCTCCAAGGCACTGGGAGGGTATGAAAGGGAGAAGCTGTGATTCTCATGGCTCCCCTAGAAGGCAGAGAATAATGGAGGGGATGAGTTATAGAGAGGCATGAGTGCCCTGCGGCTGGAGAGGCTTGCTCACTGATGAAGGGACCTAGAAGGCAAATGAACCCCACACCAAGAAAGCCATGCAAGCCTCCCACCAGCATCACCTGGTACCAAAGTGAACCAGAAAAGAGATCAGAGACAACTCCCACCATCAGATGGCCACTCCTATGTAGGAACATTCTGCCCTTCTGTTCAGCTCCCACCCCAACCCCAGAGGAGTTGGGCTTGGGTGGATAGAAGAGAGATCAGAGGCAGCCCATAGCCCCTTTCCTACTGGAAGTCCTGTGAGCCCCTAGTCTAGTCTATGACCAGGGAGGGAGTCATAGGCTGAATCAAGTATTTAGGCTGACGTTTTTTAACTGGAGTAGACCAATTTTAAAAGTCAAAAGTGACAGGAAATTTGTCACAAAATAGTAGTAAAGGGGAAAGGGCACTTGAAAGCAGTACTTTAAAAATGTCCAGGCATTTGCAGGAAAGGGAGGAGATGTCTGTGATTTCAACTGGGAGTTGATGCTCAAGTTCTGCAACCTGGTATATACCCAGCCCTTAGACAAGTAGGAAGAAAAAGCCTGTAGAAGCAGGCAATGACGATTCCAGAGCTGCTATGATTGAAGGGGAAAAGGCGATCCTAAAATGGTTCCAGGATTGCTCTGGCTCTTAGATGTTGCTAAATTTAAAACTTAACCCAGCTTTTAAAGTGTCTTCTCTTGCTTTCATTGCATTTTTCTTAACTTGTCCAGTGGTAGAAAAACCTTTTGCTGAAATAATTTTATTTTTGTTCTATCTTGTTTATTAAAGGAAAAAAGTAAATAAAAATTCAAATGACTTTGTGAAAGTATCTATAAGATGTACATTCCTTTCTGCTCGCTATAGTAAATGTTTTACTTCTGGGGATAAAATAATGCACTAGTTTTACATTTAGACTACTCAGAAAATGAATTAGCTATGTGTTTGCAGACAACCAGGTAATCTTTGTATGACAAGTTAGCTATATATTTATCTAAAAAATACTTGAGATTAATTTTTTTCCGTAGAACAGAGTCCCTCCCACCATGATTGAGTTCATGATTAAGACCTTGTTAATACTCCGCTCTTACCTGCCCAATAATCTACATACTGAGATTTTTTGGTAGGGAGTGGAATGAAGTGTTTGGACTGTTGCCCTATTATCTGTAACTAAAACACTGTTGAAATGGAGTGCATTAATTTAATAGATATTATTATTTTTCCAGTATTATAAATGAGGACATTGAGACACAGTGAGATTAAGTGCCTTGCCCAAGGTCAGTCAGCTTGTTAAGTGGAGGAACTAGGATTCAGACTCATACAGTCTGGCCAGTTAAATCAGCTTCATATCCACACCAACACTGGGTATTATAATTTAAAATTTCTTTGCCAAGTAAGTAGCAAAAACCGCAAATGGCATCTTTTTTTTTTTCATTATACTTTAAGTTCTGGAGTACATGTGCAGAACGTGCATGTTTATTGCATAGGTGTACATGTGCCATGGTAGTTTGTTGCACCCATCAATCCGTCATCTACATTATGTATTTCTCCTAATGCTATCCCTCCCCTAGCCCCCTACCCCATGACAGGTGTGTGATGTTCCGCTCCCTGTGTCCATATATTCTCATTGTTCAGTTCCCAATTATGAGTGAGAACATGCAGTGTTTGGTTTTCTATTCTTGCGTTAGTTTCCTGAGAATGACAGATTCCAGCATCATCCATGTCCCTGCAAAGGATATGAACTCATCTTTTTTATGGCTACATAGTATTCCGTGGTGTATATGTGCCACATTTTCTTTATCCAGTCTATCATTGATGGGCATTTGGCTTGGTTCCAAGTCTTTGCTATTGTGAACAGTGCCACAATAAACATACGTGTTCATGTGTCTTTATAGTAGAATGATTTATACTCCTTTGGGTATATACCCAGTAACGGGATTGCTGGGTCAAATGCTATTTCTAGTTCTAGATCCTTGAGGAATCGCCACACTGTCTTCCACAATGACTGAACTAATTTACACTCTAACCAACAGTGTAAAAGTGTTCCTATTTCTCCATATCCTCACCAGCATCTGTTGTTTCCTAACTTTTTAGTGATTGCCATTCTAACTGGCGTGAGATGGTATCTTATTGTGGTTTTGATTTGCATTTCTCTAATGTCCAGTGATGATGAGCTTTTTTTCCTATGTTTATTGGCCACATAAATGTCTTCTTTTGAGAAGTGTCTGTTCATATCCTTTGCCCACTTTTTGATGGGGTTGTTTTTTTCTTGTAAATCTGTTTAAGTCCTTTGTAGATTCTGGATATTAGCCCTTTGTCAGAAGGATAGATTGCAAAAATTTTCTCCCATTCTGTAGGTTCCTGTTCACTGTGATGATACTTTTGTCCTACAGAAACTCTTTAGTTTAATCAGATCCCATTTGTCAATTTTGGCTTTTGTTGCCATTGCTTTTGGTGTTTTAGTCATGAAGTCTTTGCCCATGCCAGTGTCCTGAATGGTATGCCCTAGGTTTTCTTCTAGAGTTTTTATGGTTTTAGGTCTTATGTCTAAGTCTTTAATCCAACTTGAGTTAATTTTTGTTAAATTTTGTATCATTTTATATAAGGTTATTTGCCAATGTCCTGAATGTCATGGCCTAGGTTTTCTTCTAGGGTTTTTATGGGTTTAGGACTTACCTTTAAGTCTTTAATCCATCTAGAGTTAATTTACGTATAAGGTGTAAGGAAGGGATCCAGTTTCAGCTTTCTGCATATGGCTAGCCTGTTTTCCCAACACCATTTATTAAATAGGGAATCCTTTCCCCATTGCTTGTTTTCATCAGGTTTGTCAAAGATCAGGTGGTGGTAGATGTGTGGTGTTACTTCTGAGGCCTCTGTTCTGTTGCATTGGTCTATATATCTGTTTTGGTACCAGGACCATGCTGTTTTGGTTACTGTAACCTTATAGAATAGTTTGAAGTCAGTAGCGTGATGGCTTCCAGGTTTGTTCTTTTTGCTTAGGATTGTCTTGGCTATATGGGCTCTTTTTTGATTCCACATCAAATTTAAAGGTAGTTTTTTTCCAATTCTTCGCAGAAAGTCAATGGTAGCTTGATGGGAAGAACATTGAATTTATAAATCACTTTGGGCAGTATGGCCATTTTGATGATATTTATTCTTCCTATCTGTGAGCATGGAATGTTTTTCCATTTGTTTGTGTCCTCTCTTATTTACTTGAGCAGTGGTTTGTAGTTCTCTTTGAAGAGGTCCTTCACATCCCTTATAAGTTGAATTCCTAGGTATTTTATTCTCTTTGTAGCAATTGTGAATGGGAAGTCACTCAAGATTTGGCTCTCTGTTTGTCTATTATTGGAGTATAGGAATGTTTGTGATTTTTGCACATGGATTTTGTATCCTGAGAATTTGCTGAAGTTGCTTATCAGCTTAAGGAGATTTGGGGCTGAGGCCGTGGGGTTTTCTAAATATACAGTCATGTCATCTGCAAACAGACAATTTGACTTCCTCTTTCCCTTTTCGAATACCCTTTATTTCTTTCTCTTGCCTAATTGCTGTGGCCAGAACTTCCAATATGTTGAATAGGAGTGGTGAGAGAGGGCATCCTTGTGTTGTGCCGGTTTTCAAAGGGAATGCTTCCAGCTTTTGCCGATTCAGTATGATATTGGTTGTGGATTTGTCATCAATAGCCTTTATTATTTTGAGACACATTCCATCAACGCTTAGTTTATTGAAAGTTTTTAGCATGAAGGGCTGTTGAATTTTGTCAAAAGCCTTTTCTACATCTGTTGAGATAATCATGTGGTTTTTGTCATTGATTCTGTTTATGTGATGGTTTATGTTTATTGATTTGCTAATGTAGAACCAGACTTGCATCCCACGGATGACGCTGACTTGATCGTGGTGGATAAGCTTTTTGATGTGCTGCTGGATTCGGTTTGCCAGTATTTTATTAAGAATTTTTGTGTCAATGTTCATCAGGTATATTGGCCTGAAATTTCCTTTTTTTGTTGGGTCTCTGCCAGGTTTTGGTATCAGGATGATGCTAGCCTCATAAAATGAGTTAGGGAGGATTCCCTCCTTTTCTTTGTTTGGAATAGTTTCAGAAGGAATGGTACCAGCTCCTCTTTGTGCCTCTGGTAGTATTTGGCTATGAATCTGTCTGGTCCTGGGCTTTTTTTGGTTGGTAGGCTATTAATTTCTGCCTCAATTTCAGAACTCGTTATTGGTCGATTCAGGGATTCGACTTCTTCTTGGTTTGGTCTTGGGAGGGTGTATGTGTCTAGGAATTTATCCATTTCTTCTAGATTTTCTAGTTTATTTGCATAGAGGTGTTTATAGTATTCTCTGATGGTAGTTTGTATTTCTGTGGGATCAGTGGAGATATCCCCTTTATCATTTTTTATTGCATCTATTTGATTCTTCTCTCTTTTCTTCTTTATTAGTCTGGCTACTGGTCTACTATTTTGTTAATCTTTTGAAAAAACCAGCTCCTGGATTCATTGATTTTTTGAAGGGTCTTTTGTGTCGCTCTCTCCTTCAGTTCTGCTCTAATCTTAGTTATTTCTTGTCTTCTGCTAGCTTTTAAATTTGTTTGCTCCTGCTTCTCTAGTTCTTTTAATTGTGGTATTAGGGTGTCAATTTTAGATATTTCCTCCTTTCTCCTGTGGGCATTTAGTGCTGTACATTTCCCTCTATAAACTGCTTTAAATGTGTCACAGAGATTCTGGTACACTGTGTCTTTGTTCTCATTGGTTTCAAAGAACTTATTTATTTCTGCCTTCATTTCATTATTTACCCAGTAGTCATTCAGGAGCAGGTTGTTCGGTTTCCGTGTAGTTGTGCGGTTTTGAGTGAGTTTCTTAATACTGAGTTCTAATTTGATTGCAGTGTGGTCTGAGAGACTCTTTGTTATGATTTTCATTCTTTTGCATTTGCAGAGGAGTGTTTTACTTCCAATTATGTGGTCAATTTTAGAATAAGTGTGATGTGCTGAGAAGAATGTATATTCTGTTGATTTGGGATGGAGAGTTCTGTAGATGTCTATTAGGTTCCACTTGGTTCAGAGCTGAGTTCAAGTCCTGGATATTCTTGTTAATTTTCTGTCTCATTGATCTGTCTAATATTGACAGTGGGGTGTTAAAGTCTCCCACTATTACTGTGTGGGAGTCTAAGTCTCTTTGAAGGTCCATAAGAACTTGCTTTATGAATCTGGGTGCTCCTGTATTGGGTGCATATATATTTAGGAGAGTTAGCTCTTCTTGTTGCATTGATCCATTTACCATTACGTAATGCCCTTCTTTGATTCTTTTGATCTTTGTTGGTTTAAAGTCTGTTTTATCAGAGACTAGGATTGCAAACCCTGCTTTCTTTTTTTTTTTCTTTCCATTTGCTTGGTAAATATTCCTCCATCCCTTTATTTTGAGCCTGTGTGTATCTTTGCACTTGCGATGGGTCTCCTGAATACAGCACAGTAGTGGGTGTTGACTCTTCATCCAATTTGTGGGTCTGTGTCTTTTAATTGGGGCATTTAGCCCATTTACATTTAAGGGTAATATTGTTATGTGTTAATTTGATCCTCCCATTATGATGCTAGCTGGTTATTTTGCTTGTTAGTTAATGCATTTTCTTCATAGGATCGATGATCTTTACAATTGGCATGTTTTTGCAGTGGCTTGCACAGTTGTTCCTTTCCATGTTTAGTGCCTCCTTCAGGAGCCCTTGTGAGGCAGGCCTGGTGGTGACAAAATCTCTCAGCATTTCCTTGTCTGTAAAGGATTTTATTTCTCCACTTATGAAGCTTAGTTTGGCTGGATATGAAATTCTGGGTTGACAGTTCTTTTCTTTAAAAATGTTTAATATTGGCCCTCCACTCTCTTCTGGCTTGTAGGGTTTCTGCAGATAAATCTGCTGTTTGTCTGATAGGCTTCCCTTTGTGGGTACCCCAACCATTCTCTCTTGCTGCCCTTAACATTTTTTCCTTCATTTCAACCTTGGCGAATCTGATGATTATTTGTCTTGGGGTTGCTCTTCTCAAGGAGTATCTTTGTGATATTCTCTGTATTTCCTGAATTTGAATATGGATCCTGGATAATTTCCCCAACCTAGCAAGGCAAATGTCATCTTATTTATATTTTAGTTTGCATCTGTTTGATTACTAGTGATGCTGCCTCTTTTGTTTGTAACAGATTATTAATTTTTATATTCTTTTTTTGTGAATTGCCTGTTCATGACCCTTGCCCATTTTTCAACTGGTATTAATAATTTTTTTTTTATTTCTGAGAACTCTTAGTAGTTGAACTATCAGATATATTGTACTTATTTTCCACAGTGTATCATTTACCCTTTCATTTTATGCATATATGTATGTGTGAAGGGGAGCATTTTGCCTATAGGCAAGTTTAAAAAATCATTAGTCATCTCATTTGTTTCCTTTTATGGTTTTTCAAAGACTGCCTTTTCATGTTCATCTATGTCTTTGTCTTATCCTTATAGACTTTCATTTATTTCTTCAACATCGTAGTCATAAAAACACTCAAACAGCAAGTTAACTTTAAATAGAATACCTATATACACACCATCTAGAGTCTATCATTAACACATTACTATACTTGCTTTATGCATAGCTACCCATCTGTTTATCCCTTTTTAAATAATTTTTATTTTTTTTTCAATAGTTTTGGGGGTAAAGAAGGTTTTTGGTTACATGGATAAGGTCTTTAGTGGTCATTTCTGAGGTTTTGGTGCACCCATCACCCAAGTAGTTTACCCTGTACCTAATATGTAGTCTTTTATCTCTTTCCCCATTCCCAACATTTCCCTCAAGTCCCCAAAGGCCATTATATCATTCTTATTCCTTTGCATCCTCATAGCTTAGCTCCTACTTATAAGTGAGAACATATGGTATTTGGTTTTCCATTCCTGAGCTACTTCACTTAGAATAATGGCCTCCAGCTCCACCCACGTTGCTGCAAAAGATATTTTGCTCCTTTTTATGGCTAAGTAGTATTCCATAGTGTGTATATACCACATTTTCTTTATCCACTCATTGGTTGATGGGCATTTAGGCTGGTTTCATATTTTTGCAATTGCGAGTTGTACTGCTATAAACATGTGTGTGCAAGTGTCTTTTTCATATAATGACTTATTTTCCTCTGGGTAGGTCCCAGTAGTGGGATTGCTGGATTGAATGGTTGTCCTGTTTTTAGTTCTTTAAGGAATCTCCACACTGTTTTCCACAGTGGTTGTACTAGTTTACATTCCCACCAGCAGTGTAAAAGTGTTCTCTTTTCACCACATCCATGCCAACAGCCATTGTTTTTTGACTTTTTAATTATGGCCATTCTTGCCAGAGTAAGGTGGTATCTCATTGTGGTTTTAATTTGAATTTCCCTGATAATTAGTGATATAGAGTATTTTTATATGTTTGTTGGCTGTTTTTATATCTTCTTTTGAGAATTGTCTATTCATATCCTTTGCCTACTTTTTAAAAAAATTAATTTTAAGTTCCAGGATACATGTGCAGGATGTGCAAGTTTGTTACATAGGTAAATATGTGCCATGATGGTTTGCTGCACATGTCAACCCATCACCTAGGTATTAAGCCCTGCAGGCATAGCTTTTATCCTGGTGCTCTCTCTTCCCCCATCCCCATGACAGGCCCCAGTGTGTGTTGCCCCTGCGTCCATGTGTTCTCATTGTTCAGCTCCCATTTATAAGTGAGAACATGTGGTGTTTGGTTTTCCGTTCCTGTGTTAGTTTGCTGAGGTTAATGGCTTCCAGATCTATCCATGTTGCTGCAAAGGACATGATCTAGTTCCTTTTTATGGCTGCATAGTATTCCATGGTATATATGTACCATATTTTCTTATTCACGTATGTGTTCATTGCAGCACTATTCACAATAGCAAAGACATGGAATCAACCTTTGCCTGCTTTTCGATGGGATTACTTGTTTTTCTCTTGCTGATTTGAGTTCCTTGTAGATTCTGCATAGTAGTCCTTTGTCAGATGCATAGTTTGTGAATATTTTCTTCCACTCTGTGGGTTGTCTATTTACTCTGCTGATTATTTCCTTTGCTGAGCGTTTTAGTTTAATTGGGTCCCATTTATTTATTTTTTGTTGTTGTTGCATTTGCTTTTGGGGTCTTAGTCATGAATTCTTTGCCTAAGCCAATGTCTAGAAGAGTTTTTCTGATGCTATCTTCTAGAATTTTTATGGTTTCAGGTCTTGATTTAAGTCTTTATACACAAGTCAATAAATGTGACATATGACATAAACAGAATTAAAAACAAAAACCATATGATCATCTCAATAGGTGCAGATAAAACATTTGCTAAAATCCAGCATTGCTTTATGATAAAAACCCTCAACAAAACAGTCATAGAAGGGACTTACCTCAAAGTAATAAAAGCAATATATGACAAACCCACAGCCAACATCATACTGAATGGAGAAAAGCTGAAAGCATTGCCCCTGAGAACTGGAACAAGACAAGGATGCCCACTTTCACCACTTATAGTCAACATAGTACTGGAAGTCCTGGTTAGAGCAATCAGACGAGAGAAAGAAATAAAGGGCATCTAAATTGGAAAAGAGGAAGTCAAATTGTTGCCGTTTGCCAGTGATATTATCATATACCTGGAAAACCCTAAGGACTCATCCAAAAAAATGCTCATCCCTTTTTCAATCCACTAATCCAGCTTACTTTTGGTGCTTTCAAAGTAAATTGCGGATAGTAGGCTATGCTTCCCCTCTAACTACCTCAGCATGCATATCATTTCCCGGAGTTCAATATTTGTTTAGTCTTTTGTGTGATATAAAATTTACTTAAAATGAAATGCACATATTTTAAGTGTACTTTCACTGAGTTTTGACAAATGTATACATCTATATAACTGAAAGCCCTATCAGAAAGTTCCCTACCACCACTACCTCCTCTAACCACCACCAGAGGAAAGCACTGTTCTGGTTGTTTTCTACCATAAATGAATTTGCTGCCTCTAGAATTTTATGTAAGTGGAATTATACAGTGTTGGGATACAGTTCTCCATGGATTGCTCACATTTCTCCACATCTTGCTAGCACAGACACTTACAGCCTTTGTTCCAGACTCTTTTCAAAAATGTTGATTAGCTAGCGGTTTTGGAATACAGAGATAGTATCTCCCTCAGGAGCAAAGAGTACTATAGAAGATGCAGGTTCACTAAGCTTAGGGATCCTCTTCACTGCCTGTGCAGGTATCACTTGGCCCTCTTCATGTCACTCTGTAGGAACTGGGCTTGGGAAATCAGCTCAAGAAAATGCTGATACTCTGGCTACTGGTACAGCTGTGAGTAATAAAGTCATTTTTTCTCTGACCCAGGAGTCTTATGTCTTTTACCAACATCCATAAAAAGGTGGCAGACTAACTGTTTAGCTTGAAAGTAGGGTAAAATCTCAGACCTCTCACAGTTCTCAACATATAGTGTGTGCTGTAGCTGCTTTCTTGCAGCATGTTTCTGAGATCCACCCACATTGTTGCATTCACTAGTAATTCTTTTCTTTTTATTGCTGAGCAATGTTCCATTGTACCAGTTTACTTCTGTATTCTCCTGGTGATGGATGCCTGGGCAATGCCCAGTTTCTGGCTGTTATAAATAAAGCTGCTGTGAAAATTCTTGTACACATCTTTTTGTGAATATATGTTTTTATTTTAGGGTAAAAGTAGACATCATGAAGTAGAATTGGTAGGTCACAGGTTAGGCCTATGTTCAGTGTTATTTTTAAAACTGACAAACCTTTTCCCAAAGGATTGTGTTATTTTATATTCCTACCAATATGTATGAGATGTCTAATTGCTCTATAACTTTGCCAATATTTGATGTTGCCCATATTTTTTATTTTAGCCATTCTGGTGGGTATTGTAGTGGTATCTTATTGTGGTTTTAATTTGCATTTCTCTAATCTGCACAATAAACCCCCATGACATAAGTTTTACCTGTATAATAAACCTGCACATGTACCCCTGAACTTAAGATAAAAGTAAAAAAATGTATTTCTCTAATTACTTAATGACACTGAATATATTTGTATGATAACTGGTCATTTGTATGTCTTATTTTATAAAGTGTTTATTCAAATTTTTGCCCATTTTTGAGGGTTGTTTACTGTATTCTTTGTTAAATCCTTGATAACAGTGCTTTGTTAGATTAGTAGTCTTATTAATTTTGCTAGTGGTGTACAATAATGAGCAGAAGTTCTTAATTTTGGTGAAATCTAATTATCAATTTTTTGTTTATGGTTATTGTTCACTGTGACCTCTCCAATAAATTTTTTGTTACCTCCAATTCACAAAGATAATCTCATATGTTTTCCTCAAAAAATGTTTCTAACACCTCCTCCCACCCCCACCAAACCTGCATTCATCCCTCTTGACCCTGCCACAGTAGGCATTTCTTTGAGAAGTATTGTTCAGCCTTTCAACTGCTCCTCTTAGAAATGAGGGTGGAATAGGGATAGGCTGCCCTGATGAGGCAGTTTCTATCTTCTTCAAATTTTCTGGAGTGCTGGTGAATAAATATTTCTCCATCTTATTACATATGCATATCACCTTTAATGCATACCTGGACCCTATGAAAGGTATTATGAGCCCCATTTTACAGATCTGGGAAATTATACCCACAGGGGTGAAGTAACTTTCTCAAAGGCACACAGCTCCACAGTGCTGGAGTTGGGAATCAAACATGCAACTTACTGCTTTCCAGAACTGTGGTGATAACCATGCTGCTAACCCTGACACTACTACACTCTTCAATAGTCTTGCTTGACATCAGTACCGTCACTATGGAGCCTTACTCTCATTTTATTCAGTTACCACCATAATCCTTGAATGCTTTTTAGTTGTGTTGTTCATGCTTCTTAATTGGTTTGTCTTACATAAAAAAGTGGCCTATTGAAATATGATTTATAATCTTCATATAATTTAGTAATTCAAATTCATGGTTCATCATCTTTATACAACTTACAAGATTCATGCAATAAATTGCTGGCTCAGATTTGAAGCCCTTTGCTACCTTTTCTAAGAGGACTAATTATGGCAAATTTTATTTTTTTATTGAATAAAATGTTAAATTAGCACAGTGAAATTGTGAAAACTACTTGGTGGGAGAAGACACTGTGCAAAAAAACAAAAAACAAACAAATAAAAAAACAAAAAACCTACTCTGTTTCACATGAAAGGATTCAGACTTTGCCAGTGGCTCACTTTCCTGTCCTAACTCAACTTTGTTATTCTAAGTGAAAAAAAAAAAATAAAATAAAATTTACCTTCTAGGTCTTTCTTATGCTGGATAAGAATAAAAATAAGAATATACATTATTCATGAATTTTTTTCTCTTTGGTTTCTAATTCTGAAAAGCATATAGCAAGTTCTCTTAAGTAGATTTGAAGTACAAATGAATGCAATATATATAATACTAGAAAGAGCTTTCACTTTTTAGGACAGTTATTTTATAATCATATAGCGGTAGTATTAATACTGACCTGATGTAACATGCTTCACAGGGGCCAATAGCATATCTTTGTGGGCTTAGTAGGAAAAAGTGCCAGGGACCTGAATTTTTCCTTCATAATAAACCATTAGAAAGATGTATGTCATCATGGCACAAAGTTTGGATTAGATAATTGAGATCACTGTTCCTAATATAGCTCTTGTTGAGATCAGTTGTTATAATTCTTGATTTTTCACTTTTAAATCTGGGTGTCAATGCTGGGTTATAGTGCCCCGTGTCTAGGGCAAAGTGGGATGTTTGCAGGATCTTTGTCCACAGTGACCGGCTGAGTCTGGCACAGCTGCAAGGTGATACAAGGGGTGACAGGAAAACAGGTAGTGGAATATTTAGAAAGAAGTGTGTGGCCTCTGCGAGTGATCATGAGGTGACTCGGTCCACCTCAGAAAATGTTCTTGATATGTTCTATGGGTAAAGTAAATCATTGAGTTATAAAATGCAGCCAAACTCCACATGTCTGAAGCCATGAGATGTTTTTATTTCTCTTTTCTCTTAAGTTAGGTTTTCCTAGAAAAATCCAGAAGTAAGGAATCAAGTTTAAGAGATTTATTGAGAAAATGCTTTTAGGAGCACAGGAAGCCAGACTGGAAAGGGGAAGAAACCAAGAAAAAAATGTGGTTTCAAGTAATGTCTCACACTTAGCCTGATTTCATGGGGAGAATTAATAGAGTGTCAACTATAATGGGCTTGACCTGCTTCATGGAGAAGAAGCTGGACATTTGTACTTCCGTGCTCATCCATCATATCACTGGCTACTAGCTGGGGGCACTGGGATGCAGGAGTTGGTAAGTAAATTCCCAAGCATTTCCGTTTACTTTTCCCTCTGCTTTTTTCAAGCAGAAGGAGTTTCACCCCATAGCCACCACCGCTGGTTATGTACTGAGTCTCACTTGAAGTCAGCAAATATCAGAATCCCACCCAAGGCCCTTGATATAGTGCCTGGGTATTGCTGCTGGTTATTTGGGGCCCAAGGGCTCTTCAGTTAGCAGATAATAAATGCTGCCAGGACTGGGTCTTCCCTTCAAGTCAGTGGGTTCCCTTCTGGCCCATGGTGTGTCTAAAAATGTTTTCTGGGAGCTAAGGCCTGAAACAGGGGCCTCACAACTCTGGTCAGTACCCTATCCTGCTGGAGCTGAGGCGGTATCCTAGATGAAAGACAAAGTCCTCCCCTCTCCTCAAGTGGAAAGGAAGAGGTCTCTTTTGGACCTGAGACCTGTGCACTCTGAGGTTAAGGGAGGGGTGATGCCAGCACTCCCTTAGCTGCCCCAGCTCCCCACCGCTTCTCATTCTGTGCATGGGTGAGGCAGTTCCAGTGCCTAAGGGCAAACCTCAGAAGGTCACAGGTGCTGGAGGATGGGCACCTGCAGCCTATGAAAGAATGGGTGAGTTGAGGTCAGGAGACCGAGACTATGCTGGCCAACATAGTGAAACCCCTTCTCTACTAAAAATACAAAAATTAGGTGGCATGGTGGTGTGTGTCTATAGTCCCAGCTACTCAGGAGGCTGAGGCAGGATAACCGCTTGAACCCGGGAGGCGGAGGTTGCAGTGAGCTGAGACCATGCCACTGCACTCCAGCCTGGGTGACAGAGCAAGACTCCGTCTCAAAAAAAAAAAAAAAAAAAAGAATGAATGAGTTACCAAGAAGCTCCAGTGTCCTCTATAGCTTCTGTGGCATCCTAGTCTTTCTGGGATTAGAAAACATTCAGTATGAATTAATAGAATAGGTATCCCTGGATCTGCTTGTTCTTCACCAAGGAAATGCACAACTAGGCCTGTTTCCTTCACCACTGTAACAGTAAAATGTTAAAAGAACAGAAATTATAACAAACTGTCTCTCAGACCACAGTGCAATCAAACTAGAACTCAGGATTAAGACTCACTCAAAACCGCTCAACTACATGGAAACTGAACAACCTGCTCCTGAATGACTACTGGGTACATAACGAAATGAAGGCAGAAATAAAGATGTTCTTTGAAACCAACGAGAACAAAGACACAACATACCAGAATCAGTGGGACACATTCAAAGCAGTGTGTAGAGGGAAATTTATAGCACTAAATGCCCACAAGAGAAAGCAGGAAAGATCTAAAATTAACACCCTAACATCACAATTAAAAGAACTAGAGAAGCAAAAGCAAACACATTCACAAGCCAGCAGAAGGCAAGAAATAACTTAAGATCTGAGCACAACTGAAGGAAATAGAGACACAAAAAACCCTTCAAAAAATTCAATGAATCCAGGAGCTGTTCTTTGAAAAGATCAACAAAATTGATAGACTGCTAGCAAGACTAATAAAGAAGAAAAGAGAGAAGAATCAAATAGACGCAATAAAAAATGATAAAGTGAATATCACCACTGATCCCACAGAAATACAAACTATCATCAGAGAATACTATAAACACCTCTATGCAAATAAACCAGAAAATCCAGAAGAAATGGATAAATTCCTCGACACATACACTCTCCCAAGACTAAACCAGGAAGAAGTTGAATCTCTGAATAGACCAATAACAGGCTCTGAAATTGAGGCAATAATTAATAGCTTACCAACCAAAAAAAGTCCAGGACCAGATGGATTCATAGCCGAATTCTACCAGAGGTATAAGGAGGAGCTGGTACCATTCCTTCTGAAACTATTCCAATCCGTAGAAAAAGAGAGAATCCTCCCTAACTCATTTTATGAGGCCAGCATCATCCTGATACCAAAGCCTGGCAGAGACACAACAAAAAAGAGAATTTTAGACCAATATCCCTGGTGAACATTGATGCAAAAATCCTCAATAAAATACTGACAAACCGAATCCAGCAGCACATCAAAAAGCTTATCCACCATGATCAAGTGGGCTTCATCCCTGGGATGCAAGGCTGGTTCAACAGATGCAAATCAATAAACGTAATCCAGCATATAAACAGAACCAATGACAAAAACCGCATGATTATCTCAATAGATGCAGAAAAGGCCTTTGACAAAATTCAACTGCCCTTCATGCTAAAAAATCTCAATAAATTAGGTATTGATGGGACATATCTCAAAATAATAGGAGCTATCTATGACAAACCCACAGCCAATATCATGCTGAATGGGCAAAAACTGGAAGCATTCCTTTTCAAAACTGGCACAAGACAGGGATGCCCTCTCTCACCACTCCTATTCAACATAGTGTTGGAAGTTCTGGTCAGGGCAATCAGGCAGGAGAAGGAAATAAAGGGTATTCAATTAGGAAAAGAGGAAGTCAAATTGTCCCTGTTTGCAGTTGACATGATTGTATATCTAGAAAACCCCATTGTCTCAGCCCAAAATCTCCTTAAGCTGATAAGCAACTTCAGCAAAGTCTCAGGATACAAAATCAATGTGCAAAAATCACAAGCAGTCTTATACACCAATAACAGACAAACAGAGAGCCAAATCATGAGTGGATTCCCATTCACAATTGCTTCAAAGAGAATAAAATACCTAGGAATCCAACTTACAGGGGATGTAAAGGCCCTCTTCAAGGAGAACTACAAACCACTGCTCAATGAAATAAAAGAGGATACAAACAAATGGAAGAACATTCCATGCTCATGGATAGGAAGAATCAATATTGTGAAAATGGCCATACTGCCCAAGGTAATTTATAGATTCAATGCCATCCCCATCAAGCTACCAATGACTTTGTTCACAGAATTGGAAAAAACTACTTTAAAGTTCATATGGAATCAAAAAAGAGCCCGCATCGCCAAGTCAATCCTAAGCCAAAAGAACAAAGCTGGAGGCATCATGCTACCTGACTTCAAACTATATTACAAGGCTACAGTAACCAAACAGCATGGTACTGGTACTAAAACAGAGATATAGGCCAATGGAACAGAACAGAGCCCTCAGAAATAATGCCACATATCTACAACTATCTGATCTTTGACAACCCTGACAAAAACAAGAAATGGGGAAAGGATTCCCTATTTAACAAATGGTGCTGGGAAAACTGGCTAGCCATATGCAGAAAGTTGAAACTGGATCCCTTCCTTACACCTTATACAAAAATTAATTCAAGATGGATTAAAGACTTAAATGTTAGACCTAAAACCATAAAAACCCTAGAAGAAAACCCAGGCAATACCATTCAGGACATAGGCATGGGCAAGGACTTCATGTCTAAAACACCAAAAGCAATGGCAACAAAAGACAAAATTGACAAATGGAATCTAATTAAACTAAAGAGCTTCTGCACAGCAAAAGAAACTACCATCAGAGTGAACAGGCAACCTACAACATGGGAGAAAATTTTTGCAACTTACTCATCTGACAAAGGGCTAATATCCAGAATCTACAATGAACTCAAACAAATTTACAAGAAAAAAACAACCCCATCAAAAAGTGGGCAAAGGATATGAACAGACACTTCTCAAAAGAAGACATTTATGCAGCCAACAGACACATGAAAAAATGCTCATCATCACTGGCCATCAGAGAAATGCAAATCAAAACCACAATGAGATACCATCTCACACCAGTTAGAATGGCAATCATTAAAAAGTCAGGAAACAACAGGTGCTGGAGAGGATGTGGAGAAATAGGAACACTTTTACACTGTTGGTGGGACTGTAAACTAGTTCAACCATTGTGGAAGACAGTGTGGCAATTCCTCAGGGATCTAGAACTAGAAATACCATTTGACTCAGCCATCCCATTACTGGGTATATACCCAAAGAATTATAAATCATGCTGCTATAAAGACACATGCACTGTATGTTTATTGTGGCACTATTCACAATAGCAAAGACTCGGAACCAACCCAAATGTCCAACAATGATAGACTGGATTAAGAAAATGTGGCACATATACACCATGGAATACTCTGCAGCCATAAACAAGGATGAGTTCATGTCCTTTGTAGGGACATGGATGAAGCTGGAAACCATCATTCTCAGCAAACTATCACAAGGACAAAAAACCAAACACTGCATGTTCTCACTCATAGGTAGGAATTGAACATTGAGAACATGTGGACACAGGAAGGGGAACATCACACACTGGGGCCTGTTGTGGGGTCGGGGGAGGGAGGAGGGATAGCATTAGGAGATATACCTAATGTTAAATGACGAGTTAATGGGTGCAGCACACCAACATGGCACATGTATACATATGTAACCTGCACGTTGTGCACATGTACCCTAAAACTTAAAGTACAGTAAAAATAAATAAACAACAACAACAAAAAAGTAAAATATTTTGTAAGGTGCTCTCAATTTTGACACTCCCTTTAAAAACGTTTGGCAGTATATGCAGTGTGACCCAGCAGAACATGTCTCTCTCCTTCTCCTTCCCTCCCTCCCCTTCCCTCCCTCCCCCATGCTTGCAGGTATTTACACAAACACAGGAGCGCATATGCATCTGTGAGTGGGTATAGTAGTGGTGATTTTAATGCTTTCTTTAATCTGCTCTTCTCTCCTCTGTCTGCCTAGGAGGTACCTTCTCTTCCCGGAAGGCCTAACTCAAAAGTCACATGTACCTGATGCCTTTGCCCACGCTTCCTCCCACAGAATAATTCATAGCTCAAATTGTAGCCCCAGAGAACTCCGTGCATTTGGCCTTTCTAGAACTTTCTGCTTTGTAGTTTCTTGTTTGTAGTCTCCGTCTCCCTGGGGGCAAAGACTGTTGTAGGTATTGTATTGTCTAGCCAGCCCAGGCTCCACTGAGCTAATTTTCACATGCCTACTAGGTCCCCACAATGCTTACTAAATCAAATAAAGCCTTTTGAAACTGCCCTGATAGCTTTCTTGCCTGCCTCTTGCTTTTCTGAGTAACTACAGTCAGTTGAAAAAAAAAAAAAGAAGTTCCTTTTTTTTGGCCATCATGCTTGTTTTATTATGTATCAGTTTTCTATTGCCATGTAACAAATTATCACAAACCTAGTGGCTTAAAAAAACATACATTTATTATCTCACTGTTTCTGCAGGTCAGGAGTTGTGGTATAGCTTAACTGAGTCCTCTGTTCAGAGTTTCCCAAGACTGCAATGAAGCTGTTAATTAAGCAGTATCCTCACCTCATCTGGGGAAGAACTCTTTTCCCAACTCATTCAGGTTGTTGGCAGGACTCATTTCCTTGTGGCTATAGGACTGAAAGCCCTGGCTTTTTGCTGGCTGGAGGCTGTTAGGTCCTGGAAACCTAAAGGTCATTGATTTATAGTTGTACCTACAGTGAAGTCTACATGAAATTGTGCTCAATGAGGAAAATAAAACTGGATAGTATTTGATTATTTGGAACCTTAGGAATACCTAAATTCAAGTTCTGGGTCTCTCTATTCACACATGCGTACAGATTCTGTGATGCTGAGGAAATTGTTTACCCTGTTGGTGCCTTAGTTTCTGTCTGTACACACAACAAAGGACTTTCCTATGACAAGCTTTATTTTTAACTTTTATTTTCAGTTCAGGGGTACGCTGCTGGTTTGTTAAATAGGTCAACTTGTGTCACAGGGGTCTGTTGTACAGATTATTTCATCATCACTGAGCCTGGTACCTATTAGTGATTTTTTCTGATCCTCTCCCTCCTCCCACCTTCCAATAGACCAAAATGTGTGTTGTTCCCCCTCTATGTGTCCATGTGTTGTCATCATTTAGCTCCCACTTCTAAGTGAGAACATGTGGTAGTTGGTTTTCTGTTCCTGTGCTAATTCGCTAAGGAGAATGGCCGCCAGCTCCATCCATGTCCATGCAAAAGACATGATCTCATTCTTGTTTATGGCTGCACAGTATTCCATGATGTATATGTCCCACATGTTCTTTAGCCAGTCTATCATTGGTGGACATTTAGATCGATTCCAGGTCTTTGCTATTGTGAATGTGCTGCAATGAACATATATCTGCATGTGTCTTTATGATAGAATGATTTATATTCCTTTGGGTATATACCCAGTAATGGGATTGCTGGGTTGAAGGGTAGACAATCTTTGAAGAAATACATTTAGTATATTCAGTCACTTCAGTTCTGTGATTAGCGAAATCAATCTTGAATACTGCCTCTGCCACTTCCTGTCTGGGTGACCTTGAACAAGTTATTTATCATCCCTGAACTTTAGTTGCCTCATCCTTAAAATTGAGACAGTACTCGTGCTTGCCTCATAGGATTGTGAAGAGTAGTAAAGGAAGATGTTTAAAGTGAAATACAAATATCTGGCCCATAATGAGATGCCTAGCACAATAAGTAATAGCTATTATTATTGTTATTTAAAATTTGGGGTTGTGGTGCATGTCACCCAGGCCTCAGGGAGGATGGGCGGAGTCTGGGTAAGCTGTCTGAAGACCTGAGTTAAGAAATATAATATTTTTCACTCTGACAGGTGTCTATTTCTCTATAAACCTCAGCTTGTTCCCAGTCTTTAAGGTGTGTGTGTGCGGGGTGGTGGTGGGCGGGAGGGCGGTTGATGTTTGAAAATATGAGGAGTGGATGACAAAGGGAAGGAAAGGAGAAGATGGAAGAGGGTCCCTAGAATGGTTCAGCCCCACTCTGAAGTGGAAGCATGTTGTTAAAACAGCCCACCCAGAAATGGGGAGCACATGGCTCCTGCCCACCTGCCTTCTTGGAAAGCTCAAGAAGCCAAAGTCACTTTTTACTCTCATTGCTTGGTTAGGCTCTGTTTTCAAACCTAAGGGTTTATCTTTCACTGTGGCTTAGTAGATTTGTATTTTCAGATCATTGGGACAGGCCTGGAGGACAGAAAGCCTGATTTTCATGGAAGCAACTCCCAGTAGTTGATACATTTATTGCCACTCATGGACGGAAGCATGATGTTCATTGCGTCCTGTGTAATCCGCAGTTTAGAACTGGACTGCCGGACACAGTGGCTTACGCCTGTAATCCCAGCACTTTGGGAGGCCGAGGCAAGTGGATTACCTAAGGTCAGGAGTTCGAGACCAGCTTAGCCAACATGGTGAGACTCCTTCTCTACTAAAAATGCCAAAAAATTAGCCGGGCATTGTGGTGTGTGCCTGTAGTCCTAGCTACTTGGGAGGGTGAGGCAGGAAAATCACTTGAACGTGGAAGGCGGAGGTTGCAGTGAGCCGAGATCGTGCCAATGTACTTCAGCCTGGATGACGGAGCGAGACTCTGTCTCAAAAATAAAATTAAATAAATAAATAAATAGAACTGGACTGCCCAGTGTTCTACCCTCAGTGTCCCAGTGTCCCATTCATTTAACAGGTAGCATTATGGTAACAAATAACAATGCTACCTGTTAAATGAGTGTCTTCCATGGTAAAAGAGAAGATAATAGTTTGGGCACAGTCATTCTTGAGCAATTTTGAAGTGACAAGTAATGTAGTTGCTGAACATCAGACTGACCTAGATGTGTGTTCTCTGCACATCTGTCTCTGGTAACTGCATGGCCATCAGCAGATTAGTAAATGTCCCTGTAGGTGGTAGGCAACACTGAATTGTCCTCATTGTCCTATTAGTTTAAAGATATTAATATTTCCATCAGAGTTTATTAATATTCTCCTCTATGTACAGTGCCCTACTGCTATGAGGAATTTTTTTTTTCAATGAAAACTGAACATCCAACTTTTTATTTGAAATTTCCCAAATGTTGAATGTTGGCCACCAATTCAAAAAAATAAAAACAGGATTTGGGCTAACTGAAACATGCCTGCAGATTGTGTAGCACCTGTGAACTGCCAATTTGCAATCTCTTTCTTATGGCTTTGCCTGGTGGCCCAGGATGGTTTGTATTTTCTTGGCATGGACTAAAAAGTGATACTGACCTGTCACTCCTAACAAGGGCCCAGCAGCCTGATTTCACCAGCAGACCAATTTGTGGGGATTGTGAAGTTCTGATTTTAGTTACCTGTGGCTCTTTCCATTGCTAGAACTCCATGGAACTAAAGGGTTGATGCTTGTCCAAAACGTGTTACCGACTAACTGGAGAAATATGAGCAATTGTGTCGAGGTATCAGATGTGTGCAACTTCATGCTGGCTCTGTGGTCTCTGTGCTATAAAGACAAATCTCTTGTTTGGTGGCTCCCACTGGTGCTTCCAGAGGCTGCTGAGCAGAGAGTCCCTTGGTAACAATACCAAACAATTATGAGGCTTTGGCAGTAGGATAATTCTAGGTAAGGTCAGTGCTGTGCTTGTCTGGCCCTCTCCTGAACAATCTGAACTTGGGCTCTAGAATTGAAATGCTGATTGGCACTTGGAAAATATGTTAATTCTGTAATTAGACAACAGTTAGAATTTAGTTTTAGCAAATAACAAATGACCACTGTTCTACTATATGTTTTTGATGCAGCTAAATTGAGTTATGTAACTTCGTTACTAACAAGATATATTCTACATCTATACGGTAAAACTGAATCAGGTAGAGTCCTGGTAGGGAATACATGACACACTCAAAGGGGCAATTGAATGGAGTGTAATGAAGGTACCAGTTATAAAGATTTGGTCAGGGCTAAGGCAAACCAACAAGAAATGGTGAAGCAGGGAGTAATTCCCACTCTTAGACATGAAGCAATCAGGGAAAAAGTGATTTACAGGAAAAAGCAGTGATCATTCCCAGTAGAGGAACACCCATTGGGAGTTGTGGCTTTAGTAGAACACAACCACTGTCAACCATAGTCCAGGGGAGTGACCTCTCTTTTGCCTCCAGTCTCCTTTCAGTGCCCTACAATGGCCAATCCCAACCAGCAAATAAGTACAGTTCATTCGGTGTTCAGAGATCAGCCTTTAGTGGAATAACAGGTGGAAAAGGATGGAGAATGAGTGTAAAGGGGAAAATGGGGAATATCCAGCACACCTTGCAAACTCTTAGTAGAGGCTATGTTTTAGTCCATTTTCTATTGCTATAACAGAATATCTGAGACTGGATAATTTATAAATGGTAGAGGTTTATTTTGGCTCATGGTTCTGGAGGCTGGGAAGTTAAAGATCTGGCAGCTGTCTCTGATCCACTTCTAGTGACAGCCTTGTGTTGCATCATAACATGACAAAGAAGCCAAAGGGAAGTTGGCATGTAAAAAGGGCAAGCATGAGGGGCTAGGCTTATAACAACCTGCTCTAACAAGAACTAACCTGGTCCCATGAGAATGAACTCAGTCTCTCGAGAAAGGCATGAATTCATCTTAAAGACCTACTCACCTCTTAAAGACCCCATTTCTTAAATGTCCAACTCTCAATATTGCCATACTGTGACCAAACCTCAATATAAGTTTTGCTGGGACCAACTATATTCAAATCACGGCATGCTCTAATCACAGCATTTTCCAGGTGGCAATTTCAGCTTGTTTCCAATGGGCACTAGGAAATACATTCCATAATAATTAGTAATGTATAACTTCTCTAAAAAAGGAATGAGAGGGAAAAGAGGTTGAATCCAAGTTATAGAACTCTGATCACGAGATTTCTACATGTTTTCAAAGAATGCATTTGGAGTTGTTAGAGTGAATGGTGGCAGCAAAATCCGGAAACACAGTCTCTGACATCTGCCTTACTTCACTATGTTTAAAATAGTGTTTTTGTTTTGAATGGGTTTTAAATCATGGACACATTTTGCAGATCACCACAGGTCTCACCATTCCCTAATGCTACACTCAGTTCTTTATGTTATGGTCTGGCTGTTGGACACCCTTGAGCTTGTGACCTTAAATCTAAACCTCAGAGGAGTGGTTCTCAGTGTGTGGTCATTATTACGTGGGAACTTGTTAGAAGTGCATATTATTAGAGCCCACTTCAGATATCCTGAATCAAAAACTTTGGAAGTGGGGCCAAGCAAATTGTTCTAACAAACCCTCTGGGGATTCTGATGCTTGCTGAAGTTTGAGAATCATAGCTCTAGAATTTGGGACCCTTATGACCCCATCATGAAGAGCACATTCGTCTCTGGATCTGTAGCCTTCATATTTCTTCACTCACAGTAGCTACAAGCTTGATATTATGACTCAAGTCCTTTAGGAAACTTATCTCTATTATCAGTAGGGTTGGATTGCTTCTTACTGATTTATTACTGCTACAGGTACTTATTGGCTTGCAATCATTGCATTGCCAAGACCAAATTAGAAGGTTTATAAAAGATGGAAGTAGAACCTAAAGTCAATAATGTTGACTTCTCTAGGTTGAGCTGGAAAAATATTCAGATAAATATGTGCTGAGAACTCTAAAGCTTGAGAGCATGATCCGTCAGGCATGAGGAAGACACAGGAGCAGTGCCTCACAAACAGTAATGAGACCCTTAGCAATAAAAGGGCTCCTCTGGGTTCCTGTTCAATGCTGTCCCCGGGCTGTAATACCAATGATTAGTTGTGTGCCCCACAACTCTTGATTAATTTGGAGGTGACTGAAAGGGCAAGGATTATGACACTGATTGCGTTACCATGGATAAGTCATTTGACTCTGTAAATTTGAGTCTGTAAAAAGAAAGGCCTGAAAGGGTTACTCCAATATTCGTAACTCGATTCGCATGGTCACAGGATTGGTCTGCCTAATTTAATTTTGTGTGAAACTATTGTCTAAGTTCACCTACAGTGCCGAAGAAATGGAACAATCCAAACAGGCAAGTGTCATCAGCCAAGTGAATGCATTAGTTTTCTACTACTGCTTAACAAATGATCCCAAAATATGTAGCTTACAACAACAAATATTTACGATTTTACGGTTTCTGAGAGTCAGGAATTTGGGAGTAAGCTTCACTGAGGGTTTCTCGCCCCAGGTCTCTTATGAGATTGCAGTCAAAATGTTTGAAGGCTTGACTAGACTGGAGGATCTGCTTTCAGACCCACTCATGTTGGTGAGAGGCTTCAGTTTCTTGCCGTGTGGGCCTTTTCTCAGAATGCTCACAATATGACAGCTGGCTTCCCCCAGAGCAGTGCTCTGATAAAGAGCTTGAGCAACAAAGACAGTGTCTTTTATAAGCTAATCTCAAAAGTGCCATGCCATCATTTCTGCTGTATTTTATTGATCATGCAGACCATCTCACGTGGTCTCCTCCTCTGTGTCCTGGTGTTCATGCCCTTGTGTGGTCCCCATGTGACCACACAAGGGCATGAACACCAGGACACAGAGATTATGGGGGCCATCTTGGTGGCTAGTGATCACAGTATACCACGTAGCTGCTGATGGATTATTTGAGGAAGCATGATGGAAGCAGATGTCAGAACAGCTGTGAACTCTAAGTGTAGATCCAGCAGAAGCCTGTCAAGAGCCAAAGCTTTTTTGCTAATTGTGATACTGTTGAATCTATTCCAGATACTATGTTTTGTTGTTTTATTTGTATACTCTGCAATATTGTGGGTCAGTTCTATGTGCATAAACATGCATTTCTGCAAATGTTCACCATCCAAAAACACTTTGCAAATCACATTTCATCTGCTATTTTTAAACCATGCCTGTTTCCTCTCGTGGAGTCTCATTTTTCTAGGATGCTCAAGCATATTTGGTAACCACTCACAAATAGATATGCAAGTCAAACCAACACATATCTTCCAAGCATTTGCATGTTAGTATAACTGAACAGAGACCCACAGCTCCTCACATTTCTTGTGGACCTGTCTCTTGTTGATTTGGGATTGAATTGGTGGGTACTAATTTGCAAAACTGTGCTTCCAACTAACTAGCTCATAACTTCATGCTTCTTTGGCAGGCTTCTTGTAGCTACCTTTTAATTTTTACACCAGATCTGCTCTGTCATAAAAGTAATCTTTAAAAATGATTATATTGCCAAAACATTTTACTGTTATTTTGAGGAGGTAAAGTTTATTAAGCTAAGACACTAACTGTGATTTGTCCTCACGTCATTTTTAAAAATTATGTAAATAATGATGGTGAAAGCTGAAGTACAACCCTCAGCTATATATCCTTTACAGAGGAAGAATTAAGGTAGTAATTAAAAACATGGGCTCTGGGACCACATCATCTAGGATTAAATCCTAACTCTGTTATTTACCATCTATGTGACCTTGGACAAGATACTTTACCCTCTATGCCTTGGTTTCCTCATCTATAAAGTGGGAATGCTAATAGTAACTATTCCTCTGTGTACCAGTTACTGGTACAGTTACTGGCTGCTTTCTATTTAATTTCTATTTCTATTTAATTCTGACTGCTCCCTTTCAGGTCTCTGGGTGGCACAGATGTAGGAACTAGTTCATTGTAGGAACTTAAAAACTCTGACTGCTGAGACCTCAGGGCCACTTCCCTGATCTAAGCTATCTGCATGTGTTCTTTTTTCCCTTGCTGCAGACTCCAGGGACTCAGCCTGCTTTCCTTTCTTTAATGACTGTCACCACCTCCTCTGTCCCTTGGGATTCCTTTTCACATGTGACCAACTAGAGAATGAGCAGCCTCCAGTCTTTGCTGTCCTGGAAACCAGGCATACCTTTCTTCCTCATTTTGAGTTTCCTTGGTAATTAAACAGGGGAATAGTCCCACGCCTGAGAAAGTAGAAAACTGAAGGAATCTTTCTGAATTCTTCTGATTTAAGATCCACTAGGGATAGTGTCTTGGCTTCCCTAGACAATGATATCTGAGAGCCCAGCCAACCTTATTTTCTTTCTTTCCTAAGGGTGACTGTGGGACCCTCTCTTTATCTCCTCTTCTTTCTCTCTGGGTCTTGCTGACTTCTTCCTACTCGAAGGTTCTATTTCTAAATCTATAATCCTAAATTGTTCAAATGTGGGAACAAGGGGTGTAGTGAGTCTATTCCTTCACTAGAAATATATATTTTCCATTTTGTGCTAGATACCGTTTTAGGATTTGTTGGCCTTCCTTCTTTGCATTTGGGGCTGGAGTGATTTAGACAGGTGACATCCATATATCTGTAGAGCATTGCCTACTGAGTCATGATTTTCAGCATTTCTCCAAAGAACCTTGGCAACGAGAGCCATATCTGGTTTTAAACTGGATCTCAGTTTAGGAATTGGTGTTTGAATTGGAAATCCATGATGTGCTGTTATATTTAAAAACAAAGAGTGGTCAGAAAGTCCCTTGGAACCTGACAGATTAATAGCTCCTCTTTTATGTCTGCTGTTTCATTTTCACTAAAGGAACTTCTTCATTCTCTAATTAATTGTTGAACATCTCAAATATATGCAGACCTGGAAAGAAATTTATTGTAGACCTGACAAAAACCACTGTCACTGTGACAAGCACTGAATAAAAGTTGTTTCAACACAGATATTTCCATTTGATAAGGAAGCACTTAAAATAATGGATTGGAACATTTAGAAAGCTTACATATTTGGCATCAGTTTTATTAATAAAGTATTATGAAAAATATTTCATATTATATCATAGCTAACTGCTTCTCTGAAAAATAGTATCAATGTTCTGTTTATAGAGTCTTTCATCTGAGACTCTGAGCATATTTAATGGATGTTAAGTTACCAAACACTCATATCAGATGACACTAAATCATAACTATGCTCTCTATTTGGAAGAATAAAAATGAAATCACCAGGGAGAAAAGCAATTGACTGAGTTTCCATAGTCATAATCATCATAGCTACTTATTGGGTGTTGACTATGTGTCAGGCACACTGTTGACATGTTTTATGCACATTCTCGTTTGATTCTCAAAATTATTCTGTGAATAGGCACAATAATTGAGACTCAGAGAGGTTAAATAACTTCCTCAAAGTGACACAGTAACTTACCAACTTTATACCACTATAATATCAGTGGTAAACTAGTGACAAACACAGAACTAAAATCTTTCTCTTTAGGCACCTTCCCAATCCGAGGTTTCTTTATCTAATTATTTTAGAATGCTTAGGAACCTCAAATGTTTAGAAACCCCAGAATAATGAGTCATCCACCAGTATTACTGTGCTAAGTAAACCATAGTCAGGGCCTGATTTCTGAGTTGGGGCTGCAGTCTGTGTAGAGAATAACCATCTGCCTCACCTCATAGTATAAACTTTCTACAGCTGCACAGAATCTCACGTGCGATGCAATTTGTGGCACAGTGGAGAAAAGCAAGGGCCGGCACAGGATCCTAGATTTTGGGGGAAATGATGCATGCATGGTATTGTGACAGTCTTTCTAGCAACGTTTACTGTGAGGTGGTAGGGTAAATTATGTCATGCCAGAAATAAAAAATATTACTAATGGCCATGTGCTGGGCTGACATAGGAAGTTCATGAAAAGAATAAATAGACCCATAGCATGAGATGGCTCTCAGTTCCAATGTAAAGCTTAAATTGATGTATCAGCATCAGTGCTGGAAAGTTATGTTCAACACATTCTAGCACAGACAGCATCCTAAACAAGATTAAAGCCCAGAAAAAAAAGGACTGAAAAACCATAGTGGGAGTCTTATGCCCTTTCCTCTTCCATCTCCCAAAATGGGAAGGATAGAGGGTAAAACATACACTTGAAAGCTGGCTCCTGTGAGAAAGACCTGGACACAGGGAAAGACAAGGAAAGCAAACAAAAGGCGTTTGAGTCAAAAAGATCCAGGTGATGCCTGAACTTGTGTTTTCTGACTCATTGACAGCTTTGGTGTCTCATCTAAACTGAACCTTGATTAAAGACCTGCCACGTGTAAGTGCCTATGCTCAGTGCTTGGAGGAAACAGATATTTATATTCCTTACAGTCCATGCTATCTAATAACAAAGACGTAATGTACAAATGGATATAGTCATGATGGTGACAATTGTGTTAAATTATTTACACTCAGAATATCACAGAAGCACAGATGGGGGAGGAAAAATTCTTGTTGGGGGAATTGACTAGAATTTGGCACATGTCACTGGGGCAAGGGATGCTAAGCAGAAAGGATAGTAATAATAGAGGCACAGACATAGAAAGTTTAAATATAAATATATGTGTATTATATAGGTATACTTGATATGGGCCAGTTGCTGTTAGGTGTTGAGGTACGTCCTGTTATCCCCACTTTACAGAGGGGATGCTGAGCACATAGCTAGTGAGAGGTGGAGCTGGGATTTGAACCTACATCCTTTAGCTAAAGAACTTCTATCCTTAACTGCCATGCTACCTAAAATCTGAGGAGATTTCTGGTAGAACTCTGAGTTCCTATAGTAACAAGCCATGAGGATTTTTACATGCAAATAATCTAAGGTAACTAATTTAGGGTTTTAATGTCCTCTGAGCACATATACGTGTGTATATATATCATGTGTATCTGTGTGTGTGTGTGTGTGTGTGTGTGTGTGTATATATATATATATATACTCTAAGGACATGTGTGTGTGTGTCCTCAAGCATATATGTGTGAGTGTGTGTGGGGGGTGTGGGGGGGCTTCTGGCTCCTTTCTCATAGGAGCCAGTTTCCAAGTGTGTGTTTTGCCCTTCATCTCCCACTTTTGGTAGATATGTACACACACACACGAAACCAGTAGCCTCATGTGGTTAATACGCAAGATAGGAAGGGGAGTAGTAGAAGATGGGGCTGGCAGGGCAGGTAGGGAAGAGATGGAGCAGAGCCGAGGGCAGTCTGTGCTGGGATGTGCAGCATTTGCTCTGGAGGGAAGGGCAAGTTCCCAAAACTTGCCCAGGAGGGTGACAGGATCAGCCTTGTGATCCTGGCAGCAGCAGAGAGCAATGTCTCTTCCTGTACTCCTCAGGAATGCATCTCATGGATTATGAGATTAGACGATCACACATATCAGGATATAGATGAGTGGGAGGAGAGATGCTAAAGGGATAACCATGCTAACCTAGGAAAATGGTCATTTGTAAATTTTGGCACTTTATTAGGAGTGATAAATGAGAAATGACACTGTTGGTAATTGGTTGTGAGTCATGACACTTGAGTCCGAAGTGAGAACTGCTGGAGTAGTGTGTGTCTATAGGTGATGACAATGAGAACTAAGAAAGGGTCTTGGGTGCCTGAGGTGCGAGCCTTGGCAGAAACAGCTCTGGGTGAGGTGGCACTATGAGGCCTAGAAGGGGACAGGACGGTAAGCATGGAGCTGCAGTGCTGGGTGGTACAGGCACAAGCTTTATAGAGCACCATTTGTGAATGGCATCCCCTAGAGTGACACCACACACCCCCTGCTGCAGCTCTAACTGTCCTCCCCTCATTGCTGTGTTGCACAATTCTGGGAGTGATGGGATAAGACTCCACAGCGCTGAGGACAGGGAAGCCCGAACTTAGGTACCCTAGACAACGTGGGTATAAACATCCTGATGTCTTGTTGCTCTGTATTTTTCTCAGTCTGTGCACAGTAAGCTTGATGGGAACAGACACTATCTTGTTCTCCCCAGCACTCAGCGCAGTGCCTCCCACCTCCCCAAACAGAGCATTCAATCACTTGGTGAATGTCATGAACTTCTAGAAAAAGATTATTTATAATTTATTTATTTTTCACTTTGTATTTTTTTTAAAAAAAGGAAGGACTGAGTAGGGTGAAAAGAATAAACAGACCCACAATATGAGATGGCTCTCAGTTCTAAGTAGAGTGGTGGTTCAGCACCAGCTCAACCCTTCAGATATACAGTAAAGAACACACTCAATTGACAGGGTGATTCTGAGATGGTGGAGATATTTCCAGAATGGTTCAAGGGAAGCTCTGAGGAGTCACGCCACCCTGGAGTACAGAATCAAAAGCTATGACACACCTTAAAATATCCTCTGATTGGAGGCATGCGGGCTTCGTCAGCGTACCTTTAAATAAGCTAGGGTGCTGGACACCCAGAAGCAACCCCTTCTTTACCAGCTTCCTATAATGGTTTGAATTATGTCCCCCAATGTTCATGTTGAAGTCCTAACTTCTAGTACCTCAAAATGCAACCATACTTGGAAACTAGGTTGTTGCAAGTGTAATTAGTTAAAATAAGGCCATGCTCATGGATGTGGTAAAAAGAACTATGCTACATTGCTGGTGAGAATGTAAACTAGTACAACCATTATGGAAAACAGTATGAAGGTTCCTTAAAGAACTAAAAGTAGAACTACAATTTGATCCAGCAATCCCACTATGGGTATCTACCCAGAGGAAAATAAGTAATTTTATTAAAAAAGACACTTGCACATGCATGTTTACAGCAGCACAATTCACAATTGCAAAAATATGGAACCAGCCTAAATGTCCATCAACCAACGAGTGGATAAAGAAAATGTGGTATATATACACTGTGGAATACTACTCAGCCATAAAAAAGAGTGAAATAATGTCTTTTGCAGCAACCTGGATGGAGTTGAAGGCCATTATTCTAAGTGAAGTAACTCAGGGGTGGAAAACCAAATATTGCATATTCTCACTTATAAGTCAGAGCTAAGCTATGAGGACGCAAAGGCATAAGAATGATACAATGGATTATGTATTGGATACAGTGTATACTGCTTGGGTGATGGGTGCACAAAAACCCCAGAAATCGCCACTAAAGAACTAATTCATGTAAGCCAAAACCACCTGTTCCTCAAAAACTATTGAAATGAAATACTTGAACTATGAAAATAAATAAAACGAAGCCATACTGGATGAGTAGAATGGGTACCTAATGCAATATGACTGGTGTCGTTATAAAGGGAAAATTTGGAAACAGGCATGCACACAAGTAGAGCACCATGTGAAGATGAAGGCAGGGGTGGGGGTGATGCTTCTGCAATCGAGGATTGCCAACAAACCACCAGAAGCTAGGGGAGCAGCATGGAATAGATTCTTCCTCACAGCCCTCAGAAGGAACCAACTGTATCAATACCTTGATCTTGGGCTTCTGGCCTCTGGAAGTGTGAGGCAATACATTTCTGTTGTTTTAAGTCACTCCGTTTATGGTGCTTTGTTACAGCAGCCCTAGCAAACTAACATGCTAAGTAAGAAAGACTCCAGCCCTGATAAGGCGGCCACCTCTGCAGGATCTCTCTTCTGCACATTGGCAGCAAACACCACCTGCTCCCTGGCATATCTTACTTCAGATCAACATTTTCAGGACTATAACCATGCTTGACTGGGAAGCTAAATAATTTTGTGTTTCTGACAGTTGTTTTAAAATCTAAATTTGTGGTGGTGATAGAAAGTATGTCAAAGACCCAGAGCTGAACTGCTCTTCCTACAAGGTTGGACACTGAGTCAACAGCTTGGGTAGTGGCCCCTGGGCTCCCCCGACCCACCAACCAGTGATTGTCTCCACATTAATCTCTGGTGTAAAGTGAGTGATAACACAGACTCCATTACTCCCCAGGCACTTGCTTCTTTAGCAGTGGAAATATCCTTGGTTTTACCTGGGTCTTCTCTTTGAAATAGTCTCCCTTGTCAGTTGTTTCCCCAGCGAGATTTGACTGTTCTTGGTACACTGAAGTCGTCTTTCATGCCTCATTTTATTGGGCCTTGTGGGATATTGCAAGCACTTCAGGGCAGGGATCCTACTGTTATTTCTTCTCTGAAGCTCCAATACACTGAACATATAATTTATTTAATAGTAACTATTAAAGACCTTATAAAGTAATCTTTGTAAATGCCTTGTGACTTTTGTGATATTGAACTTCCAAGGGAATATGTACCTGAGGTTTTTTAATACATTGAAGGCAAAGGCTTCTGCAGTCTGAAGGGGTTGCTTGTAACCTAAGCAGATTACTCAGTGGAGAGAGATGCCTGATGGAAAAGAGCCAAACAGAATCATCCATGCTACAGCATCAGCACTAAATAAAAGAAGAAATTACTGCTTAGTGAAACTGTTTTGGATTAGAATTGATTGCAAGATGAACCATCAGCTTTGGTTCAATATCCACAAATCATCTCCCTCTTCCTCTCACACTTATACTTCCAGAGCCTCATCAGAGAAGAGATTTGTGTACATTTTAGCATAAGTCAGGATTTTTCACACTCTGCACTGTTGACATTTTGTGCAAGATAGTTCTTTGTGTGGGGGTTACTATCCTGTTAGATCTTTGTGTGGGGGTTACTATCCTGTTAGATCTTTGTGTGGGGGTTACTATCCTGTTAGATCTTTGTGTGGGGGTTACTATCCTCTGCACTGTAGGCTGTTTAGCAGCATCCCTGGCCTCTGTGTGCTAGATGCCAGCAGCACCCACCTCCCAGTTATGACAACCAAAAAGCATCTCTGAACATGACTCAGTGTCTCCTTGTTCAGAAGACACTGATCATCCCTCGTTCAGAACCACTGATCTGAATGAGAGAAGAAATTTGCTCCAAAAAGTATTGATTTTTTAATTCCTCCTGGGACAAAATGAGGACCCATGATGGTTGGATTTTTGTTACCATGAGCAGGTACCCGGCTTAAACATTGCTAGGGAAACTGGAGGAGCCAAGAAAGAGCTCAGAAAGCTAGCACGCCTGTCCATGGGGTTTCTTTTTATTTCTTGTTTCTGGTTTATTGATAGTCATTAAAATTCTAGCTCTGTGGAGTTCAGAATTGAGCTTGCAGAAAGCTTCTGAAAATTCTAGTCTTTTCCATACTTATGTATGAAGTTAGACATACTTCTTAAGACATGAAGTTACATCACATTCCATTTAAAATTCATGTTACAGGCTGAGACTCCTGACTGCCTGTTGCCAGGATGTCTGTCTTTCCTCTTGGAGCTTCTTTCCTGGGGGTCCTCCAGGTACCCTAGGATGCCTCCATGATCCAGTGGGTCAGTCCTTTTTATTACCCCTTAAGCTGAAGAGGCTGGCTTTACCCACTGAAGCTTCCCTGCCCTCTGGCTGTTGCTGCTGTGGAGTCATATTGAGCAGTCCTGTGTGGGCTCCCACCCACTGCTCTGCCTCTGGTAAGGGTCCCATTGGACAGAGGAGGATAAACTTTTCTCACTCAGTATTTCACGCCCCTCTGCTCCCTCCAGCCGTCTTAGACCTGGAAGCTCAGAACTACAGAACTGTAGGTAAACAGAGCTCTCAGCTCACACACACACACTCACTCACAGAGACATTTTCCCAAGCCGCAGCCATGGAGCTTGAATGACCAGTCTAGAAAGTGCTACCTCAGCTCCACCCTGTTCCTGTCTCTAGGAGGGCCACTGCTCTCCTCATGCTCAAAGGGCCAGTCCTGGTTCCTCTTGCTTCCTGTGTGATGGGGTTACTCCTCAGAGGTGGTTCTTTGGAAACTGAGGACTCTCGGTATCTGTGACGGCTGCTGTACCTCACCTGTCCCCAGCACTGCCAAGGAAGGGGATGACATCAGACATCACTAGAGCTGGGGGCACTGGCTGGGCTTCATGGGGCTGGAGGCAGTCTACCCCCACCACCGACCCACTTCACTCCCTAGGATGACTCACTTCTCAGAATTCTTGGTAGTCAGAATACCTCACTGGAAACTCCAGTAGGTCATTACCAAAATAAAAATGTCTGATGTTGATAAATTTGGCAAGCTTTGGGCGTTTAGTCCAGTCAGAGCATTTGTTCATTTAATCAGTCAGTCAACTGACATGTTTTGTGCACCAGCTGTGTGTTAGGTCCCAATCTAGTAGTGAACAAGACTGACAAGCTCTCTGTCTCCATGAGTTTATATCCTAATGGGAGAGGGAGGCACTATACCAGTGAACACACTGATGAGGAAAATGGTTTGGGATTGTGACATAAGCCTAAATATTAAAGGAAATAAATGGAGTAATGTTATGGAGTATAACTGAGGGCTTAGCTACTTTAGATAGGGTGTTTGGGGAATGCCTCTCTTAGAAGGTGGTATTTGGTCTGAGACCTGAAGGATTACAAGTTCCCAGCCATGCCAGGAGCTGAGGAAGGGTTCCAGGCACAGGGAACAGCACATTCTAAGGCCTTGATACATGAACAAACTTGACCACTTTGAGAACACTACACAGAACCAGTGAGTGAAAGAAGGAGGGCCATGAGGCTGACCTGGAGGGGTGGGCAGGGATGGACCACGGAGGACTTTGTAAGCCTAAGGAAAGAGTCTGGATTTAAGTGCAGCAAAGGCCGTTGAAAGGATCTAAGCAGGAGAATGGTATGATCTAACTGCCATTTTTTAAAGACCACACTCTGGCTACTATGTGAAGTATAGGTGAAAAGAGGGTCTGGAGGCAGAGACCCATTAGCAGATTATCGTAGTGGTCTGGGCTGGACATGACAGAGGTATGAATTAGGTGACAGACATAGAGATGGTGAGAAGTAGACGTAGTTGAGGTGTGTTTTGGGCAAATCAGTAGAACTTGCTAATGAATTAGATGACAGGGGTGTGGGAGAAGAATACTAACTGGTTGGATGGTGATGCTATTTGTTGAGATGTAAATGTCTGAGGAGAGAAATATTTGGGAGGGAGGAAAATAACAATTTCTGCTTGAAACATTTTTAAGTTTGGGATAATATTAAACATTCCAGTAAGGGTACCAAGTAGAAAGCTGGATGTGAGATATTTTGAGCTGTGGGAAAGCCAAGGCTAGAGACAACTTGGAATGATCAGCCTATGGGTAATATTAAATCCATAGGCCCGAATGAGATCTCTCAGAGGAATGAGGAAGAGTAGAGAAGGGACCCTGGACCAGACCTCGGGCGCTCCAACATTAATGATAAGGTGGAGAAGTCACGTTAGAAAAGCAAACTAAGAAGGAACTGTTGGGGAAGTAGGAGGAACTCCAGGAGGATATGGTATCCTGAAAGCTAAGAGAGGTGAGTGTTTAAAGACTGAAGGAAAGGTCCAATATACCCAGTGCTTCTGAAAGGAAAGGGAGATGAAGGAAGGCGTTGAGACATGGGGTGCATATCTGAGGCTGCAGGGCACAGGTAGTGTTTCTCACCCACCTGCCCCAGAAAAACTTTTGAAATATCAAATCTCTGGATTCAGTATGGAGTCATGAGTTCTCTTTGGTAAATTTTGGGGGATTTGGTGATTTGCTTTTAAGTAGGGCAACAAAAAAGGTATATTCATTCATTTCGCCAACATTACCTAGTGCCCATCACATGCCAGCCACTAGAAATACAGTGGAGAAAAATAGATATGGCCCATTTCCATAGTCTGTGACATGCTGTGGTTGGCAGAATAATGACCCCTCAGAGATGCCACATTGGAATCCCCTAAACCTGTGGACGTGTTACCTTACATAGCAAAAAGAACATTGCAGATGTGAATAAATTAAGGATCTTGAAGAGGAGAGATTATCCCAGATTATCTGCATGTGCCCAAGGTAATCACAAGCTTCCTTTATAAGAAGCAGGCAGGAGGGTCAGAGTCAGAGATGGAGATGTGAAGACAAAAGCAGGGGTGATAGGGGATCATGAGCCAAAGAAGGCAGGCAGCTTCTAGAAGCTGGAAAAAGCAAAGAAAGTGTTCTCCCCTGGAACCTCCAGAAGGAATGTAGCCCTGCCAATCAGTTTTAGACTTCTACCACCAAAACTGCAATATAATAAATCTGTGTTGTTTTAAGCCATTATGTTTTGGTAATTTGTTACAGCCGCAAGAGGAAACTAATAGAAAAGTGAAGCACATTAGCACACAAATAAAGGGAGTAATTATAAATGGGGACACAAGCTGTGATGTGAAGGAAAGGAAAAGGTGTGAGAAGTTTCAACAGAGGAGCTGATTTAGGTTAAGGATCAGGAAGGCATCTCTGAGGAGTGATCTTAAGTGCCACTTGAAAGATGATGAGAAATAGGTAGGCAGACAAAGAAGTGAACAAACAGCAAGTGTGCAGACAGGAAGGAAGGACAGAGATGAGGCCAGGGTAACTGAAGCAGAGTGAGTGAGTCGTAGGTCTGTCAGATTTAGTAAATAGAAATACAGTGCACGCAGTTAAGTTTGAGTTTCGATAAGCAATAAATCATTTCTAGTATAAGTCTATGCAATATATTACCTGTATTTTATCTGACAGCTAATGTGAGAGAGAGTGATTCTACAAAGATCAGATCATGCAGGGTGTTGCTGAAGAGCTTGCATAAAGCTTAGATTTTATTTTTCAGAAAGAAACAAATACGCTTTGTACACACTTCTTAAAAGCTCAGTTTCCTTTCTCCTTTTTAAGAAAGGTTCATAAACCATCCATATTTATAGTTTTAATTGAAAAAATAAGAAAAGGGGAGAGGAATATAGTTTTGCAGAGAAGCCTCTCAAGCTTATTCTTGAAACAGCCACTAGTAATTCACTGCATGTGGCATCTAAACTGAAATTTTAAGGCACATGAATGTGTTATGTAGCTCTAAGAAAAAAATGGCAATAAACTATGACATATTGTTTTCATATTGTTTTGAATTTTTATTTTATGTTTATTTGAAATTGCTCTTTTAGGCTTCTTTAAATATACAGTGTTAGTAGCTATATCTCTTTTTAAAAATTATTTTGTTTTAGATTAACTGTCTCTGTTGTTAATACATGAACAGTTAAATGCCCAAATCATACAAATTACTCATCAATTCCATTTTTGAGGTCCATATTTTCCATGCTATAACATCCTCTGTGCCATCAAGAATGATGATGATGTATCATTTCTTCAAATAATGCTCTATGATTGCCTTCAGAATTTTTTCCAAGATTTTGACACCTGAGGTATAATATCTGATGCTAGCATTTAAAGAAATCGTGCTAGAAGTTACTGTCACAGTAAAATCAGAGCTAGACAATAGTGAAAACACTAAAAAGACATTTGGGAACCATAGCAATAAAGGAAGAGACTTCCACATGAAACCGCTCAATTCTGAATAAAGCATGGGCAAGTGGAAATTTTAAGTCAAGGAGCAGAGAGAGGGTCTGTGGTTGGAAAACTAATAAGAGGAAGGATCAGGGTAGCGGGGATTCTGGCTAACCGAACTAACAGGATTCTTGCTGAGGACAGGCCGGGGTGATCAGACATCGCCTGGGGGATGGTAGAGGATGAAGAACCCGATTACATATTGAGGGTGATCAGGTGTGAAGGATGAGGATTCTGGTTAAAGTGACTTAGCAGGGTTATTTCTAAAACTGCATTTTATAAGGAAGAACACAGATGGGTCTAGGAAAAGGTTCAGGAGCCTAACCAAAGTTTGGTCATGCGAAGAATATTTTTCAATATCAATGGAAGCTTTTCAGATAAGGCCAGGATTCCTCTTTCTTCCTCAGATAGTCCTTATAAAGAGCTTATGGACTGAAACATTAAGGGGTTGAAGTTGTCCAGTAATGCCACCAGGAATTACAGTGCAGTTCAAGCATTCCAAGACAATGGCCACATGGCTAACAGTGATTGTAAGACACCATTAGCTCTAAAACAAATTTTTATTTTGAAGGTTGTTAGACTTCAAACCAACAAAGATCAAAAGAGACAAAGAAGGCCATCACATAATGGTAAAGGGGTCAATTCAACAAGAAGAGGTAACTATCCTAAATGTATATGCACCCAATAACAGGAGGACCCAGATTCATAAAGCAAGTCCTTAGTGACCTACAAAGAGACTTAGACTCCCACACAATAATAATGGGAGACTTTAACACCCCACCGTCAACATTAGACAGATCAACGAGACAGAAAGTCAACAAGGATATCCAGGAATTGAACTCAGCTCTGCACCAAGCGGACCTAATAGACATCTACAGAACTCTCCACCCCAAGTCAACAGAATATGCATTCTTTTCAGCACCACATGACACCTATTCCAAAATTGACCACATAGTTGGAAGTAAAGCACTCCTCAGCAAATGTAAAAGAAGAGAAATTATAACAAACTGTCTCTCAGACCACAGTGCAATCAAACTAGGACTGAGGATTAAGAAACTCACTCAAAACCGCTCAACTACATGGAAACTGAACAACCTGCTCCTGAATGACTACTGGGTACATAATGAAATGAAGGCAGAAATAAAGATGTTCTTTGAAATGAACGAGAACAAAGACACAACATACCAGAATCTCTGGGTCACATTAAAAGCAGTGTGTAGAGGAAAATTTATAGCACTAAATGCCCACAAGAGAAAGCAGGAAAGATCTAAATTTGACACCCTAACATCACAATTAAAAGAACTAGAGAAGCAAGAGCAAACACATTCAAAAGCGAACAGAAGGTGAGAAATAACTAAGATCAGAGCAGAACTGAAGGAAATAGAGACACAAAAAACCCTTCAAAAAATCAATGAATCCAGGAACTGGTTTTTTGAAAAGATCAACAAAATAGATAGACCGCTAGCAACTAATAAAGAAGAAAAGACAGAAGAATCAAATAGACGCAATAAAAAATGACAAAGGGGATATCACCACCGATCCCACAGAAATACAAACTACCGTCAGAGAATACTATAGATACCTCTACGCAAATAAACTAGAAAATCTAGAAGAAATGGATAAATTCCTCCATACATACACCCTCCCAAGACTAAACCAGGAAGAAGTGGAATCTCTGAATAGAACAATAACAGGCTCTGAAATTGAGACAATAATTAATAGCTTACCAACCAAAAAAAGTCCAGGACCAGATGGATTCACAGCCGAATTCTACCAGAGGTACAAAGAGGAGCTGGTACCATTCCTTCTGAAACTATTCCAATCAATAGAAAAAGAGGGAATCCTTCCTAACTCATTTTATGAGGCCAGCATCATCCTGATACCAAAACCTGGCAGAGACACAACAAAAAAAGATAATTTTAGGCCAATATCCTTGATGAACATTGGTACAAAAATCCTCAATAAAATACTGGCAAACCGAATCCAGCAGCACATCAAAAAGCTTATCCACCATGATCAAGTGGGCTTCATCCCTGGGATGCAAGGCTGGTTCAACAGACACAAATCAATAAATGTAATCCAGCATATAAACGGAACCAAAGACAAAAACCACATGATTATCTCAATAGATGCAGAAAAGGCCTTTGACAAAATTCAACTGCCCTTCATGCTAAAAACTCTCAATAAATTAGGTACTGATGGGACGTATCTCAAAATAATAGGAGCTATCTATGACAAGCCTACAGCCAATATCATACTGAATGGATGAAAACTGGAAGCATTCCCTTTGAAAACTGGCACAAGACAGGGATGCCCTCTCTCACCACTCCTATTCAACATAGTGTTGGAAGTTCTGGTCAGGGCAATCAGGCAGGAGAAGGAAATAAAGGGCATTCAATTAGGAAAAGACGAAGTCAAATTGTCCCTGTTTGCAGATGTACATGATTGTATATCTAGAAAACCCCATCATCTCAGCCCAAAATCTCCTTAAGCTGATAAGCAACTTCAGCAAAGTCTCAGGATACAAAATCAATGTGCAAAAATCACAAGCATTCTTATACACCAATAACAGACAAACAGAGAGCCAAATCATGAGTGAACTCCCATTCACGATTGCTTCAAAGAGAATAAAATACCTAGGAATCCACCTTACAAGGGATGTGTAGGACCTCTTCAAGGAGAACTACAAACCACTGCTCAATGAAATAAAAGAGGATACAAACAAAAGGAAGAACATTCCATGCTCATGGGTAGGAAGAATCAATATTGTGAAAATGGCCATACTGCCCAAGGTAATTTATAGATTCAATGCCATCCCCATCAAGCTACCAATGACTTTGTTCACAGAATTGGAAAAAACTACTTTAAAGTTCATGTGGAACCAAAAAAGAGTCTGCATCATCGAATCAATCCTAAGCCAAAAGAACAAAGCTGGAGGCATAACACTACCTGACTTTAAACTATACTACAAGGCTACAGTAACCAAAACAGCATGGTACTTGTACCACAACAGAGATATAGACCAATGGAACAAAACAGAGCTCTCAGAAATAATGCCACATATCTACAACTATCTGATCTTTGACAAACCTGACAAAAACAAGCAATGGGGAAAGGATTCCCTATTTAATAAATGGTGCTGGGAAAACTGGCTAGCCACATGTAGTAAGCTGAAACTGGATCCCTTCCTTACACCTTATACAAAAATTAATTCAAGATGGATTAAAGAGTTACATGTTAGAAATTTAGGTCTAACCATAAAAACCCTAGAAGAAAACCTAGGCAATACCATTCAAGACATAGGCATGGGCAAGGACTTCATGTCTAAAACACCAAAAGCAATGGCAACAAAAGCCAAAATTGACAAATGGGATCTAATTAAACTAAAGAGCTTCTGCACAGCAAAAGAAACCACCATCAGAGTGAACAGGCAACCTACAGAATGGGAGAAAATTTTCGCAACCTACTCATCTGACAAAGGGCTAATATCCAGAATCTACAAAGAACTCAAACAAATTTACAAGGAAAAAAAAAACCCATCAAAAAGTGGGCAAAGGATATGAACAGACACTTCTCAAAAGAAGATATTTATGCTGCCAAAAAACACTCGAAAAAATGCTCATCATCACTGGCCATCAGAGAAATGCAAATCAAAACCACAGTGAGATACCATCTCACACTAGTTAGAATGGCAATCATTAAAAAGTCAGGAAACAACAGGTGCTGGAGAGGATGTGGAGAAATAGGAACACTTTTACACTGTTGGTGGGACTGTAAACTAGTTCAACCACTGTGGAAGTCAGTGTGGCGATTCCTCAGGGATCTAGAACTAGAAATACCATTTGACCCAGCCATCCCATTACTGGGTATATACCCAAAGAATTATAAATCGTGCTGCTATAAAGACACATGCACACGTATGTTTATTATGGCACTATTCATAATAGCAAAGACTTGGAACCAACCCAAATGTCCAACAATGATAGACTGGATTAAGAAAATGTGGCACATACACACCATGGAATACTATGCAGCCATAAACAAGGATGAGTTCATGTCCTTTGTAGGGACATGGATGAAGCTGGAAACCATCATTCTCAGCAAACTATCGCATGGACAAAAAACCAAACACCGCATATTCTCACTCATAGGTGGGAATTGAACAATGAGAACACATGGACACAGGAAGGGGAACATCACACACCCGGGCCTGTTGTGGGGTGGGGGAAGGGGGGAGGGATAGTATTAGGAGATATACCTAATGCTAAATGAGGAGTTAATGGGTGCAGCACACCAGCATGGCACATGTATACATAAGTAACAAACCTGCACGTTGTGCACATGTACCCTAAAACTTAAAGTATAACAATAATAAAATTTAAAAAAAATGACCAATGATGAGTTGTAATGTGTGGGAGCAGAACAGAATATTAGAAAGGCTACCTACTGTAGGTCTTAAGTGATTCATTTAAATTATTTAAGCCCGTTTTGCTACCTGTAAATCGGGTGATAATTTCCAGCAGGCAAAACTGAAGCTACTGACAGATAGTAAGTACTCATAAATCAGGGCCATTATTATGTATTATTGTTATTATTGATCTGAATTTTATTTTAAGATAATTTATTTTAGCATTGCACTATTTCTTACTTAATGTCAGTTTATCACAGGAAAGTAAATGTTCATTGTTAAGAGTCCTTGGTATGCATTACTCAATAATTAAACAGGCTACAGTGTTTTCTATGAAAATGTCATATCAAGTCTTAATACAATTGGTCAAATCATTAGCTGTCAAATTACTGTGCTCTAGTAAGTGTTACTATACTTGCTTAAGTGTTTTATTTTTTTTTTCTGAAGGTGGTTGAAACTTTTGTTTGTGGGTCATTTACAATAAGAACCAATTAAGGTTTGCATTTTTATATTTGGGCTAATTAGATTAATCATTCTGATTTATATTAATATGGATAAAGCCATAATTTTTGCTAAACCATTACACAAACAATGTGCTAAAGAATGTATATCTAAAATGCTAGAGTAGATGTCCTATAACAAGAAGAGGAAGAGAATAAATCTTATCCAATCTAAAGATATGCCAAAGCAACCAGACTAAATAAATGGGAGATAGGGTAAACCACCTAAATAATTAAATGTTTTATTTAAATTGACATTTTTTTCTTATTTTAGTTGGTAAAAATCTGAATTCCTGAAGTGATATTGCCATATTATGTATATAAATACTTTATAATTTGCTATAATTTAAAAGAATGCTTTTTCAACATTAAAACTATGACACTGCCCTATATACCATATCTGTACAAAAATTATACATTTTAGACAACCATCCAGAGATATTTCTCTACTTCTTGGAAAAAAATATCAACATTGAAAACATCAAAAAAAGTAAACAGTTCTTTTGTCCAGATGTTTTGTGTTTTTAGATAAGAAGTTTTGTTTCATGTGAATATAAACTCAGAAGGGGATGAAAGTTAAACTTCTGATTTAACATCACAAAAATAAAAGTAAATTGGAAAAAAAAAGAAAAAATCTGTATCTTATAAAATATGGTATTTGCCATTACTAGGATAATCGTTTATATTCCAATAACTATAATGTTGTGGAAAAGCAAAATGATCACCTAAGCACAAGTTAATTTGTTGTTAATATAAAATCAGCCCTGAAAGAGGAGTGATTTTTTTTTTCTCACTAGCTCTCGGTCTTCAATGTAAACACCTTCACCAACAATGGAAAGAGTTAAACGTAGAAAGAAATGGTGATTGCAACCACGGTTAATTAGGAGTTTGTCTAGATAAGGTTAAAAATCACCTCCCCATGTCACCTTAGCACGTGGCCTTATTGCTATTTTATTTATTAATGGGCAACTGTGGGACAAAGTAATAAAATAAGGCAATTAAACTCTAATGAATCTCTAGGGTCAAGCAATCCAGATTTGCAGACTTTCTAGAAATAAGAGTATGTATTTGTGTTAATGCAATGGATATTTGTGTTTATAGATTAGAGTTGATTGTGCAATCCCCAATAGTACATCCAAGTAACTCAATCTTTAATAAATCCCAAATAATGGCTTTTAGGAAAACAGACTTGTAAGCCTAGAAGTTACTTATACCCACCTCTCTTAAGACTATGCTATTCATCAGTGAATCTAGACAGGTGAGTGTTGCTTATCTTCATAAATAGGTCTGTGCAAGGGTAAATTATTGCCTATTAATACAAAGTATTCTAGGTAATAGCTGCAGTGTAATAGCTGTTCTATGTAATAGCTATAGTGTTAAAACTTTTATAAATTTTGTTTCCTTTTACTCTAAATTAAATCATGTTTTAGTGGTACTATGAAACATTGTCATTTAAAAGCATTACAGCATGAATCATTTTCTAGTAGAATCACTTCCCAGTTTATCCATTTTGTGGTTTTGGAGGTTTAAGTCTTGAGTTTTCTTAAAATAGGTCATGACTTTAGCAGGCTAATTTCAAATCTTCAGCTAGAAAGTGTACCTAGATTTCCTCTCTTGTTATTTTTGGGGGTGTTTCTGTTTTATTGGGTTTTGCTGACTAGGGTCATCCAGTCTAACTCTCTCATCTTAAAGATGAGGAAACTGAGGCCCAGAAGAATTAGGTTCACCTGGCAATCTTATTCTGGGGCTGTCTTATTCTGGGGCTGTCTCAGTTGGCTTTGGTAAGATTTTCAGTGAAACTGAGAGACAATGTTGTTTGTCATAGGCTCATTTAAAAAATACACTATTTTAAAGTTAGCGTGTTTATGATCATCGTTCCTCTGAGTAAATAATTAGGATGCAATAGGTGCTTTTGATATTGAATAGAAAAAGGCTTACATTTTATAAATGATTATCTTTGCTTTCTCTCTAAGGCTAGTTAGTGTTTGTCTATAGAACAACTGTTTCTTTATAACATTGTATTGATTTTCACTTTCGTGTGGTAATGCTTTCTGGCAAGAAAAATGAATTGTTAAAAAGACCAGAAAACCATTATATTGGTGTGCAGAGTCAGCCACTATTTATCGATTAATTTATAGTTCATATAAACTTATATTTTCTATCATTTTATAAAGTTCATGCTATATCAATTGCCTTCAATCAGATCTATATGAGTTCTATTTTTATGTTAATATTGTTTGTAAAATTTAAGCTAATTCTTTTCTCATCTCAAGTGGCTTTCTTTAAGGACTGAACATAAAAAGTGATTATCTTTTCTAAGTGTTATTTTGACAGAGATAATCTATATAAACCAAACTTATGGAAATATGCTATCCAAAATGATATATCAGGGCTCTGTGTGACTATACTTGCTGTATAACCTCAGTTATTTTACTTAACTTCCCTGAGTCTCAATGTTTTCATTCATAAAATGGAGATAATGCCTCATTGAATAAGGAACAAATACAATATCCTTTTCAATGCTCTTGAAGTACTATTTGGCACATGTAAAAAGGTGTTGCTGGAATTTGTTCAGTGTAGGAGACTTGTACCAAAATAAAACAGGGGAGTTACTCTTGAGTCACAATTGAAGAGGTAGAAAACAGCTGTAAGTCTGCAATTGGTTCAAGCCTCATGTGTTCTCTTGGCTTGAAGTTTTTATACATTTTCTTTTTCCTTTCTAAAGTCTAAAGGAATTCTTTATCTCTTTTTTGTCAGTACTTTTTGTGATTAGGAATTAGATAGATAGAAATGGATTCTTTATCTTTCCTCTATTCAGTGGGGATTTACAGAATTTTGGTTGCCAGTATGTTGGAAATACCATAAAGTCAAGATGTTGGAACACACAGATCCTCCTGGAACATTTACAGCACATTACAGAAGATAAGGAAACCAGCAGAGACCATTGGAGAGAAACTTTAACCCTCTCTTCCCTCTTGTGCCTGCCTTTCTAGATTAGGGACCAGGTCATTTATTATAGGATATAAGTTGTGATATTCAAAGGAAATATTATATTGAGAGGAGAGGAGAAATTTTTAATATAGAAAAAGGGGGAGGTCTTTGTTGGCTTTGAAGAAGAGTTTGTTTCTTGAAGCTAAAATTGAGATAATGACCACACATGACCATGATGTTGATGGGCACCGTGAGCTAAAACGAGTTTCTTATGGTTATCCTGGACAGATCAGCCCATGTTTTCCCTTTATTACTCCAAATATCAGTAAGGCCCAACTTCCTAAGGCAGAAGTTTTGCTCCATAAATTGTAGTAGTTAGATATACTAGTAGACTCATGATTAGTAGTCCTATGCACTAGTAGACTAGTAGACTTAGACAATTGTCATTTATGGGATAAAGTGGGGTGAATACCTTGTCCTCTGCCACATCACCTAATAAAGTACTGGGCCCCTCACCAAGAAAGCAATAATATCCTGGAATTATTTTGATATGGAATTATGGGAGCTTCACTCTGAGATATTTTAAAATTATATCTGGCACTAATGAAACAAATAAATATGACCTTCAGTTGAATACAGAGCCCATGGCTCTTGTGTTTTGGTAAACCCAATCTGAACATAATAATGAACCAACACAAAATTTTATAGACTTTAGCTGATCCCAAGCAGAAAACACTATATTAACATAGGGGTGGGGAAAATGGGGACTTCTCAATGAATCTTCTGTGTTTTTAATTTATACATGTAGTTATAAGAAGATGAGAAAATGGTTTCACAAAAGAAGGATGAGAAGTGGTATATCTTGTGTCATTAATGAGGCAGGATATATTTAGGGCAAGAAACAGGCAGTGTAATAATTTGGGGTCATCTGTCTTTATCTCTTGTCAGCTCAGACTCTGTGTAATTGACTTAATCTAACTTAGCTAATGAGATTATTTTTCAAATTGTTTTCTAAACCAGTGATATTAGCTGATTAGGTCAAAGTTCATCAGCCTCTTTTGCTTAGGGCCATTAAAATGGACCCAATGCCTTCACTTACAGGTAACAGACTCCTAAGTCAAATTGGGCACAGAAATAAACAAAAGGCAGAATTTTGGGGTTTATGACACCGAAAAGTCCAGGAGATGTTTGACTTCAGGTAAGGCTTGAAAGAATGAACACTTGGTCTCTCTCCATTTTGCATGTATGTGGCAAAGATGACCCTAACTCTAGGCTTGCATTCTCTCAAGAGGACCTCTTGATAGGGGACCTCTGACCTAAACTATGTAGATTTAGAGTGGAAGAGAGGTGGTTCCTTGTGGGAAAATCATGGCTGTCATCCAGAGGAAGGGGTTTGGGACACATAAGAGTAACATCTGTTCCCGCCACCCACCTGCCTTTCCTGTAGTAGCCTTCCTTGTATCAGAAGGGCTAATTCTTGTTTTAGTCCCATTTGGTTCTATAAAACACATGTCGACTGAAAAATCACACAATTATAAATTTGAAAGGAGACTTTATTTCTTTAAAGGGTTCACCCTGCAGTTTGGAAAGTGAGCCTCTGGCTGAAACTGGAAGCAGGCATTTCCAAGGAGTAAGGGTTGCAGAGGAGATTTATGCTCAGTGGATTGGCTAAATTTATGTATTCAACAGCTTACAAGAAGAGCTATGAATATTCACGAAGGGGCCCCTAACACGTGTGCTGAACAAACATACATGTTACACACAACCCATGTTCACTCTGGGGCTGAGACTTTTAAATGCATTACAATTAGGCCCTATACACCAGAAGGTGACACAGAGACATAAAGGCACTCAGTGTGCAGCCTCTGTAAACCAGCCAGAACCAGTCTGTGGTCAGTGGTCTCTTATCAGGAGAAAGTTACTGAAATCAGTCCTAACCAATCAAAGCTGTAGCTATTGCTTGTGGAACAAGGGTGTCAGTTACTCAGAGTCTGCTAGTGGATGAGCTGCAATTGTTTCAATATCGCTTACCTGGAGGCCAAGGCTTATTTAGCTGCTAGAGAAAGAGAAACCTTGTGGTGGTTAGGACATAGTTTATTCTTATGTAGAGGAGGGTGGCTTAACTCCTGCCTGGTATGACCGTAGGTCTCGTTTATAATTTGTTATTATCACAAAGAGTGCATTCCATCAGTCTTATGATCTTTATTTTAACATTAATGCTGGTCAGTGGTGTCTAGCTGCAAAAGGGACGGGGTCTAAAGAAGTGTGTCTGACCTCCCATCCCATCATGGCCAAGACTCAGTTTTTAATGTCTCTTTGGGGTCCCTTTTGCCAAGAGGGGTTCATTCAGTCAGCTGAGGGGATTAGGATTTTATTTTCAGTTCTCATATGAAATCAGGTAGCTTCATGCCCTAGTCTCCTCAGGAATTGTTTGTAATAATGTTTGTATTACATTATATTAAAACAGTAATTTAGAATATGTAAAATGGTACAGTCCAATGGTGGTAATTCCTTTTAGAGGCAACTTTTAGTACCTCCTTCAGTTAGCCTGGAAGATTGAGCCTGCTTCTAGTACAGCAGTCCTAGCTAAACCATCCTCGGAGAGGATCCCATTTTATGTATTTGGACATTTGCGTGTGTTTCTTTATAAAACGTGTAAGACTGCAGAGAGAAGCACTTCCCTTCGCCACCACAGGGCCAGGGAGCTGGGCGCTTCAGCATGGCAACAGCTTCCTCCAGAAAGGTCTCTTACAGATGGGGTTAGGAGACACTTTCTGACTTTAGGATCTGAGGGACAAGACACTGATTGTGTTGTTCTCCACAATGCAAAACTGAAGGAGGAGGAGTTCAATTGTAAGATTCTACTTCAGCTGTTATTATTGTCATCAGCATCCAGCATCCTATAGAAAAAGAGACACTTTTTTCTACAGGTTGATGGGTTTGGTGACTTGTTTCAGAGTCCCAGGATTTATTTTTCACTCCCAAGAAAGTCACTTGGCCACTCTAAGCCTTGGTTTCCTCATCTATAAATTGGAATTAAGATCAATTGCTCTGAGGTCCAATGACATAACGTATGCAAAGCTTCTTTGTATAAACTAAAAACCACTTTTACGTAAGATTCATTCAGGGATGAAGCACTCCTTGACTAGAACCTTGTAACTGGTTCTGCTGTGGTTAATAAACACTAGTCTGTGGCTTGCATTTTGTTGGCAGATGTAATTTTTCTGGAAAATAAAGCATTTGGAGTCACTTTTTATAATGTAAAAATAACAAAGAGGGCTCTGTTGGCCTAGGTGGTTCATTAAAAAGTCTCTAATAATGTATAGGGTTGCCAGATTTTGCAAATAGAAAACTAGTATGCTCAGTTAAATTTGAATCAAATGAACAGCAAATAATTTTAAGTCTAAGTCTATCTGGCAGAGAGCATGGGATTTTATCTGGTAAACCCACCAAAAATATCAGTAGACTGCAAGCAGAAATCGTCATCTAACTTATTTTTATATTTCCAAATTTTAGCACAATCCCTGACCCATAGCAAGTGTTTAATACATAATTCTGGAATAAAGCAATCATTAGAATATCTATTTGGAAAGCTGTTGTTCATATGACATATTGCTTTTATCAAGCTTTTTCAGCTTTGCTTTTCTCACCTGTTAAGTAAAGATAATAGTAACTGCCTCACTAATTAATGGAAGAATAACATGGAGTGGGGTATATGAGCATTCTTTATTGGCTGTTAAAGCAGTCTACAAGTGTGCTGCAAATGTGTTATAAACCCCACAAGCAGTAGAGCTACCGTGCATGGTATTTTCAGTGCAACCTCTGCAATATAGAGTAGAACATAAGTTTTCAAAGCATGTTAGTAAGGTCTACATGTTTAGTAATCAAATCCAACGTACTGAAAACAGTTCCCATCGGGCTGTTCCTATTTCCACCTGGAGGAGTCAGCGCCCAGTGTTTAAGCTTGGTTGGGTTTCTGCAGAGAATTAAACTGTGCCTAACTCCTACTGGTTCTCCTGCTGTCTTAATGTCTCCATTGTCTAATTTGGAGATTGTGAAGCAAACATTGGTTTGCTGTGGCAGCTCTGGATAATTTTCCTGAAGCCACCTATTAACAGCATACAAAACCTACTCCAGCAAATCAACAATAAGACCCCACATGGAAGTAAAAGCTGTTTTAACTTTCACCTGGTGTAGCCAGGAAGTTATGAGTTAAGGCTCCATTTCTCTTGCTTTGCTAACATTTTCACATGCTGTTGAAGTAGTGAGTGGTTTTTAGGTGCCATATGTGTTGGCGTAATTACATACACTGGCATAAATTGTTTGATGCAATTTCTCAAACTTATTTAAATTTGTTCTCAGAAATCAAAACAGCTCATTAGCTTCCAAGAATACATTTGTAATTCCTGGAAAATAATTTCTTATGGCATTTCAAGTTTGACATATTAAGCTGCCATTCTTGAGGCCTTCCTGAATTTTAGTTTTGCAGATGCTTATTAATTAAGCATCTGTCTCCTTTACTGGCTTCATCTCAACCTCAAATCTAAATGTTGGTGGCCTTGGAGCTCAGTGCTGGTTCCTCCTGTAGTGCTGTGTGTTAGCTGATCTCACTCAAACCTGTGACAATTAAACATCTCTCAGCTGACTATTCCCATATTTCTCTAGCCCAGTGTTATCTTCTGAGCAACAGACTGCACAGTCTAATGGCCTTTTTGACATCCCCACTTGGATGTCATATATTTCTGAAACTTAACACATCTGAAATCAGCCGCTTAGTCTCCCTCCGACCCCTCTCCGCACTTCAGTGAGTACTCCTCTCTCTCGCAGTTGTTTGTCTCCTACATTGTTCAGTAAAGGACAACATCCACCCAGTTGCAAAAGCCAGATATTTGGGGTTTTTTTTTTTTTTTTTGAGTAAGAGTCTTGCTTTGTCACCCAGGCTATAGTGCAATGGCATGATCATAACTCACTGCAGCCTCAAACTTCTGAGCTCAAGCAATCCTCCTGCCTCAGCTTCCCAAGTAGCTAGGACTATAGGTGCATGCCATCACACCTTACCAATTTCTTTTTGGTAGGTACAGAGTTTCACTATGATGCCCAGGTTTGTCTTGAACTCCTGGCCTCAAGTGATCCTCCTGCGTCAGCCTCCTGGGGTTACAGGCATGAGCCGCAACCGGCCAAGGGGGTTTTCTTAACACTTTTGATCACTCATCTTCTACCTCTATCCCTTTCCTGACTTGGATTGGATAATCCATCACCAAGGCTTGTTAGGTCTGTCTCCAAAATTGTTTCAGCCCTAGCTACTTGTCTTCATCTCCACTTCACCATTCTAGGTGAAGTCACTATCACCTTTCACCTGAACTCTCTCCTCCATCCTAGTCCGTTCTCCACACAGTTACCACAGTGATCTTTTTAAACAACAAACAAAATCAGCAGACTTTCTTGCTTAAAACCATGCAATAGCTTTGAATTATACTTAGGGGAAAAAAAATCCAAATCTCATCCCATGGCCTGAGGCAGTATCTGGCCCCTGCCTGCCTTTACAGGTTTATCTCACCTGTGAATTCCTCGCTCACTCACTGCATTCCAGCCACACTGGAGTTTTCTGTTTTTCCAATGAATGGTGCTGCTGCCACCTGCCATACTCCACCCACTTCACTCCTTCTTGTCATTCATATCTTTCAGTTCAAACGTCACTCCCACACTCTGAAGCACCATGAAGATAAGAATCTTGCCCAAATGTGTTTACATGACTGAACACAGAGCTGGCACATAGTAGACATCCAAATTTGGTACAGTGAATGAAAGAATAAAGGAAGGAAGGAGAGAATGTACTCTAGATAAGGCCACATCCTTCTGTTATACATCTTCATAGCACCATTCCCTTGCCTTCAACCGCACTTATCACAACTTACATTTTATTAATGAGATAGGTGATCAGTTTCACCTGACTCTTTAGACGCCATGAAAGAACATGTCTGGCTTTGCTTCCCGTTTTATCCCAGAGCCTAGCACATTCCTAGCACATGGTGGGTGCTCAGCACATTGCTGGTTGTGGTTGTTGCTGCTAAATTCTTGGTCCTTATCTCATTTTACAGCTTTAACACAGCTGAGCATATCATTCTGCTTGAAGCACTACCTTCCTCTACTTCTGGATTCTAACTCTCCTACATCCCCTTTTCTGGCTCCATCTTTCTCATTCTCATATGTGGGCTCCTTTTCTGCTCTTAGTCCTTTAAAGTTAGCATTCTGTCCATGGTAGATTCATACTATGGAATACCACTCCGCAATAAAAAGAAACAACAATTGATACACACAACTTGTATACATCTGAGGGCATTATGCTGAGTGAAGAAAGCCAGCCTCAAAATGTTATATACTACATGGTTTAATTTCTATAATGGTTTCAAAATGACATATAGTGATGGAGAATAGACAGGTAGTTGCCAAGGGCTGGGATAGAGGAGGGAGACTAAAAAGGGAAAGCGTGAGAGAGTTTGGGGGTGATGAAACTGTTCTATATCTTACTATGGTGGTGGTTACACAAATCTATGTGTGTGGTAAAATGCTGGGTGAAGGGTACATGGGAAGTCTCTGTACAAGTTGTGCAACTTTTATGTGAGTCTAAAATTATTTAAAAATAAAAAGTTTTTTAAAAGTTAGTATTCTTTCACATCACCTGTCATCAGGGAAATACCAATTACAGCAATGAGATACCATTACTTATCTATTAGAATGGCCAAAATCAGAACACTGACAACATCAAATGCTGGAGAGCATGTGGAGCAACAGGAATTCTTAATTATTGTAGTGGAAATGCAAAATGGTATAGCACCTTTGGAAGATAATTTGACAGTTTCCTACAAAGCTAAATATACTCTTACTGTAAAATCCAGTAATCTCACTCCTTGGTGTTCATTCAAAGGAGTTGAAAACTTATGTCTGCAAAAAATCCTGCACATGAATATTTAGAGCAGCTTTCTTTGTAATTGCCCAGACTTAGATGCAATCGAGATATCCTCTAGTAGGTAAATGGATAAATAAACTGTGGTACATGCGGACATTGGAATATTATTGAGTGTTAAATGAGCTATCAGATTATGAAATGACATAGAGGAAACTTAAATGCACATTACTAAGTGAAAAAAGCCAATCTGAGAAGTCTATATACTGCATGAGTCCAATGATATGACATTCTGGAAAAGGCAAAGTTATTGAGACAGTGAAAAGATGAGTGGTTGTCATAGATTGAAGGGAGGGAGGGATGGATAGGGAGGGAGGCAAAGCACAGAGGATTTTTAGGGAAGTGAAAGTACTCTGTATGATACTCCAATGGTGGATACATATCGTTATAAATTTGTCAAAAACCCATAGTTGGACGTTGCAGTGAGCCAAGATCCCACCACTGCACTCCAGCCTGGGCATGTCAAAAAAACAAAAACAAAAAACCCATAGAAGGTATGACACCAAGAGTGAACCCTAATGTAAACTATGGACTTTGGGTGATAATGCAGTGTTCATGTAGGTTCATCAGTTGTAACCAATGTGCCACTGTGGTGGGGAATGTTGATAATGGGGGAGGCTATGGATGTGTGGGGGCAGGAATTATATGGGAAATATCTGAACCTTCTTAATTTTGCTATGAACCTAAAACTGCTCTAAGAAATACAGTCTATTTTTTAAGAAGTTAGTATTCTATTCTTCAGAGATCCTTGAAGGCCTGTCTTTCTTTACCTCCTGTGAGCTCTCCCTGTGACTCCTCATCTACTCTTTTTTTTCCTTCATTTTGTTTTTATTATAACATGTTTGCTTGATTTACACAAGCATAAAATAAGCTGGGTCCTGTTTTGATCCAGACATTCAAAAATACCATTTCAGAGGCTTCTATAAGAAAGAAAATGCAAAATTTAACCCCACAACTTTCCTCTTTGCTAGAACTGCAAACTACTGCTACAGTTTTAAATAGACTTTTTGTTGTTGAAACTATATGTCCAGGAAAATCTAAAAAAAAAAATTAAACCTGCATATAAATGACTGCATAGCAGAACATGAACACTAACTGCAAACAGTAAAGAAATGAAAGTTAGAAATACTATCAAATATACAAAGGTTCTAGAATCAATCCTTTAAACACATTCCACAAACAGTATTTCAGAACCATTGTTTTGTTCTTTGTAGGCAAAGCCTAGATTACTAAAACCAAAATTGAAAAAAGTAATCCTCTAAAAGGAATCGTTTCTTTGTGATAATTCTTACTTATATCTGTAAGCAAGCAATCCGAGACTTTTTTTAATTTTTGGCTTTTTATAAAGATTTGAGATTGGACATGTCAAGTCACTTTTGTCCCCAAAACGATCTTTCAGAGAAATACTAGAAATTATAAATGGTTAAGGATATTACTTCTTCATTTTTAGTCAGGTACTACACTGATAATCAAAAACTCAGAAGATCTGACTCTTGCTTAAAACTGACTAATCCTTTTTCCAAAATTACTTTAAATTTCTTGGTACCACAAAATCACCTAGAATGAATGTTGTCTTTCAACTTGCCTCATATTAAATAAACTGAGGCCTGAAAAGCAAACCTCCCTCATAACGAGGCAGGCAAATTTTGATACAAATGCACAGGCCAAGTGCTGTAAGCATCAAAATTTCAGTTCTTTTACACTATGCACGCACACACAAAGTTTGCTTCCAACAGCTGTAAGAAAACTAAGCAACATTATGATCAACAATGCCCCTTAAACTTTATAATAACTATATAAGAACATTATTTTCCCTTTAAAATTATTTTTGCCATTTTAAGGTGAGTTTTTGTGATGTTTTCTATTTTCCAAATCTTCATAGGAACCAGAAAAAAGCAGTGAAGCCTCCATGTTTCAGTCAAAAACTCAGTCTCCCTGAAAATACTATGTAACCCAGTTGGCATAATTCCCTAAGACAGTGGGGTTAACAAAAAAACGAATCCACACTTCATCATAAATAATTATCATGACAAGACACCTTGACAAGACATAAAGGCCTGCCCTGAACCTAAATGTGTCTGAGCAGTCAGTGTTGTACTGTAGCTATGACTTCATTTTTGTGTCATTCTTATTAACAAGCTACATTTCTAGGTTAACGGTTCTACCAAATACAAATATGAAAGTTTATTTTTAATAAAAGAATGTTGCAAATTATGGTCAACCACATCTTTTCACCAAATACTTCAAGCATAAAAATGAGAATCTTTACAAAAATATACAGAGACACCACAAATTGGTGGCTGCTCATAACATTAAACAAACTGGACTCTTAAGAGTGGCTTCTCAACAGCATATCATTTTGATTATGATCATTGCCTGGTACAGGGAAAACTAACAAGTGTCTTTTTAATCATCATTGCAACACTGTATTCCTGATAATTTAGGTAAACCAAACTATGAATAAGTGAATGACACACGCCTAAAAATGATCATGGTTTATACTGTCAATGGCCACTGAGCATAGGACTAGTCCAAGACCTTGATACCGATTTTGACCTAAACATAGACTGTGATTTTGACTGAGATTTGGATCTAGGTGGTTCTTTTTTTCCCTAATTCCTTTTCATATCTTGAGCCAGACTTATAATGTGTTTTGGAATCTATTTTTGAGGTGCCTCTAGTTTTGGTGTGAGATGCAGACCTAGAATGTGATTCAGCCTTCATTTCTCTCTTGGGCTGGGACTTGGACCGTGATCTTGAATTGGATTTAGATTTTGAAAAAGATTAATTTCAGTGTTTGAATCTATCATATTTGGAATGGCTTCTGCTATGTGTGGTCTTCCAGTCGGTCTACTGTTTCTAGGACTATACGACCTTCTATAGTTGTAATCAGAAGACAGCCTTCTTGATCTCCTTCTTTTACAACTTTGGCTTCTAGAATGTCTGTATCTGTCATCATCATCATAGCATGAAGAACTGTACACATTCTTCCCTTCCTTGGCTTTCATCTGATTTAGTGTCTTCTGATCCCCCTAGGCAAACTGTATTTTAATCTGCCATCCACAAATCCACTTTCTGTCCAAATTATGTAAGCATCTTCAGCATCACAAACATCCTCAAATTGAATATAAGCAAATCCTCTTGGACAGCGAATGTAGAAATCAAGCGGAACATACACATCAACTATAGGACCATAATGACCAAGTTCACACTGTAAATCTTCATACCTGGTGTCATCGGCCACATTCCTGAAGAAGAGAGATGTGTTCAGCGATACTGGTAGCAGGACATGGTGGTGGTGTGAGTCTCAGCCTAGAGCACTAGCAGTCTCAGCAAACTGTCTGCATCTCCGGCTGCCGATCCTCCACTCCCACTTCTCGTCTACAGTCATGCAGTTGTAATTTCTCATTCATGTTCCTGAGCTCTGTCCCTGCTTCCTGTGTTCCTGTCTTATGTGCCCATGTATCTAGCAACTATACAGATCTATGTGTATTGATCTTGAATAAATTGATGCATATATAGTGATAATTTCTGTGACCATTCCATGAGAAAACAGTTTCTTTTCTATTTATGGGCACATTTTAATCTTGAAGTTTCTATATGGCACAACTAAATCATCCTTCATCAAAATCAATGTATACCATGACATCACAGTCTTCTTATGTGATTTGTGCACTGAACTCCATATTTTTCTGGAAGATATTGTATGTTCTTCCTTCTGGTTGCACCATGGAAATTCTGTGCCTTAGTCACATTTACATTTATATATTTCTTTAGAAAGGCAATGCTTCAGTCCAACAACTCTCCTGCAGTTTAAGTGGAAAACAGTGTTTATTTCTCCTTTCATTTCTCATAGTTTCCCACTGTGCCTAACAATTGATTTTTTAAAAAAAATTTTTAGTGGAGGTCAAACATTGTTTGAATGTGGGGCAAATGGTTTCCCAGGGAGACAGTAAACCAGTCCTTGTAGCTTTCAGTAACATTTTCAGAACAGCAGCTAGACACTAGCCATAGCAGAGTGTGTGCTACAGAACAGGAGACTCAAAACAAAGTCAGAGGAAGCACTGAGAACAAGACAAATAATTTCAAAAGATGAAGAAATGTTCTGCAAGAGTGGTGCCCTTAGCTCCGACCATGTCTCTGAACAAAAATCACCTGTATCCGATGGTAAATGCTGTTTTCCTGGGCACTTGCCCTTCTCCATGTGACTGTTTTTATGCTTCTTGTGCTGTTATCATCACTGTTCATTCTCAGGGGAAATCCATGAGATACAGCTGAAATGACCTGTTGCCTAATTATGATTTCTACGTATACAATTGGCAGTTTTGAAATGAAAATCACTTTAGGGAAATTTTTCAGTCCCTAAAAGAGAAAATTTTTTTTAAAGTTGCTTTGATTTGACTTATTTACATATCAGGTAGTTTATCTGGAGCCCAAACTCTTATTATTGTGTTTAAGAGGTTTCGTGTCTTTGACTTTGCTAACATTTCAGCAATTTATTTAGCTGGATAAAGAAAATGTGGCACATATACACCATGGAATACTAAGCAGCCATAAAAAAGGATGAGTTCATGTCATTTGCAGGGACATGGATGAAGCTGGAAACCATCATTCTCAGCAAACTAACACAAGAACAGAAAACCAAACACCTCATGTTTTCACTCATAAGTGGGAGTTTAACAATGAGAACACATGGACACAGGGAGGGGAACATCTCACACTGGGACCTGTTGAGGTGTGGGAGGCTAGGGGAGGGATAGCATTAGAGAAATACGTAATGTAAATGACGGGTTGATGGGTGCAGCAAACTGCCATGGCACATGTATAGCTATGTAACAAACCTGCATGTTTTGCACATGTACCCCAGAACTTAAAGTATATTTTAAAAAGGAAACATAACAATACTTTTCTTGAGAAATAAATCTGTAAAATGGCAAAAAAAAAAAAAAATTCAGTCATATAGAAAGCATCAGCGATGTCTTTTTTCTGTACAACTCGTAAATAGGAAGATGTATGTGCTCTGATAGGAGCTCTTTATCTGGGGTCCAGGGACATCTGGGGACTTCAGGAGGTCCTGAAATGTACGTACCAAAAATGTACGTAGACAAGGAAATGATATAAAGAAAGAATTCTATATAAGAATCAAGCATTTTAGGAAATAAAGGAATACAAAAGGAACTGAATAAAATGTATGTTTTTCTACATAGGTGAATTGAGATCTTTATCAGCCTAGTGGACATTCCAACTGAGCTGAGGTTGAGCCCATTTCTAAAGAATAAAGGGGAAAACAGCAACATTGGGATGAAATTGTCAGTCCTTTTGACTCGGAGACATTGACTAACATTCAATCTTAAAGACTAAAACATTGGAGGCATTAAAAAAAAGGAAGGAATTAAATTTCTCTTTTTTAAAAACACTATCATTCACTTGTTTAAACATCAGGTTTTATAAATTGATAACATTTTTACTTAATGCGGGAACAAGTTAGAATTTTACTGCAAGTGGCTTTATGAATATTGTATTCAAGAATGAGTAGTCAGATAGTTTCTGGTATATTATTTCTTGGGTTCATCTAAGAGACTGTGATCATCTGATTTTTATGATGATTAATAATAAAACCAGTCAGCCCAAAAGCCCAGCATAGCTATGTGAATTTTTAGCTAAATAATGCTTCTTTTTAAAAATGTGGTTGAATTATTTAAAGTAAGTATAATTCCATAAGCAATTAGCTAACAATGTTTTGTTTAGCCCTGGTCCAAGGAATAAATGTCTTTGCTAGACAGCGTATTAACCACTAGTGTTTGATACACAGATTAATGCTTGCAACAGGGACTGGTAAGTTAAGCATTCTTCCTCAATCTTGTTTCTCTACTCTAAATATATTTATCGAACCCATTTTTGAGACTACGAAGATAAATGCCAATCTGGGCTTTGTCCAAATGATCACAAAATATAAAATACTTGCATCCCAAATAATGAGACTTTATGTTATGTTCATCTTAAAACAAGTTACAGGATCTGAAGTCCTCCATTACTTCCAGTTGACAAGGCTAAAAAAGTAAACACACCATTTAAATGCAAAATGTGAACTTTATATACAAAATCATATGTTGCCTTGCCCTTGGATAGACTTGTGAATTTCATTTATTGGAGTTACTATAGACCAGGAAAGAGAAGAAGTAGGAGCATTTGAGGGCTACAGTGCCACATTGTCTCTTCCCTTTAACCAGGAACTCACATACAGTAAATAAAACCTCAGATTTTCTGTAAAAAAACTTTTCAAAAGGGAAAACTCTACACACCTCTTTAGAAATACCACTCTATCAGTCATTACCATTTTGAATTTCTTCTTTAAATTAGCTTTATGTTAACCAAACCATGTGCTGCCACACTTTGATGTTCTTGCCTGAGAACATATTTAGTATGAATATGATTGATTGTACCTCTATTTCCTAATCCACAAGTGAATACTTCATGTTTCTGATATTTTGAATGAGAGAATCTCTGAAGTTCCATCCAGCTCTAATAGTTCTTTTAGCAATTACTGCGTGCTATCGAGTTCTGGTTCTTGAACTTTTGGGGGACATGGATTCCTTGTTGAGTGTGCAATTTAAGTTATGGACCATATCTACAGTAATATGCACATACACATAATTTTTTTGATATAGTTTTACAGTATTTCAGGACCTCCTGAAGTCCCCAGATGTCCCTGGACCCCAGATAAAGAGCTCCTATCAGAGCACATACATCTTCCTATTTACGAGTTGTATAGAAAAAAGACATCGCTGATGCTTTCTATATGACTGAATTTTTTTTTTTTGCCATTTTACAGATTTATTTCTCAAGAAAAGTATTGTTATGTTTCCTTTTTAAAATATACTTTAAGTTCTGGGGTACATGTGCAAAACATGCAGGTTTGTTACATAGCTATACATGTGCCATGGCAGTTTGCTGCACCCATCAACCCGTCATTTACATTACGTATTTCTCTAATGCTATCCCTCCCCTAGCCTCCCACACCTCAACAGGTCCCAGTGTGAGATGTTCCCCTCCCTGTGTCCATGTGTTCTCATTGTTAAACTCCCACTTATGAGTGAAAACATGAGGTGTTTGGTTTTCTGTTCTTGTGTTAGTTTGCTGAGAATGATGGTTTCCAGCTTCATCCATGTCCCTGCAAATGACATGAACTCATCCTTTTTTATGGCTGCTTAGTATTCCATGGTGTATATGTGCCACATTTTCTTTATCCAGCCTATCATTGATGGGCATTTGGGTTGGTTCCAAGTCTTTGCTATTGTTAACAGTGCCGCAATAAACATACGTGTGTGTGTCTTTATAGTAGAATGATTTATAATCCTTTGGGTATATACCCAGTAATGGGATTGCTAGGTCAAATGGTATTTTGTTTAAGGTGTAAGGAAAGGATCCAGTTTCAGTTTTCTGCGTATGGCTAGCCAGTTTTCCCAGCACCATTTATTAAATAGGGAATCCTTTCTCCATTGCTTGTTTTTGTCAGGTTTGTCGAAGACCAGATGGTTGTAGATGTGCGGTGTTATTTCTGAGGGCTCTGTTCTGTTCCATTGGTCTATATGTCTGTTTTGGTACCAGTACCATGCTGTTTGGTTTCTGTAGCCTTGTAGTATAGTTTGAAGTCAGGTAGCATGACGCCTCCAGCTTTGTTCTTTTTACTTAGGATTGTCTTGGCTATGTGGGCTCTTTTTTGATTCCATACGAAATATAAAGTAGTTTTTTCCAATTCTTTCAAGAAAGTCAATGGTAGCTTGATAGGGATAGCATTGAATTTATAAATTACTTGGGGCAGTATGGCCATTTTTATGATATTGATTCTTCCTATCCATGTGCATGGAATGTTTTTCCATCTGTTTGTGTCCTCTCTTATTTCCTTGAGCAGTGTTTTGTAGTTTTCCTTGAAGAGGTCCTTCACATCCCTTGTAAGTGATATTCCTATGTATTTTATTCTCTTTGTAGCAATTGTGAATGGGAGTTCACTCATGATTTGGCTCTCTGTCTGTTCTTGGTGTATAGGAATGCTTGTGATTTTTGCACATTGATTTTGTATCCTGAGACTTTGCTGAAGTTGCTTATCAGCTTAAGGAGATTTTGGGCTGAGATGATGGGGTTTTCTAAATATACAATTGCGTCATCTGCAAACAGAGACAATTTGACTTCCTCTTTTTCTATTGGAATACCATTTATTTCTTTCTCTTGCCTGATTGCCCTGGCCAGAACTTCCAATAGTATGTTGAATAGGAGTGGTGAGAGAGGGCATCCTTGTCTTGTGCCGGTTTTCAAAGGGAATGCTTCCAGCTTTTACCCATTCAGTATGATATTGGCTGTGGGTTTGTCATAAATAGGTCTTATTATTTTGAGATATGGTCCATCAATACCTAGTTTATTGAGAGTTTTTAGCATGAAAGGGTGTTGAATTTTGTTGAAGGCCTTTTCTGCATCTATTGAGATAATCATGTCATATTTGTCATTGGTTCTGTTTATGTGCTGGATTATGTTTATTGATTTGCATATGTTGAACCAATCTTGCATCCCAGGGATGAAGCCGACTTGAACATGGTGGATAAACTTTTTGATGTGCTGCTGGATTTGGTTTTCCAGTATTTTACTGAGGATTTTCACATCAATGTTCATCAGGAATATTGGCCTGAAGTTTTCCTTTTTTGATGTGTCTCCCCCAGGTTGTTGTATCAGGATGACACTGGCCTCATAAAATGAGTTAGGGAGGATTCCTTCCCTCTTTTTCTATTGTTTGGAATAGTTTCAGAAGGAATGGTACCAGCTCCTCTTTGTACCTCTGGTAGAATTCAGCTGTGAATCCGCCTGGTCCTGGACTTTTTTTGGTTGGTAAGCTATTAATTACTGCTTCAATTTCAGAACTTGTTATTGGTCTACTCAGGGATTCAACTTCTTCCTGGTTTAGTCTTGAGAGGGTGTATGTGTCCAGGAATTTATCCACTTCTTCTAGATTTTCTAGTTTATTTGTGTAGAGGTGTTTATCATATTCTCTGATGTTAGTTTGTATTTCTGTGGAATCAGTGGTGATATCCCCTTTATCATTTTTTATTGTGTCTATTTGATTGTCCTCTCTTTTCTTCTTTATTAGTCTGGACAGTGTCCATCAATTTTGTTGATCATTTCAAAAAACCAGCTCCTGGATTCATTGATTTTTTGAAGGGATTTTTGTGTCTCTATCTCCTTCAGTTCTGCTCTAATCTTAGTTATTTCTTGTCTTCTGCTAGCTTTTGCATTTGTTTACTCCTGCTTCTCTAGTTCTTTTAATTGTGATGTTAGGCTGTCCGATTTAGATCTTTCCTGCTTTCTCTCGTGGGCATTTAGTGCTATAAATTTCCCACTACACACAGCTTTATGTGTGTCCCAGAGATTCTGGTACATTGTAACTTGTTCTCACTGGTTTCAAAGAACATCTTTGTTTCTGCCTTAATTTTGTTATTTACCCAGTAGTCATTCATGGCAGGTTGTTCAGTTTCCATGTAGTTGTGTGGTTTTGAGTGAGCTTCTTAATCCTGAGTTCTAATTTGATTGCACTGTGGTCTGAGAGACTGTTATGATTTCCATTCTTTTGCATTTGCTGACGAGTGTTTTCCAATTATGTGGTCAATTTTAGAATAAGTGCAATGTGGTGCTGAGAAGAATGTATATTCTGTTAATTTGGGGTGGAGAGTTCTCTAGATGTCAATTAGGTCCGCTTGGTCCAGAGCTGAGTTCAAGTCGTGGATATCCTTGTTAATTTTGTCTCGTTGATCTGTCTAATGTTGACAGTGGGGTGTTAAAGTCTTCCACTATTATTGTGTGGGAGTCTAAGTCTCTTTTTAGGTCTCTAAGAACTTGCTTTACAAATCTGGGTGCTTCTGTATTGGGCACATATATATTTAGGATATTTAGCTCCTCTTGTTGCATTGATCCCTTTACCATTATGTAATGCCCTTCTTTGTCTTTTTTGATCTTTGTTGGTTTAATATCTGGGTTTTTTCAGAGAATAGGATTGCAACCTCTGCTTTTTTGCTTTCCATTTGCTTGTTAAATATTCTTCCATCTCTTATTTTAGAGCCTATGTGTGATTTGCAAGTGAGATGGGTCTTCTGAATACAGCACACTGATGGGTCTTGACTCTTTATCCAATTTGCCAGTCTGTGTCTTTTAACTGGGGCACTCAGTCCATTCACATTTAAGGTTAATATTGTTATGTGTGAAGTCGATCCTGTCATATGATGCTAGCTAGTTATTTTGCCTGTTAGTTGATGCAGTTTCTTCATAGTGTCAATAGTCTTTACAATTTGGTGGGGTTTTTTTAATTTTTTTATTTTTATTTTTTATTTTTTTATTATACTTTAAGTTTTAGGATACATGTGCACAATGTGCAGATTAGTTACATATGTATACATGTGCCATGCTGGTGCGCTGCACCCACTAACTCGTCATCTAGCATTAGGTATATCTCCCAATGCTATCCCTCCCCACTCCCCCAACCCCACAACAGTCCCCAGAGTGTGATGTTCCCCTTCCTGTGTCCATGTGTTCTCATTGTTCAATTCCCACCTATGAGTGAGAATATGCAGTTTTTGGTTTTTTGTTCTTGCGATAGTTTACTGAGAATGATGATTTCCAATTTCATCCATGTCCCTACAAAGGACATGAACTCATAATTTTTTATGGCTGCATAGTATTCCATGGTGTATATGTGCCACATTTTCTTAATCCAGTCTATCATTGTTGGACATTTGGGTTGGTTTCCAAGTCTTTGCTATTGTGAATAGTGCCGCAATAAACATACGTGTGCATGTGTCTTTATAGCAGCATGATTTATAGTCCTTTGGGTATATACCCAGTAATGGGATGGCTGGGTCAAATGGTATTTCTAGTTCTAGATCCCTGAGGAATCGCCACACTGACTTCCACAGTGGTTGAACTAGTTTACAGTGCCATCAACAGTGTAAAAGTGTTCCTATTTGTCCACATCCTCTCCAGCACCTGTTGTTTCCTGACTTTTTAATGATTGCCATTCTAACTTGTGTGAGATGGTATCTCATTGTGGTTTTGATTTGCATTTCTCTGATGGCCAGTGATGGCGAGCATTTTTTCATGTGTTTTTTGGCTGCATAAATGTCTTCTTTTGAGAAGTGTCTGTTCATGTCGTTCGCCCACTTTTTGATGGGGTTGTTTGTTTTTTTCTTGTAAATTTGTTTGAGTTCATTGTAGATTCTAGTTATTAGCCCTTTGTCAGATGAGTAGGTTGCAAAAATTTTCTCCCATTTTGTGGGTTGCCTGTTCACTCTGATGGTAGTTTCTTTTGCTGTGCAGGAACTCTTTAGTTTAATTAGATCCCATTTGTCAATTTTGTCTTTTGTTGCCATTGCTTTTGGTGTTTTAGACATGAAGTCCTTGCCCATGCCTGTGTCCTGAATGGTAATGCCTAGGTTTCCTTCTACGGTTTTTATGGTTTTAGGTCTAACGTTTAAGTCTTTAATCCATCTTGAATTAATTTTTGTATAAGGTATAAGGAAGGGATCCAGTTTCAGCTTTTTACATATGGCTAGCCAGTTTTCCCAGCACCATTTATTAAATACGGAATCCTTTCCCATTGCTTGTTTTTCTCAGGTTTGTCAAAGATCAGATAGTTGTAGATATGTAGTGTTATTTCTGAGGGCTCTGTTCTGTTCCATTGATCTATATCTCTGTTTTGGTACCAGTACCATGCTGTTTTGGTTACTGTAGCCTTGTAGTGTAGTTTGAAGTCAGGTAGAGTGTTGCCTCCAGCTTTGTTCTTTTGGCTTGGGATTGACTTGGCGATGCAGGCTCTTTTTTGGTTCCATATGAACTTTAAAGTAGTTTTTTCCAATTCTGTGAAGAAAGTCATTGGTAGCTTGATGGGGATGGCATTGAATCTGTAAATTACCTTGGGCAGTATGGCCATTTTCACGATATTGATTCTTCCTACCCATGAGCATGGAATGTTCTTCCATTTGTTTGTATCCTCTTTTGTTTCATTGAGCAGTGGTTTGTAGTTCTTCTTGAAGAGGTCCTTCACATCCCTTGTAAGGTGGATTCCTAGGTATTTTATTCTCTTTGAAGCAATTGTGAATGGGAGTTCACTCATGATTTGGCTCTCTGTTTGTCTGTTATTGGTGTATAAGAATGCTTGTGATTTTTGTACCTTGATTTTGTATCCTGAGACTTTGCTGAAGTTGCTTATCAGCTTAAGGAGATTTTGGGCTGAGATGATGGGGTTTTCTAGATGTACAATCATGTACATCTGCAAACAGGGACAATTTGACTTCCTCTTTTCCTAATTGAATACCCTTTATTTCCTTCTCCTGCCTAATTGCCCTGCCAGAACTTCCAACACTATGTTGAATAGGAGTGGTGAGAGAGGGCATCCCTGTCTTGCCTTTGACAAAATTCAACAACCCTTCATGCTAAAAACTCTCAATAAATTAGGTATTGATGGGACGTATCTCAAAATAATAAGAGCTATCTATGACAAACCCACAGCCAATACCATACTGAATGGGCAAAAACTGGAAGCATTCCCTTTGAAAACTGGCACAATTTGGTGTTTTTTTCCAGTGGCTGGTACCGGTTGTTCCTTTCCATGTTTAGTGCTTCCTTCAGGAGCTCTTGTAAGGCAGGCCTGGTGGTGACAGAATCTCTCAGCATTTGCTTGTCTGTAAAGGATTTTATTTCTCTTTTGCTTATGAAGCTTAGTTTGGCTGGATATGAAATTCTGGGTTGAAAATTCTTCTCTTTAAGAATATTGAATATTGGCCCCCACCCTCTTCTGGCTTGTAGTGTTTCTGCCGAGAGATTCACTGTTAGTCTGATGGGCTTCCCTTTGTGTGTAACCCGACCTTTCTCTCTGGCTGCCCTTAACATTTTTTCCTTCATTTCAACCTTGGTGAATCTGACAATTATGTCTTGGGGTTGCTCTTCTCAAGGAGTATCTTTATGGTGTTCTCTGTATTTCCTGAATTGGAATGTTGGCCTGTCTTGCTAGGTTGGGGAAGTTCTCCTGGAAAATATCCTGAAGAGTGTTTTCCAACTAGGTTCCATTCTCCCCGTAACTTTCAGGTACACCAATCAAACACACATTTGGTCTTTTCACATAGTCCCATATTTCTTGGAGGCTTTTTTCATTTCTTTTCATTCTTTTTTCACTAATCTTGTCTTCTTGCTTTATTTCATTGAGTTGATCTTCAGTCTCTGATATCTGTTCTTCTGCTTGATTGATTCGGCTGTTGATACTTTATATGCTTCACGAAATTCTCGTGCTGTGTTTTTCAGCTTCATCAGGTTATATGTGTTCTTCTCTGAACTGGTTATTCTACTTAGCAATTTGCCTAACCTTTTTTCAGGGTTCTTAGCTTCCTTGCATTTCATTAGAACATGCTCCTTTAGCTCAGAGGAGTTTTGTTATTACCCACCTTCTGAAGCCTACTTCTGTCCATTTGTCAAACTCATTCTACGTTCAGTTTTGTTCCCTTGCTGGTGAGGAGTTGTGATCCTTTGGAGAAGAGGCATTCTGGTTTTTGGAATTTTTAGCCTTTTTGTGCTGGTTTCTCCCCATCTTCATGGATTTATCTACCTTTGGTCTCTGATGTTAGTGACCTTGGCATGGGGTCTCCTGGTGGACGTCCTTTTTGTTGATGTTGATGCTATTCCTTTCTTTTTGTTAGTTTTCCTTCTAACAGCCAGGCCCCTCTGCTGCAGGTCTACTGGAGTTTGTTGGAGGTCCACTCCAGACCTTTTTTGCCTGGGTATCACCAGCGGAGGCTGCAGAACAGAAAAGATTGCTGCCTGTTCCTTTCTCTAGAAACTTTGTCCCAGAGGGGCACCCGCCAGATGCCAGCCAGAGCACTCCTGTATGAGGTGTCTGTCAGCCCCCACTTGGAGGTGTCTTCCAGTCAGGATAAATGGGGTCAGGGACTCACTTGAGGAGGGAGTCTGACCCTTAGCAGAGCTCAAATGCTGTGCTGGGAGATCCGCTGCTCTCTTAAGAGCCATTAGGTAGGGACGTTTAAGTCTGCTGAAGCTGAACCCACAGTTGCCCCTTTCCCTAGGTTCTCTGTCCCAGGGAGATGGGGGTTTTATCTATAAGTCCCTGACTGGAGCTGCCGCCTTTTTTTCGGTGATGCCCTGCCCAGAGAGGAGGAATCTAGAGAGGCAGTGTGGCCCCAGCAGCCTTGCTGAGCTGCGGTGGGCTCCACCCAGTTCGAACTTCCCAGCATCTTTGTTTACACTGTGAGTGTAAAACCACCTACTCAAGCCTCAGCAATGGTGGACGCCCCTCACCCCACCAAGCTCTAGCATCCCAGGTCCACCTCAGACTGCTGTGCTGGCAGCAAGAATTTCAAGCCAGTGGATCTTAGCTTGCTGGGTTCTGTGCGGGTGGGACCTGCCAAGGCAGACCACTTTGCTCCCTGGCTTCAAGCCCCCTTTCCAGGGGAGTGAGTGGTTCTGGCTCGCTGGCATTGCAGGTGCCCCTGGGGTATGAATAAAAAACTCCTGCAGCTAACTTGGTGTCTGCCCAAGTGACCACCCAGTTTTGTACTTGAAATCCAGGGCCCTGGTGGTGTAGGCACTGGAGGGAATCTCCTTGTCTGTGGGTTGTGAAGACCATGGGAAAAGCGCAGTATCTGGGCCAGAGTGCACCGTTCCTCACAGTACAGTTCCTCCCGGCTTCCCTTGGGTAGGGGAGGGAACTCCCCCGACCCCTTCTGCTTCTTGGGTGAGGCAACACCCCACCCTGCTTCTGCTTACCCTCTGTGGGCTGCACCCACTGTCTAACCAGTCCCAGGGAGATGAACCAGGTACCTCAGTTGGAAATGCTGAAATCACCCACCTTCTGCGTCAGTCTTGCTGGGAGCTGCATACCAGTGCTATTCCTATTTGGCCATCTTGCCAGTAAGCTGCCACGATGACTGGATTCTTTATGCCAAATATACATAATAGGTCTTTTCACATTTTATTTTAAAATCTTGTCATGTGATCAATTGGTTTTACTCATATACTAATAATACATCCTAAATGTCAGATAGAAACACTTAGGGCTAGTTTTAAGACGTTCTCTTGGATCCCACTTGATATGATTTTATTACTGAAATGTAAAAAGAAAACAACTCTCATCATAAGACACCATCATTACTTAACCCAAGAACAAACTGACTCTACTAGATTTAGATGGCATCTTTAAAGTCCCTTCTGTTGCCTACATATCAGGTCAGAGTTTATTTTCTTTGAATGACAGAAGCAATGAATTTTTGAAAAACAAAACTAAAAACTAAACTATCACGACCTGTAAATGGCATTCAGTAAGTCCCAGGTTCCCTATTAATTGCTTGGCTAACTCCTCCTCTGGGTTCCTGCTTAGATATCACTTCCCTAGGAAAGCTTGCTTGAGCCCCCAGCCTGGTTAAATGCCTCTGCCATGACTCATACAGACCCACTCTACCCCTCCTAGCACACTGCTTATCCATACTATTGCAATTGCCAGCTTTCTGGTCTGTATTTCCCTAAAGTCTTTAAACCCTGTGAGGTGAGGGTCATCATTATTCACAGCTATTTTATGAGCACCTAAGATAGTGCCTAGCACATGCAAGGTATTGAGTAAATGTTTATTGGGTAAGTGAATAAACAAATGCATATAATGTATATAAAGGTATCTCTGATTAGGAAGCTCTGTCATTTTTTTTTCTTTTTAAGAATAACTACAGTTAGGCCAGGCGCGGTGGCTCATGCTTGTAATCCCAGCACTTTGGGAGGCTGAGGCAGGTGGATCACGAGGTCAGGAGATCGAGACCATCCTGGCTAACATGGTGAAACCCCGTCTCCACTAAAAATATAAAAAGTTAGCCGAATGTGGTAGCAGGCGCCTGTAGTCCCAGCTACTCGGGAGGCTGAGGCAGGAGAATGGCATGAACCCGGGAGGTGGAGGTTGCAGTGAGCCGAGATCACACCGCTGCACTCCAGCCTGGGCGACAGAGCGAGACTCTGTCTCAAAAAAAAAAAAAAAAAAGAATAAGTACAGTTAAGCTGAGCTCGAATTTCCAATATGGGGTTTCCCTATGAATGGGAAAGAGTCTAATCTATAAATCATCATCCGAAAGCTAAGGCTCAAGTTATCTGACTTAACATTCACGCTGTTTTTGCAAAACAGAAAACCACATTTTCATAATGTATAATGCAGTGTCTGTGGCTCTGATTGAGAGGAAGGGGGACTTGAGAAAGGGGATGGGGCGAGGAAGAAGAGGGGCTAAGGTTTAGTCAGCTATAGCCAGGAGAAGAGTGGAGGAGGCTGACCCACAGTGTCAAGGGATGAACAAAGGGGAACTTAGTCCTTATTTAAGATGAAGGTGGGGCTGTGGTTGAGAGGTAAGGGACCCCTCAAACTATATGGACAAGGAGAGGCAGGGAAGCAAGGATGCTCCAAAGCAACAAGTAAAGGGAATAGACAGAAAAAGAGTGGAATTCAAAGTAAACAGGCAGTGATGGAGACAGTAGACAGTAAAGAAGTGGAGCCTGGAGAAAATCTCAAATGCGCTGGGAAGACCCAACCAGCCCACCCAATTCATACACTTCCCTAGAAGGCTGGTCTTCAGGAGATATTTAACTTTGTCAGTCTCTTTGGGGAATTCTCAGTGTTTTTCACTGAGGGGGCAAGAATCCTCTTGTGCTTTTTACTAGGGGAGCATGTACATCACAAAGTTCAAACATTCACAACTTTGATTGTAACCCAAGGGGGCAGTTAATCATCACAGTTTAATATATAAACCTTGTAGCACATTTGACATCAAACTAGCCAATGCTCAAGGGTCAATTTCCCCTTCATAATTCTGGAAAATTATACCCTTACTACCACGCTAAGATGGTATATGTTATGAGAATTCTGTTGGTTGATATTCTCTAAGTGGATCAAGAAAAATACTATTAAAATAAGAGAATAGGTATGAAGTTTCAAGTTTGAGAAGCTGAAAAAGTTCTGGAGATGGATGTTGGTAATGGTTGAACAACCATATGAATGTACTTAATTCAACTGGACTTTACACTTAAAAGAGTTAAAATGATAAATTTTAAGTTATGTACAGTTTGTCACTATAAAAACATAAGAGAATAGCAGTAAGAGCTTGATATAAAGAAATGGTAGTTATTTTCCAATTTTAAATGTAGAAAATCAAGAGACACATGACAAAAGAAATATCTAGGGTCAGGTGCTCAGTTAGTAGTAGTTAAACCAGCTACTGAGCCCTAGGAATCCTAATATTTGGTATAAGGTTCTTTTCAGGCAAAGCTCCAGATCTAACCCTCTATCCCATCTATATGCACAGCTGAGGTTCTAAAAGCCTCATAATATTGTTTTGTAAAGAGGATCAATTTCACATTGGGTGCCATGGATTTTAAAAACTATATCCTTTGGTAAAAGCCAGTACATAAGTTTAATTTATCACATAACCTACTGAAATTTCTCTTAAAAATACACTCCTTAAAGCAGTAGTTGACAATGAAGATTATGAGCAGTATTTTTTTTCAAAGAAAATGTCAGAAAAGCTCCAAATCTAACCCTCTATCCCATCTATATGCAGAACTGAAGTTCTAAAAACCTCAATATTGTTTTGTAAAGATGATCAATTTTACATTGTGTGCCATGGATTTTTAAAACTATGTCCTTTGGCAAAAGCCAGTACATAAGTTTAATTGATCACATAACCTATTGAAATTTCTCTTGGAAAATACACTCCTTAAAGCAGCAGTTAACAATGAAGAAATGAAGTGAGCAGTTAAAAAAAAAAAAAGGAAAATGTTTGTTTCTTGTTCTTTCAGGGATTCTCACTTAGATCTTTTGCTCCAGGGAAGGTTCCAAATGCATTGATATTTCCTGGAAATGTCTTGCCCTGTGCCTAGGAATAATTCTGAGAAACCCTTTCTTAGTGAAATGTTCTCAATTGTCATGGCGATGCTTAGGAAAGACACATTTTAAAGGAGGTGAGAGTGAAGAATCATATTGGTTTCACAAAGTTTAGGATTTTAACTTGTACTTAGCTGGAAAGACAGCCCTACCTGGTATTAAGTCACAAGGTCCTCATAAAATTTTAAAAGTTTAGACTGAAATTTTCATAGAATTTCTTGTCCTACTTTCTTATTTGATGGATGAGAACACTCAAATCTCAAAAGCTTCAGTGAAATTTTCATAGAATTTCTGGTCCCACCCTCTTATTTTATGGACGAGAACACTTAAATCTAAAAAGTTTAAGTGACATCCCAAGGTCACACAGCTTTCTCCCTACATGTTGTCTTACAAACCCCTCATATGCACTTGTTTAGAGCAGGAACCAAGCTATCTTCATGGCTGATCTACCACCCAGAAGTCATTATGGGGAGCTGTCTAGTTTGAAATCCCATACCCACCACTCCCTGTTGCCCCATCAGAGAGAGATCTAGAGCTCATCTGCCATTTCCCTCTACTGTGACAGCTGGGCCCTTCATTAAAAACAGTTGCCTGAGGGAGAATGGTCACATGCACACACACCTCCTTTTAAGTCTTTTTACTTCCAATTCTTTTTCAACTTGTTCTTAGTTATTAAAAATTCTGTCATTTGTTCATCCTTTTTGTCTGTTTCTTATTCTTTGGGAAATAACAACTTTACTCATGAAACCTCACCATGTATCAGCTTAAAGAAATATTTGTCATTGTTGATAACGAAAGATTGATGCTAATGGGTTACCTGTACTGAAGAAGTCTGTTCTAGGATTTAAGGGAAATTAAACAGAATAAATATCCAGGGCACCAACACTGAGAGTTTTTGGAAATACACAGAAATTTCCCTGAAGATCCCCTCCAGTAATTACCAACAACTTTTTCTTCCTCCTTAAATGAAATCTGCTTTTCCTCAATCACTAACTCTCAAAATAAATATGAAACCATTTTTATTCAATATTTTCTTGTTTTACTTAATGACTGATTTTATTTTATGTGTTTCCCCACTGCAAATGTACAGTATTTTAGCAATAATGGGATGTTAGCACCAATCTGCAGCCAAACCACAGTTTATAACTTGTTTATGTGGGGAAATGCATTTAGATCTGGAAAAACTCCAGTTTATAAGTCAGAAACTGCCTATGGTATATGCCCTGAGTTTAAGTAAAATTCAGTCAGTAAATATTTTTTGAGAGCCTTCTAGGTGAAAAGGCACCAGTCCAGGGGTTATAATGTTCTGCAAATAAAATACATAATAACACAAACATACATTACATCATCTACTCCTTACAACAACTTTACTAGGTAGATGTTACTTTCCTCCTTGCCAATAAAGAAACTGAGGCTTGGAGAGGAAAGATAACTTGCTCAAGAGCACAATCCTAGTGGGAGACAGAGCTGTCTTTCTCTTCCAGGTCACCTGACTCCCAAGTCTGGGCTCTTTCAGCTGTGCTGTGGTGCAATAATTATGCTCTAATGAGACTATGCAGGAAGTCAAGCTGTATTTTCAAAAGTCTTTGGAAGCTATGTATCAGAAGCTTCTGGGAAAAATAGAAATTTGTGCTGAATCTCAGGTAGAAAAATGTTTGCTCGGACTATTGCTGCCTTAGAAATACCTCTTAGAGAATGCTATCCCAAGTTACTAAGAAACTGAAAAGCCTATCGTTGGAACAACTGGGACTCCAGGAGGATAGGGTGACTGACGTTTTTGACTGAGTGACCCATTGTTGGGGGAGGACAGGGGACATAGGAGCACAGACCGCCATCTCCTCAGGGGAGTGTATGACAGGCTCTCCTTTTGCCATCAGTAAGACTTCTCCTTTATCAATAACAAATTTCAGATATTTCACTTTGATCTAAACCCCTGATGGAGTCAGACACACAATAAATTATATAAATGCTCTAGTAAGATTTGCTTAAAAGCCTTGAGAGCTAAATCTGTTCCATGCACCTGCTAATCAGACCAACTCAGCATGTTTATTAATGGTCTCCATCCAGAAGGAGGAAACTCAGACAGCTTCCCAAGATAGTAAGCAGTTGTTCTCAACTCTCCCATAAGACAGAGAAGCAGGGACTCCAAAACAACCCAGCTCCTGCTGCCCAGATCTTAAATATGATAGCTCCTTAGAGTTAATGGCATGCAGTGCTCATGAAAGATCTAAAAGTTACCATCAGTACGTCTCTATCCCATGCTCACGTCTCAAAGATGCAAATGTGAGGCAGCTCTTGATGCATCTGGAGTTTATTGACTTTCCTGCTAATTACCCAATTTCTCAAGTATTTGTTGAATATTTAGTGTGTGCCCAACATTCTTTCATGGAGGCATAAGAGATTCAAAATTGGTCCTTGTCCTTAATTATGGTATTGCTACTCTTGTTCATTTATTCATTTAGTCACTTAAATATTTCTTGAGCATGCGTAGTTGGAGATGATAAGACATATGCACATTAAAGTTACTGAACACAGTAGAGCATAATTAGATGTTATCTTTAATTTCTCCCCAAGGGTCAGTGAGCTCAACAAATGCTTATGAAAAGCCACTAAGTGCCAATACTGGAGATACAGAAATAGCTAAGACAGAGCCCTGACTATTAAGAAGCTGACAGCCAGGAAGAAAAATAAATAAACCAGAAATTACAGTAGAATATGGTGTGGTTAGGTTAAGTGCAGTGTGCACAGAAGAGGGAAAATGGTCAAGGAATGCCGCTATAGGTAAGTGACACTTGAACTGAGACTTGAAGCTTGAATATGAATTCATAGAATGTTGGCCCAACTGCTGGGTGGGGAGAAGCGGTCATCAACCAGGCTAGAGAAAAAGGCAGGCATGAGACTTGAGACTTGCTTGTAATAGCCTGGGAAGTTACAGCTCCCTCCTCTCTGACTGCCCCACTAATGCCAGCTCCTTCCCCAAACTTTTTTTTTTAGAGACGGGATCTCACTCTGTTGTCCAGGCTGGAGGGCAGTGGCACAATCATAGCTTACTGCAGCCTCCAACTTCTGGGCTCAAGTGATCTTCCTGCCTCAGTCTCCAAAGTTGCTGGGGTTATAGGTGTGAACCACTGCATCTGGCCTCAAACTTTGGTCTCTGCCTCCTCTACTCAGTGGTAGTAACTCAGACTCCAGCTTTCTGCACCACAGTGAGGACATTGTCACTGTGTCACTTGAGATATTGTCTCAAGGAAAAGCTGGAGATTATGAGGCTGACCTTGTAAGATCTTAGGGACTGCACTGTTGCACTGCACAGTGACCAACATCTGAGCTCAGTTGCCTCATATGCTTTGTCCAGTTTTATTTTGTTTACAGTGGGAGGGAGGCCAGGTTACTTCATCTAGCTGGAACTCTCCCATGTATCTTGACTAACTTCACTCGACTTTGATGTTATCTACCTTTCAGTTTCTCAAACCCCTGCCTCCATTCCTCTTCCTTCCACCTCCTTCACCTCTTCTCTACTGAAACTACTTTCATTAATCACCTGGGAGGTCCTTATTGCCATAGCCAATGGGCATTTCTTTCACTTTCAATCTCCTTGTCTTGTTGGCAGTCGTAGAAGTGATTAAATGGTAACTCTTTTTTTTGTTTTTTTTTTTTTAACTCTTCTCTTAGATTCTCTCAGCTCTATGACTCTGCTTTTGCCTTTGACAACTGTACCATATCGTTTGCTGGCCTCAACTTCTTCCATCCCTTGATAACAGCATTTCCCAGGACTGTTCCCCGGGGTGTTCATCCTGGACCTGCTGGGCATCTTCTCTATACTCACAGCTTTAGAGAGTTTATTTCTTACCCTGCCTTCCATTGTCTCTTACATGGGAATACACCCAACTTCATATGACCAATCCTGTCTTCTTCACCCATACCCTTGTTAGATTTATCTAGCTGCCTAGCAGGGATTTGTACCTTGATATCCCCCCTCAAAACAGATCTGGCTTCTGTCTCCTTTTAAACTTTATTTCCTTCTCTCCTTTATCTACTGCACTCTATCTACACTACACCAACCTGCATTTAGTTCCTATAACACACCAAACTCTCCCCACCACAGGGTCTTTGCATGTGCAGTTCCTGCTTCCTGAATCTCCCTTTCCTCTGTTTATGCCTCAGCCTTTAAGTCCCAGTTTGCCCATAATCTCCTCAGAGAAGCATCCCTGCACAACCTTATGTAACTAGACACCACTCTGCTATTCCCAATCACTACCCACTCTTGCGTTCTTCACAGAACTTAGAAGTTGTCATTATTGGCTGATGTATTTGCTTACACATGCTCTATCCATATGTTTATGTGTTTGTTCACTTACTTTAAGCTTCCAAGGACTGAAACCATGTCTGTTTTATCAATTCGGGTCTGCATGGTACCTATCACAGTTCCTGGCACATAGGAGATACTCAGTAAATACATTCAGTAAATATTTGTCAGATGCATGAGTGAGATCATCACCAGACTCACTCCCTTTCTTCTCTACAGGAGGATCTTCCACCCCAGGTTTTCTGTGCCAGGCATTGATGTTGGAGACACAAGCACATAAAGCATGGTCTTCCATGCTCCTACAACATTTCATTGGTATATTAATAAGGAAAAATAAAATTGTGAGACAAAGTGAATCCTGAGCTGAGAGAAACCGAAGGGTTAGATTCTGTGGTTATAGAGTTTTTAAAGTTGAAAAACCGAAGTTTGTCTTACAGCCCAAATTGAACCTCATTAAGGCTCAGCTTCACCATTATTGAGTCCAGATGGTACAGTTGCCTTCACAGACCCCGCGCAGTCAGCAGGCTGTTTTCCTGCTGGTCTTGACCAGTTTCCCAAGAAGTGGTTGCCCTATAAGTGTTGTTCTTACTTCTGGGCTCTTCCAGTTTCTCACACCCTCCAGGCTCAGGGTCCTACAGATTCTCACTTTTATTAATCCCAGGATTTGTCATTATATTAGCACATTTCATATTGGGTTATAATTTACCTGTTTTTCAGTCTCTTTTCCCTAATATAGCGTGAACTGAGGCAGAAACTTAGTCTTCACCCTCTTTGTAGTCCATAAGGTCTAGTTCAATGTCTGGAACATAGAGACTCCTCAATAAATCCTTATGAATGAATGAATAAGAGTTGCCAAAACTCCTCTAGCCAAAACAAATAGTGACAAGGAAAATTATCCTCTGGACTATAGATGTGTGGGTCAAAGTTTCCCTAGAGTTTTTCTCTGATACTGGATAACTTCTATCCTCACATAGCAGCTCCTTTCTATAGTCCTGGAGGCTGGGAGCATGTGGCAGCCAGTTTCCTGGAGGCTAGGAACACATGGCAGCCAGTCATCCACGAAATAGCCAGCAAGGGCCTAATGTGGGGAAGCGGAGGGGCAAGGATGGCAAAAGGAGATGGATTCAAGGAATGTTTAGAAGGTAATGCCAGCAGCATTTTTACCTTATTCCAAAGCCTGTGTAGTAAATTTAAGCCATCTTCCGGACAGTGTGAACATCAGAAGGATTATCTTTCACTCCATCAGATAAATTTAGGATTTCGAGAGGAGAGCATGCATAACAAACTGCAAGAGCTGCCTCTACAAGAAACATTTTAAATATTCTATGCTCAACTGTCAGCAACAGCACATTAAGCATTCTAATACTTGCATAGCTCCCATAATTCGCCTCACATGGGTGAATATGGTACTCCTGGGAGGTGACTTACACTCTTTTGCTTACCAAAGGAACAGAACAAATACTTTAATATCATTTTTTCCTTATCTCTGGCTAAGAAATGATCCTTATGGTGAGGATTGTGATTAAACATTTGCAACAATCATGGAAGCAGAGAGGTGATAAACATGCCAAACCAGTTTCCCTGAACTCAGGGTAGCAAGATTTCCAGGAGCTTAATGAGAGCTTCACATTTTCTTCTATTAAATTACAAAAACATGCCTGATTTTTATAAATCTTTTGCACTGTGAATAAAAGATCATTTTTTTCTAATAAAACTACGCTGAATTATCTGAATCTGCCATATGCCATCTTTTCTCCCATCCATCCATCCATCGATCCATCCATGCATCCATCTGCATACATGTCTGTCCCTACCTCCCGCATAACAGATTTGGGATGGTTTATCGACTCCTTAAATTAACACAATTTCTGTGTTTTCAAAATCTCTGCATAGAAAAGTGTTTCCCTGATCTTTGCATTTGTGTCCTGTCTATACTTCCTGCATGCGCTTTCTCATCTCCCACTTGTTTCTCAATAAAGGCCAGTCTGGCTTTTGCCCCTGCTACTCCACCAACAGTGCTCTTTCCAAAGTCAACAATGACTGTCTTGTCACTAAGTCACATTTGTACCATGGCCACCTTCTCCCATTCTGTTCCTTTGATTTCTGTATTGTTATAATTTCCTGTTTCTCTCCCCCCGCCGCCCCCCCCCGGCCATCTTTTGGGCTGCTTTTCTTTTTTTAACAGGTTCATATCCTTTTAATTACTGGGTTTCTTGAGTCTCAGCCCTTGTTATCTGCAGTTCTCAGTCAACATTTTCCTTCTGGGTGATCTCATCCCCTCCTGTATGAGTTTGCTAGGGCTGCTGTAACAAAGTTCCACAAACATGGTGGCTGAAACAACAGAAATGTATTGTCTCACAGTTCTGAAGGCTGGAAGTCCAAGGTCAAGGTATCCACAGGGTTGCTTTCTTCTGAGGCCTGTGGGAGGCAGTCTGTTCCACCACCTCCCCCATAGCTTCTAGTGATTTTTTGGCAATCTTTGGCATTCCTTGGCTGATAAAAGCATCCATTCTTTCTCTGGCTTCATCTTTACATGGTGTTCTCCCCATGAGTGTGTGTGCCCAAGTTTTCCCTTTTTAGAAGGACACTGGTCATATGGAATTAAGGGCTACCTTAATGACCTCATTTTAATTTGATCACCTCTGTAAAGGTGTTATCTCTAAATAAGGTCACATGCTCAGGTACTGAGGGTTAGAACTTCAATATGTGAATTTGACGGAGGGGAGGGAGAGTGGGACGCAATTCAACATATAACCCCTCCCATAGCTTCAGTGACTTTTCCATACACTGATGACTCTCAAATCTGTTTCCAGCCCAAATCTGTCTTCTGAACTCTAGATCTGTGTGTCCAACTGCCCACTGACCATCTCTCCTTGGATGAGTTTCATGCACTTAAACTCACCACGTCTAAGACTGCATTCATTACCCTTCCCACAAACCAGGTCCTCCTTCTAGCTCTGTAAATGGTGTTTTATCAATTCAGTTGTCCACGACAGAAACTGATGCTTATTCTTGACCCCTCTTTCACCCTTATTTCTACACCCATGTTCAATTATTTACCAATTTATATCCATTCCATCTCTGCGATACTGTTCAGTCTACCTCTCTTCAACCTCACTGCTGCCACCTCTTCAAGGCCACTTTAATCTGTCCCCTAGACATCCAGTTTTCTCTTAACAAGTCATTCTACCTCAAGTTTTACTTCCTCTCAGTCCGTTCTCCACGTTACACAGTGATCTTCTAAAAACTCAAATCCGATGATTCCACTTCCCTACTTAAATCCTTTCAAATGGCAGTGAGTGTCTTGGAAGTGGGCATTGGCCGAGATTGGTGTTAGGCTTTGAACTGGACTTTGAAGGGACAGCAGGATTTAGGTAAGTGAGGAAGAGGCTTCTATGAGTGTGGAGCTGGGACTCATCATTGTGGGTTTAGGTCCAAAGACTGTTTCAGCCCATCTACCTGGCAGTTGTGGATACCCATAACAATTGTGAAAACAAACTGATGCTGGTTGTTTAGCTTATGTCCCCAGAGGCAGAAACTTGCGAATAGTTTCATTTAGATTGTGGCTTAAATCACAGCAGAGCTTCCTAAGCAGCTGTCTCTGCCAGTTCCTGACTGGTACTCCTCCCCTGGGTGACAAATATGTATATGCTAATAGCATTAGCTGTACCCTGGCATGCTCGTCTGCCCATTTATTTCTTTCTGCTAATGAACAAGGCATAAATATTTTGTGAACTGAGCCATAGGATTACAGTTTAAAAGCCCACTTCCCCAAAGAGAAGATACTTGTGGACCATTAGTACTGGCAAGGGGCTGTGCAGTGAATTGCCTTCCAGAGAAAAGGCTGGCTTGTCCACCCACTCGGCATTTAGCACTCTTTATAGAAATTGCTTGTATAATTGGCTTTTCCCCTGCTGGACCATAAAAAAATGAGGGCAAGCACCATGCCTTCTTGTTCTTCCCTGTGCTTAGCAGAGGGGCAGGCACTGCTAGGCACACAGTAGGCATCCATAACTTATTAATTAATTAGTCATCACAGAATTAGGCCAGTAGCCACAGGTTTCTTGATTTATTCTAAATTGAGTTTTGAACTATAATGGATTATGAGACTGCCTTATTAATGCGTTGTCAAATCTACCAATCAAGAAACTCACCAGGGCCATTTGGAAGAGAAGATTCCAGGAGAGCGTACCAGGGAGGAATTTGTAAGCAGAGGGTTTCTACAGTCCATAAAGGAGTATTTGCCAAACTTGGTAGAGTGGTTGACATTGCAAGAGGACAGTGGTGATGTCACAAGGTCCATAAGGATTTTAGTACTCTTTGTATACACTTGTATGTAGGTAAATAAGCTAGTTCAAGTTACAAGGAAACCAAGAATTTGGAGCAAAAGAAACAAAGGTTCAAATGAAGAAAAGTCACTGTGAAAGCTTAATAAAAGCAAACAGGGTGTTTCAGGGAAGCAAGCTCAACATATGAAAATCCAGAAATAGAAAACAAATTAAAATCAGTTGCTTATTTGAGTAAGATATTATTTCAAGCATAAGCACTCCCACTGCATCTAAAATATGAGTTTTAAAATGCCATTAAGTTATTTGTATGGGTTTTTGGAGAAATATATAAGTATTATAGAAAGCAAAGTAGTCTTGCAGTCTTAATGCCAGTATCTTGCCACCTAAAAGAAAGAGATGTTTATTCAAAGGTATGACATTTGGAACTTTGTTTAATACTCTGAGAATAGCTAAACTATAGACTTATATCAGGCCAAAAAGCACTTTTAGTTTTGTTTTCTTCATATAGCATAGACTTTTCTTTTTTCAACTTTCATTTTAGAATCAGGGGATACATGTGCAGGTTTGTTATAAAGGTATATAGCACGATGCTGAGGTTTGAAGAACAAATGAATCCGTCACCCAGGTAGTGAGCATAGTACCCAATAGGTAGTTTTTTCAACCTTATCACCCTCCCATCCTTCCCCCTCTTGTCTTCCCCAGTGTTTATCGTTCCCATTTTTATGACCATGTCTACACAATGTTTAGCTCCCACCTGCAAGTGAGAACATGTGGTATTTGGTTTTTGGTTTCTGCATTAGTTCGCTTAGGATAATGGTTTTCAGTTGTATCTGTGTTGTTGCAAGGGACGTGATTTCATTCTCTTTTGTGGCTGTATAATATTCCATGGTGTATCTGTACCACTTTTTTTTTTTTAAATCCAACCCACTACTGATGGGCACCTGGGTTGATTCTATGTCTTTACAATTGTAAATAGTGCTGCTATGAACATATGGATGCACATATCTTTTTGGTAGAACAATTTATTTTCTTTTGGGCATATACTCAGTAGTAGAATTGCTGGGTTGAATTCTAGTTTAACTCTCAGTTCTCTGAGAAATCTCCAAGTTGCTCTCTACAGTGATTGAACTGATTTGCATTCCCACCAACAGTATATAAGTATTTCATTTTTTCTGCAGCCTCACCAACATCTCTTATTTTTTGACTTTTTAACAAAAGCCATTCTGACTGATGTGAGACGGTATGTCACTGTGGTTTTGATTTGCATTTGTTGATGATTAGTGAAGATGAGGATTTTTTTCATGTATTTCTTGGCTGCTTGTATGTCTTCTTTTCAGAACTGTCTGTTCATATCCTTTCCTCATCTTTTATGAGGTTATTTGCTTTTTTCTTGTTGATTTGAGTTCCTTATAGATTCTGGATAATAGACCTTTGTCAGATACATAGTTTGTGGATATTTTCTCCAATTCTAAAGGTTGTCTGTTTACTCCCTTAATAGGTTTTCTTTCTATGCAGAAGCTCTTCAGTTTAATTAGGTCTTGTTTGTCAATTTTTGTTTTTTGTTTTCAATTGCTTTTGGGGACTTAGCCGTAACTTCTTTGCCTAGGCTGATATTGAGAAGGGTATTTCCTAGGTTTTCTTCTAGGATTTTTATAGTTTGAAGTCTTATATTTAACTGTTTGATCCATCTTGAGTTAATTTTTGTATATGGTGATAGGTATGGGTCCAGTTTCATTCTTTTGCATATGGATAGCCAGTTATTCTAGCACCATTTATTGAATAGGGATCCTTTCCCCCATTGCTTATTTTTGTCAATTTTGTGAAAGATCAGATGGTTGTAGATGTGCAGCTCTATTTCTGGGTTCTCTATTCTGTTCCATTGGTCTATATGTCTGTTTTTGTACCAGTACCATGCTGTTTTGTTTACTGTAGCCTTGTAGCATTAGTTTGGAGTCAGGTAATGTGATGCCTCTGGTTTTGTTCTTTTTGCTTAGGATTGCTTTAGCTATTTGGGCTCTTTTTTGGTTCCATATAAATTTTAGAATAGTTTTTTCCAATTCTGTGAAAAATGGCATTGATAGTTTGATAGCAATAGCATTGAATCTATAAATTGCTTTGGGCAATATGGCCACTTTAATGATATTGATTCTTCCAATCCATGAGCATGGGATGTTTTTCCATTCATTTGTGTCATCTATGATTTCTTTCAGCAGTGTTTTATAATTCTCCTTGTAGAGATCTTTCACCTCCTTGGTTAGCTATATTCCTGGAATACAGCATAGCATTTTCTTATCTATTTTGCTTCAATTTAGTTGGCTGATCTCTTTGAGAAATGTTCTAAAGTGAATCTTAAATTTCTTTTTGTTTTCTCGGGTTAAACTGAATTATTTCAGAACCATCAAGACTAGCCTTTTCACTGTATAGAAATGAATCTCCACTTGCTGTTGGCGTTATCACAGTGACCGGAGTGATACAGAAGAGAAGTGATGTTGGTGCATCTAAGAGATTCTCTCTACCCTCAGTTGGGAATCAACCAGCTCTCTTACACGAGAAAACTTGCCACCAGGTGCTCATCAGTGGTAACAGCCAGCTACACTGTCTTAAAGGTGCCTACCATTGGGCTTTTACAGGGAAGCTAGTGGGAAATCCAGAAAATTTTCCTAAATGCTCTCAAGAGGTCCCTCTCTGAGAACAAGGACTGTCACCCATAGAGATAGCTGTAATACAAAGGTAACTAGTGAGTGAAGACATCATAGAGAAGGGAAATAGATAAGGTGAGGAAGGGGCTACAGAGTTGGGTACATGGAAAGGTCCTGTAAAGTTGGTATCAAACAGGACTCTTGGTTGCAAGCCACTGAAATGCTACCCTAGGGCTGTTAAGCAAAATGAAGATTTACTGACTGGCTTTGGGAGGAGAGGGTCACCCAGCCTTGAAAAATGTGCAGGAATCAAGAGGCCTTCAGAGCCACAGCTGTAACAATCTGGCTGAGACGCTGCCATTTCCATCACTACCCAATATCCTGTTGTTGGGTAGTACCCACTGGTACTGTAGGGCTTTAACCATTGTGGCTTCCAGGAGATTCTAAGTCTGGATAGGAGCATCTGATGGGCTGAAACCAAGTCATACCTACACCTTATTGCCAAGAGCAAGCAGAATTATTTAGCTTCCTTCAGTTTCCATTGTAGGATGTAGGGCACTGTTTCCCATTAAGACTTATATAATGAGGGAGGGGGAACTCCCCCTAAATAGGAAGAGGGTTGGGTGCTGGGTAGCTAAACACAGGACAGAAGTCTAAGATAGCCATGTTAAATATATTTAAGGAGTTGATAACTGGGCTGAGATTTTTTTTAAAAAAATTGTTTGTTCTTTTGCAATGAAAAGCACTTTCTATTATCTGGGAAATTATTTAAAGATCAGGACTATCACACACAAAGACAACTTTAATGCAATTTTGTGGTATTTCTGCTGATCCATATCTAGAATCAGCAAAATAGATTTAAAAATGTTTCATAAGTATCTTAGGAATACTTCAAAATCCATTTCAGATTTCTATAAATGTTCAGCAGAAATCATCAAAGTTACTCCACAATCTAATTCTACAGATAACAGAGGTGTAAAGAGTAACAAGGCTGAGTAGACAGATTCTAGGTCTGGACAAGGTAAGAGGTAGCTGGAATTAGGAAAACAACTTTAGACTTAATAAGACATGGGTGTGTTTGGAGCCATAGTTAAGGGAGAGGGGTTATTCTTGGGCAGGACTGGGGGTTAAAGCTTGATGCTGGAGGGAGATACAGGGTCTGAAGGGATAGAAACAAGCAAGTGTTAAGGATAATATTTTATTCAGGGTAAGGGAAACAGAGAAAATATGTCTTGATCCCAACCACTTCTTTAGTATATGAATCCAGAACAGGTGCTTGACAAGTATAACAGTGGAGCTCCTCTGGCATTTGGAGACCCAGGGAAAGTGTCACTAGTTGCATTGCACAAGGTCATTACAGGGAAGAATGATTATAACTGGCTTACATACAAGGTATGATTATTGTGCATTGTTTATGTTCTTAACACCATTATTAATACTATTATTAATGTTCTTTCTACCATCATCATGTGAATGCTGAGATCCTAGCCAGAGAAAAGAAAGATTCTACTGCAATACAAATTTCAAAAGGAGACATTCCAGCTCCCCTTCAAGACTACATTTTGGATTAACAACTTCCAAATAGTTATCTTCCCCCTAGGTTCTCTCTGTAGTGAGTATCCTACCCTCTCTTGCCAATTTTGCCTTCCCGAAATTCTGCTTTCAAGCCACCATCTCTCTACAAAACACCTTAAACACCTTGTTTGCTCCCCACAATTAAAAGGGCAAAATCCACACTTTCCTGTGTTGGAAGCTGCCCTAGGCTCTCCTCCTATCCAAACCTTGCTTTGCTTTTTGATCTGTTTGAATCCATTGTCCTCTATGAAGCATTTTTTTTTTTTTTACCATCCAGGCTGAAATTAATCTCTCCACTTTCTGAACAATAATTATCCTTATTTTCTGTGCTATTGAATTGCTCACCTTAATGTATTTAAGCATTTGGGGAAATATATATTATCTTCCCAGCAAGATTGTAACCTTTTTGCCTACAGAAGGAGCTCAGTAAAACTGATTAGCTGAGATGGAAAAGCAGTGAGATACACTGGAGAGAATATGGGCTTTGGAATTGGACACACCTGAGTTTTCATCAATACTTAGGCTATTGGAAATTCTCTTTCCTCATCTGTAAAAAATGGGGATAGTAAAATACACCCACAAGTATTGTTGTGAGGTCTGGAGATAATATACACAAGGCTTTTTGTGCATAGTAGGTGCTAAATTAAATAGTAGGCATTTTTATTTTTACATTGTAAAAATAGGTAGCAGTGATCTAACCTTTGATTTCAAAGTTGATTACAAGTAGAGAAGATAAATTGTATTCTAGATAGATTACTACTATTTTAGGGATAAGATGTTTATAACAGAAATATAACCATTAGTACTCCTTTCTTTCAGATATAGATTTTAGATAAATACAAAATGAATTAGAAATTAAAAGCTTTTTCAAATACTACATGTTCTCTCTTATAAGTGGGAGCTAAATATTGGGTACTGATGGACATAAAGATGGCAGCAATAGACATTGGGGACTACTAGAGGGAGGAGGGGGGAAAGGGTTGAAAAACTTAATGTTGGGCACTATGATCAGTAGTGATGGGATCATTCATACCCAAAACCAGAATCAAGCAGTATACCCAGGTAACAAATATGCACATGTGTCCTCTGAATCTAAAATAAAAGTTGAAAAAAAATTAAAAGGTATTTTTCATGTTGTTTTAATATGCATGTAAAAGTACCTAAATAATTCAGATTTACATCCTCAAAATCTAGCTTTCAGATAATATACATATAATTATTATTTATAATAAGATAATAAGCAAGTCTTGAAAAAACTTTTAAAATATAAAATATATAAGGCATACAAAAATATAGATAATATGACCAACAGCCAAGTTATTTTAAAACATATTTATTTATTAAATGAATTAAGAGCTGTTAGAACTATAAGGAGTGAGTAATACCTGGTAAGTACGATGGAATTGTGCTGAGAAGTTATGGCTTTTAGAGAATAAATTGAAATGAAAAGTTTCTATTGCTTGTGCATTGACTATCCACCAAGCTGAACCTTTTCAGTAACTTCAAGGCTATATGTTTACCTAAGAAAAGGGTAACCCTTAAACCAGATTCCATGTGGGTTTCTATGAAAAACCTACCAAAACTGATTACAATAAATGATACTACTACAAGGAAATATTTGTTGCCACTGAAATCAACAGAATATGAGTTTTAAAATAAGCTGAAATATAACTGTTCATATATTTTGTTGAGTTATTGATATTTTATCTTTTTGGTTTTTTTTTTTTTTTTTTTTTTTTTTTTGAGATGGAGTCTTGCTCTGTCGCCCAGGCTGGAGTGCAGTGGCGGGATCTCGGCTCACTGCAAGCTCCGCCTCCCGGGTTCACGCCATTCTCCTGCCTCAGCCTCCCAGGTAGCTGGGACTACAGGCGCCCGCCACTACGCCCGGCTAATTTTTTGTATTTTTAGTAGAGACGGGGTTTCACCGTTTTAGCCGGGATGGTCTCGATCTCCTGACCTCGTGATCCGCCCACCTTGGCCTCCCAAAGTGCTGGGATTACAGGCGTGAGCCACCGCGCCCGGCCCCTAGTTATTGATATTTTATCTTTTTGTAAGAAAAAATGACAGATTAATAATTATGGCTACCAACCAACATCAAGTGAAAAATCCAGGGTTACATTTCTGTCTTCAGCATTTCTTTAGTGATTATAATATCTTAGTCATGGAAAAGGTCTTGGATCTTTAAAAGAAACACACTTATAAAAGATGAGTTGAAAATAGCGCTAGTTTTATGGCCAATATATAATTTACGTGAGCTTGTTTGGAAGAATTATCAATCAATCATAAAGCTAGTAGGGGGTTAGGAGATCATATGATCTAACCCCTGACTTTGTGATCATAGCATTGTTGTAGAAACAGAATATTGGATGTCTTTTCTTTACTCCTCCAGATCCTCTTTCCACTTTTTTCCACCCAACTTTCTCTGGGGTCTGAACCTGTAAAGAAAGAGGCTGTCTTATCTCCTGGCTTTGGCTTATTAACCAATGGGGAGTTCCTGTGGGATATCAAAGGGAGGGAGTATTTCCAAGACCCCCAACTGGGTGCCTGCCTTAATTAAAAGTCATGACCTAAGCCAAGCAACCCTCTCCTCCCTCTCCTTCCAAATTCTGGTGTTGTTTTTTTTTTTTTTTTTCAAGACAGAGTCTTGCTCTGTCGCCCAGGCTGGAGTGCAATGGCGTGATCTTAGCTCACTGCAACCTCCACCTCCGGGGTTCAAGAGGTTCTCCTGCCTCAACACGAGAATTTTTGTATTTTTAGTAGAGACGGGGTTTCATCATGTTGGTCAGGCTGGTCTTGAACTACTGACCTCAGGTGATCCACCTACCTCAGCTTCCCAAAGTGCTGGGATTACAGTCGTGAGCCACCGTGCCCGGCCCCAGATTCTTCTAATCACTCTGTCCCCTCGCCGCTTCAGGCCTGTGGTTAGTAAGAGCTGTAGTTAAACCTGAATACTGCCCTACCCTCTATGATTTCTCACATACAGTGTTTCACAAATTTTAACTTACATTGGAATCACCTGGAAGGCTCCTAAAACTATAGGTTACCCAACTGCAGAATTTCTGACTCAATGGGTCTGATATTGGCACTAAGAATTTGCATTTCTAACAAGTTCCCAAGCGATGCTAGGGTGGGAGGCTTAGGGAGCCACTGCCCTATGGCCCTATACCTTGACCACCTTTTCTAAAATTGTCCTGTTTTGAGTTTGCCATCTCTTCCTCCTGGAACCCTATCCATATAAGTGGCTATAAAAATGAGTTGAAAACAGACAAAGTTGTGTTATGGTTAAGCATAATTTGCAAATACATGTTTGAAAAATCTTCAGGTTGAAGAAGAGAAAGCTGTGGGAATTTAGGAAATCATTTTGTCTAATCCTTTAATTTCAGCAAGGAAAGAATGTGAACAAAGTGAGGTCAAGTGATTTACCTGAGTTGACACAGCCAGTGGTATCCTACTTTTCAGGGCAGCCTTTTCAGGGTACATATTATGCTGCCTCTTGTCATAGAGCAACTACCCCTTCTATACACACACACACACACACACACATACACACACACATTCCCTAGATCGTGTTAATTGCTTCTGGGTATTCATGATTTCTACCTTTAGGTTTAGGCACCAGATCTATATAGCGGTGTTTGCTTCACGATTTGGGGCAAATAGGGATAAGGTCTCTGGCTCAGCTTCAGTATAGTACTTAGTAAAGCCAGTTGTTTTGTTGACCTTTTGTGCCCATAGGAGATAAAAGCCAATGGTAAGGCCTTTGTTTGAATGATAGCTGGGACTTTGATCTATCTGTATCTTCCAAGTCATCTTGCACTTGTTCGCATGGAGACATTTGACTCTTTGCTTTTTACCCCCAGTGCTTTCCAAAGACCTTTTCCTAGTTAACTTTTATCAGCTTGGCTTTTCAAGTTGTTATCTGAGAACTTCACATCTTATACTCAATCTTTTTAAGCAATTGTTTTACTCAGTGGCTGTAGTTCTTTTCCCTTTTCGCTTTGAAGTTCCTAAACACCCAAGGCACCTTATTCTCAGCTCCACTCCTTCTTTCCTGGGAGCTGCAGCCTGTTGCGATGTTCGCTCTGCTAGTGACAGAAATTGGACAAGCATCGGTGTAATATTCAAGTTCCTTTCTCCAGATTTTTGACTCTGTGCAACTAGATTTCTCTCAGAAGGCTAAAGCTGTGAGATTGAAAGTGTAGGAGCTTCAGACAACCAAATTTTCCGCAGAGAAAGGTAAGCAGCAGCCTTCTGAGAAGACATGAAGCTGGTACCCAGCAGCGAGAGATGGAGAAGATGAGACTGATTGCACCAGGGCCCTGGTTCCAGGTGTTCCTGAGGTTTAGGGACACTCTGGCCTTCTTGTCCCTGTAGGTCGCTAAGCTCCTAAAAACTCCCCTTTTAGCTTTAAACCAATTTAGTTTGGATTCCTAGTATATGAAGTCAAATATTCTATTTAATAAATGGCCCCTAATAGTCATTTTTGTTTACGAGGTCTCCCCAGGTTTAGACAGCCTGGTTTCTTAGCCACTGTATACTGCCTGAATCTCAATTAGACAGCTCCTTTTCAAGTAACAGGTGAGGGTGAAAGAATGGGATTTCCAATACTCTTGTATATTGAGATTTCAGCATCTTAGAGCTGATCGTCTTAATATTGAGCTTCATAGCATGCACCTTATGCCTCTGACTATTTGCTTCTACGGTTTCCTCTGACTGTATTGCCTATTCCCCAGCCTAAACCTCTGCCTGATTAAGTCCTGTTCATCCTTCAAAGACACCTTTGATGTGACCTTCCACAGAGCCTTCCCTGCTCCAGGCTTCTGAATGAATCCCTCACTCCCTTTCTTCCTGCTCCCCCAGCTGCATCAAACTGTGGCTAATTGGTTACATGTCTGCATCATACAAAACTGAGAGTTCCATGAAGGTACAAACTATTCTTCATTTGTCTAACTCTGGTCCTGACACAATACCTGCCCCATAATAGGTGCTTAATAACTACTTGTTGAATCAAATTGAATTTGGGAGCATGCAGATCCCAACCAGTGCAGATGAAGAAATCATATTCTCCTTCTGGGCCAAATAATGAAAATGGCCCAAGATGGCCCCACTGCTATGGGTCAGGTGAGCAGATGTCTTTAAGAAGGATAGGGGACCATCTGGTGTGACAAATGAGATACCACCCACACATCACTCCTAATACAGTTTACTCACAATACTTAGTAAAATCAGAACATTGTTTACTAACTGGATTTGCAATCTCTGGTTCCACTCAGGCACTCATTGTTGCATACAAAACAGAAAATAGAAATATTTATTTATGATACTTGACTACATCCCAGACGATGTTCTGAATGTTTATATTTGTCAGGGTTGCCTTTAGATTAACTAAATGGTACAAGACCATAGAGGATGGGACAATGTTTTCGCTTCCAGGATTGGAGATAATTGTATCATGGCCCAACCCCTGAATACGTCTCCAGGTCTGGCTTGGAAGTTTAAAGTTTGTATTGTTTAAGACAGTGATTAAAATGTCTGTCATGGATGAACTACTCTTGGATCTCTTCCACAAACTGACCAGTGGGAGGCAGCTGGCAGCAGGCAATGGGCTTTGCGGTATATCACATAAGGAACAGGAGGTATGGAAGCCAGGACATAATATTTTAGTGAAAATGAGAAAGGAAGATAAATCACTGGTGTGGCTTATACATTCAACACTTGCTCGCTACACACAAGTTACCAACTTTTTAGGTAACTATGGACAATATTTGATCTCAATCCCATCCCAACTTGCTACCCAGCCTATTTCTAGACTTTCTCCTTTTGATGTATAATTGCCAAGGGATTGGAAATGGAATATTGGGAAAATGAAACCCAATATTACCCTGAGAAAAGAGGAGAAGGCATACCTTATAAAAATAAATTTCAAAAGATAAATTTTAAAAGACTCTTGGAGTATCTGAGCATCAGCCACTCTTGAAGAACAGGAATAATTGTGAGTTCACTGAATTTCAGACAGTCCGTTTTTATCGAACTTGAATTGTCCAATTAGAAACATAGCTGTACAAGGTATAATAAACATTCTGAATATGTAAAATAAGAACCCTGGGTATTTTTGATGCTCTTATAATAACAATAGTAACATAGCATTAATTTAAGTGTAGCAGTCAGTATATAATGCTTCTGTTAACTTTCTGAGTAACTGTAAATTTTTAATTTTCTAAATCCAAGATTACATAGTACATTTTATTTTATTTGTATGGGTGCATAGTAGGTATATATATTTACAGGTACAGGAGATATTTTTATACAGACATACCATGTGTAACATGTCATCTATCACCTCAAGCATTTATCATTTCTTTGTGTTACAAACATTTCAATTATGATCTTAGTTATTTTACAATCTACAATCAATTATTGTTGACTGTAGTCACCCTCTTGTGCTTTCAAATATTAGATCTTACTCATTCTAACTATATGTTTGTACTCATTAACTGTCCCCACTCCCTCCACCCTCAACCCACTATCCATCCTAGGTTCTGGCAACCATCATTCCAAAGAAATAGAAGAAATAGAAATGCTTGGAGAAGTGATTAATTTCAGGAGTGGGGCAGGGAAACTATAAGACAAGCCCAGGGCATCTTGCAGTGCCAGAAAGTAAGGAAGAGCTCAAACGCAAAAGAATGGGGACAAATCAAAGGTACTCAGTAGCCAATCTAAAAGAGCTCGCCATGGCCAAAGCTGGAATAATTTGAGTGAAATAATAAACAATGCAGGTTTGATCATAACCCAAAGTATGAACTAAATATTCATAAGTCTATACCAATACAAATAAATTGTGAATAAAGGAGGAAAAGAGACAAATTATCTTTACAGAAGAAATCCAGATAATATATGTAGACCTCCCCGACTCCAGAAAGTGAGGCTTAGCACCCTCTCTTCCCCACACCAGAGTGTGGGCTGGACTTAGTGACTGGCTACCGAAGAAGAGAGCATGGAAAGGGAAAAAAAAGACAGTGGAGAAACCTGGCCAACACGACCTTGGCTGGGTGATCACAGTTAACATCATCAATAACAAGTCATGTTGGTAGCATGTCATGACTGATACTATATGATGAGAAGGATTCTTTACCTCTGTGGTGTTCTTCCTGAAAAATCCATGAGCCAAATATAGCCAAATAAAATATCTGGCAAACTCAAATTGAGAGACTACGAAGTACTTCAACAGCTCTCTTTAGAACTGTCAAGGTTATGATAAACAAGACTGAACAACTATATCAGACCATAGGTGGATAAAGGGACATGATGATTAAATGTAATGTGGTATCCTGAATAGGGTCCTAGAAAAAGGACATTAGTGATAAAACTAGTGAAAATCCAAATAAAGTTTGGAATTTGGTTAATAGTGATGTACCAGTGTTAATCTCTTAATGTTGATAGATGCATCATTTGGATAGGAAAATTGGGGCTGAGGGGTGGGAAGTGGCAGGATGGGCCCTTCTCAGCACAGCACCCTATGTGACTATATTGGCTGCAGACCCATGAGGCTGACCCGGGGTTGGAGATTCTTGGGGTGTTGGCTGGTGGATGATTTTCATCTGTAACACCGGATAGAGGCTAGTAGTGATTGAGAAGACACAATGAAATTAAATTTTAGTGATCAATCCCATGGAAAAGTGTATAGTCAGTTTGTTGGAAACACTGTTGGCAGTTTTACCAGTTAGGAAATCGACAGCCTTAGGAAGAAAAGGGTAGAGTGGAAAATCACAGAACACTGTGCCTTCCTTGCCTTAAACTATTTGACTGTGTTAAGTATTAATTCTGAACACAAGTACCAATCCAAATACCATCTTCTAGTGTTCATTTCTAGTGAATAGATTTATCTAAAAGAGTCTTTATCTTATAGGCACAGACCTTGCCATAACATTTTCTTTTTATGAGCCCCTTTTATAGAATTTGAATAAGCTCATTAGGACTGTGATTGTTGCTACCATATATTTTACTGTTCAGGCCTTTAAAATCTACTTCAGCCAGCCTGGCCAACACTGTGAAACCCTGTCTCTACAAAAAATACAAAATTAGCTGGGTGTGGTAGCACACACCTGTAATTCGAGCTACTTGGGAGGCTGAGGCAGGAGAATTGCTCGAACCTGGGAGGCAGAGGCTGCAGTGACTCGAGATCACACCACTGCACTCTAGCCTGGGTGACAGAGTGAGACCCTGTTTCCAAACAATAATTAAATAAATAATAAAATCTACTTCCAATTTGTTCAGGCAGTTCTCAAACTGGCGTGAACTCTGTCTTTCCAGGTACCTCCAGATCATCAGTCACTAGATGTAAACCAGGAGCCAACTGCCCCAGTTCACACAGTGGCATCAGTAGACAACTGTCCCCACTGTCTGTCACCGAAGATTCCTCTGCTCCTATTCTTGAACTTCAAAACCAAGGATCCTCAGGAGTTTGTGGACACAGAGTTGAGAGACAGAACAGATCAGGTATGTGGGTGACCTCCTCTTAAATAACGGTACATCCTAGTAAGCTTCTAAATAGAAAGATCTCGCCATTGTCACAGAATGCAGAGATGTTACACGGACTCTTATGAGTACATGTGGGGAAGCTTTATCAAGCCGGAGGATAAGGAAGCAGGGAAATATATAGATACAATCTATTAGTGGTGTATAGTATGGCAGAGAAACTGAATGCCAAAACCTGTAGTTGAGTAACTAAAACATGGTTAGACAATGACTCCTGGTGAAGTTTACAAGGTAGGTAGTTTTCTCATCTTCAAAATATCAAAACCCTGCATCTTTTGTCTCAGCCTGGGGATTCAGTAACAGCACAATGTACCCATCCTGAAAAGAATGAAAACACCAGTAAAATAACAGAATCTGCTTTTGTCCTCATCGGGACTGTTAGTCCCTGGAGCCCTTTTAGTATTCCCAGTTTCATACTTTCTGCAGGAGACTTCACTGGCTTCCCTGATCAGCATTTTCTGATCAGTTGAGACTTTAGCTTTTCCTCACATCCACCTGACCACTCGCCAACTCCTGGGTTACTGACTGGAATTGCTAGATAAATCTTGTAACTGTGCTCATGAGTTTCCCAGCAAAATTTATAGTTTTTAAATGCAGCTGGGTCCACTAGACTGCTGGCCAGGACTGTTCCTTATTGGTAGTGGACATCTTATTGCCTTCCTCAGGAAATGGACTCAAGTCCCCTGTTTAAATTCACTTCCTCTCATTGTATGACCGAGCATACTTCCACGTTCCTGAAAAGAGCAAACAGTTGTACGCTTACAAATGCATTCCTCTACCTCAGAATGTCTCTGTGCTTTTGTTTACCAGTTACCATCACTGTGGGATGACTTGTGGTATGATTGTCTTTCTACCTTTCCAATTTTAGCCCCCTACCTGTGTCCATGATAGCCCTACCTACATCTCTTCTGGCCCATTTGTTTCTCTCCATTTGTTCCTTCAGCTTGGCTGGCAACATACTAAAATCTCTTTCATCCTCAAAAATAGTAACAGCAGCAGCAAAAACAACAAAATACACCACCAAAATAAGTTGGTAGTAAAACCAACAACAACAATAAAAACCTCCAGAAATTTGGGAAAACTGCCTTAAAAAAATGACAATTCAGAGGATTCAATTAGGGGTGGGGGAAGGGTAAACAGAGGAAGAGAGGAGATGTGAAAGCTTCGTCTAGGGTCCTACTCATTTGAGAATGTATTTTTTATGAGAAAATAAAATGATGTCTTAGACACTGTGTGAACCCCAAGGCTAAAACTTAGAAAAATAATGACATCTTACATTTTCAGAAAGTTTTAATTGGCTTTAATAAATTGCAATATTCCTATTACCCCAGTTGTTTGCAAAACAAAATGTTCCAGTTAATTAAACACACTGGTTAATAAAGATATGCCCTATGTATCATACACAGATTACAAATTTCAAATACCATATCATTAAAGATCATCTGGAACATAAGTTACTCTTTCTGTGATTATTGGAAGCACTTGGGGATATTCCAGTGCACCAAAGAGAAGAAAAGAATAATCTGAAAAGAAGCTCACCATGATTTTGTGGATATTATGGTACTTAATCTCAAAATAAATCCTATGAGATAGCTATTATCACTGTTGGACAGATAAAGAAGCTAAGAAAGGAATTTAAAAATGTACTCAATGCCATACAATGGCAGGGCTAGGATTTAAATTCACGTTTCCAAATTCCAGTGGCCTCTGCTGTCAATTTGCATGACTTGATAAAGGTACGCAGAAATGGATAGAATCCTGGTAAAACAATTTTAATGATAACAAAATCTAAGCAGGACTATAGAAAATCATGTTAAAAGTGGTCAGAAAATAAAAGAGTTCTGGGTACCTAATCTTTCTGTGCTTTGTAAAATCGAAGAATTGGCAACAATCAATCTAGTTAACAGAAGAAGCCTAGAGTCAATACTATGAAAAGGTGTAGGTGACTATTGGTGTCATCAAAAGCACACCCATAGTATAGTGGTGCAGACGCATTCTTCACAGAAGGTGACAGTAAAGGCAGATATTGCCTCAGAATCTTTGTAGAGTTATTCCTCCTTTATAAGGTAGTCCCTGGGAATCATGAGATCTGAAGTGTAGTAGGGTACACCTTTCTCTTAAGTATCACTTTTTAAATTTCATGCAGGACTGCCATTCCTGCCAGGAAACAGAACTTTTTTCCCAAACTAGTCTGAAACTTGCAGTGCCTGAATGGAAAGCTAAGGGCTGAAGGCCCAGCCATGTGGGTGCTCAGAATAAAGTTTAGACCCTGGAGTCATACTGATTCAGTTGGGTTCAATCTTGGACAACCCTTAACACAATTCTCAGCTTTTTCATCTGTGAAGTGGGAATGATAATACCTACTTAATAAGTCAGGTTTGTGTTCCTTTCTTGGCCTCTCAACACAAGATTCTCTATCCTCTTATTTATCCTAGTTTTCCTTCTACTCTCTGCATAAGCCACATGGTCATGGAGGAAATTTGCAGACCTGTTATCAAGAGACTGTGTTGTCTGTAAACAGCTGAAGGAGCTGAGTAACTCACACTTCCAGACTCATCTCAGTGTCACTGCACCATGGACATTTTTTCTGATCATATCCCCCCCAGCTCCTCAACAAGTACTTGTCTGGCATTGTATCTGTCTGAGCTGGCTCTTATCACACTGTGTTGAGTGTGTTTCTGGCTTTCCACTAGACCATGGGCTGAAGTCTTTCATATTCAAATCCTTAGGATCCAAGTAGCTAACTAGCGCCTGGTAGAGTCTCCATAAGATTTGGTTGAATGAATGGAAGATTGCCAGTTTTTATCTTCTGGATGCCTAGGCTCTGAGAATTCAGTACTGTTTATAAGATTTACAAGTCATGTAGTGGTTGCTGTGTTCATAGTTACTTGGTTTATATTCCCCAGTGGAGAATTCACTTTCAAGGCTCTCTTCTCCTTTCCCCCAATGATTATATCAGAAAGCCTTAACTGGGTAAAGGTTTTTAACACAGTGGGGCAGCCACACCTGGCTCATTAAGCAGTAGGAACACATTCAGCGGAGAGCCAGTAGGCTCTGGAGACACAAAGTGAGCAGCCCCATCCACTGCCATTTGCAATCTCTGGGCTGCGCTACTTTAACCCTCAGCATAGGCCTTGTGCTTAAGTGGGGTCTTTGGAGACACAAGAGACTCTTGTAGGCAATTACCATCTGGGATCTCAGCTCAGGGACTCAGAATGACCTCCGCTCCTGTTTAACTTCCTGAAAGGTACATGAATTCATTATGTTAACTTGTTTTTTCCATGAAGGGAGACAGCCTTCATGATTATCACTTTTAGAGAGTTTTGGCTATTTTAGTGTGCTGTAAAATTGCTGCAAAATTTTCTTAGTAAAAGTACAAAGCAGAATTTATTGTGCTCCCAGAAATATATTAGTCATTGGTGAGGTGGGAAATGACTGTGTAGTCAGGACTTGCTCTATTCTTGGGACACATTACTTTTAATAATCATCTCTGTTGCATTTTTTTTAGAGACTGGGTCTCCTTCTGTCACCCAGACTGGAGTGCAGTGGTACAATCATTGCTCACTGCAGCCTCAAACTCCTGGGCTCAAGGGATTCACCCACCTGAGCCTCTGGAGTTGCTGGGACTAAAGGTATATGCCACCTCCCACGGCTAATTTTTTTTTTTTTTTTTGCATAGACAAGGTCTCTCTTTCTTGGCCAAGCTGGTCTTGAACTCCTGAATTCAAGTGATCCTCCCACCTTGGCCTCCCAGAGTGCTGAGATGACAGGCCTGAGTCACAGCACCAGGCCATTTGCTATAACGTAAAAAAAAAAAAAAAAGGAAAATGGAAACGAATATTTATTTCTCACTCGCTTTTCATGTTGGTGCATACAGAGCAGCTTTGGCTGGGTTCTGCTCATGTTCCCACACAGAAAGAACACCTTCTATTTGGCGTTCTACTTTGAAATGACAGAGGGGAAGAGCAAGAGAGCTGGTAGGACCTTGGGATGCCTCCTAAGGCTTCTTATGGGAGGTGTTATGCCTCATGTCTTCTCACATTCAATAGAAAGCGCAGGGCATGTGGCCAAGACCAGTCTTTGGGGGCTGGGATGTGTAATGCTCTTACAAGGGAAGGGCACACTGGAAAACAGCATAACATCCGCATGAGCAACCTCATGGACTGGATCGGGACTCAGATGCTTACTGTATTGTGCAGAGCACAGAGTCCAGAGAAAAAGTGAGCCGAAGTTATCAGTCTCTTCAAATGATGGTAGAAAAGAAAAACACTGGTAATTCTACTGTCTGCCTCTTTGGTTTCATCCATCTTTTTTAAGGAGCTGATATATTTGATTGCTGTTTCATAACCTGCTTTCCTCACATTTGTATTCCTTTCCTGTTTCCAGCAGACGATGGGACACAGACTCATTCTGAGAACAGCAGCCAAGAAAACAGAATCAAGGCTCGCTGCCTGTCCTGCACGTCCATGGTTCTGAAGGGCATCTGGGGACTCTTGATCATCTTGTCAGTATCATCATCTTGGGTTGGAACTACACAGATTGTAAAAATTACTTATAAGAACTTCTATTGCCCATTTTTCATGACTTGGTTTTCAACAAACTGGAACATTATGTTTTTCCCAGTCTATTATTCTGGTCATCTAGCCACTGCTCAAGAAAAGCAATCTCCAATGAAAAAATTCAGGTAGGTTTCATGTTAACTGCCCAATAAGAGATCATTGAAATGTTTTATGAAAATATGCCTATTTTTATCTCTTGGGAATATGAGTTGAGTTTTTTGGGGTATGTGAAGAAACAAGATCTAAGGTTGGAGACGAGCACTAGAAGCAGAATCAGTCCTCCCTTAAAAATATAAATGTGTCTATAACATGCCAGGCACTGTACTGGTGCTTTTGCATAACTTATTATGACCGGTGGTAACATTTACATTTTAAGGTGGTGTTATCCCCATTTTAAGACAAGAGGACACAAATTCAGAAAGGTTGAATGACTCATTCAATGTTATACACTTATAAATAATAGAACCAAGATTTAAATCTAGATCTATTTATTTCTGAAAGTCGTGTTTTATAAGAACATCCCAGTGCATCAAGCCCAGAAAAAAATGGTATTAATAAGATTGTTACACAAACATTTGCTCAATATTCCTGACACTGAGATGCCTAGCAGATGACATGGCCTGATTTCATGCAACGGGGAGTTTGGCACTAAGAAACTTTAAAAGATGCCACTCTTTGCTGCCTAGATGCACATGGGGGCTTTGTCTGTTTCCTTGCTAACCATGAACAGTGGTGGTTGGGCTTAAAGTCTTATGGTTCCAGTGGTTGTTCTGTACTAAATCTGGCTTCTGTAAGCCCCTCTTGGATAGCTCAGGAAGCTGACAGGGCTGATGTCACACAGCCCTGCATGGCACTCAAGGGAGGCAAAAGCAGCATTTGGGTCCAAGTACCTTTGCTAGTGGACAGTTCCATGAAGAGGAAAAGCCTGATGCTGAGAAGTGACTTCTAGGAAAATTGCTATGATCACCCAGGAGAAAAAAAAATAGGGACACCAGTGGATGGCAGATGGAAGAAGAGTTCTCCACATGGACTTACTATTCCTCAGCAGAATAAATTTGTCTTGCAGGGGTTGCCCCTGTACCAAATGAAAAGAAATTATTACAACTGGTACATTATACGACTCTTCTTATAAACTTAACTTTGAAGGGTCTATCTTCAAATTCCATTTCCATTTGAGACAGAGTCTTGCTCTGTCACCCAGGCTGGAGTGCAGTGGCACGATCTCAGCTCACTACAACCTTCGCCTCTTTCCTCAGCCTCTTGAGTAGCTTGGGTTACAAGCGCCCGCCACCATGCCTGGCTAAGTTTTTGTATTTTTAGTAGAGATGGGTTTCACCATGTTGGCTAGACTGCTCTTCAACTCCTGGCCTCAAGTGATCTGACCACCTTGGCCGCCCAAAGTACTGGGATTACAGGCGTGAGCCAGCGTGCCTGGCCTCAACTACCATTTTCTTTTTTTTTTTTTTTTTTGGAAGGTGCATGTACTAATTATTCTTTATTCATTTGGCCTTGAAGAATGTTTAATTTTTGATCACCTTTTGCAGTAACTTGGCAGATTTTTCTGTTTTTATTGTACTTTAAGTTCTGGGATACATGGGCAGAACGTGCAGCTTTGTTACATGGGTATACATGTGCCATGGTGGTTTGCTACACCCATTAACCCATCATCTACATTAGGTATTTCTCCCAGTGCTATCCCTCCCCTAGTCCGCCACCTCTGCCAACAGGCCTTGGTGTGGGATGTTCCCCTCCCTGTGTCCATGTGTTCTCATTGTTCAACTCCCACTAATGAGTGAGAACATGCAGTGTTTGCTTTTCTGTTCTTGTGTTAGTTTGCTGAGAATGGTTTCCAGCTTCATCCATGGCCCTGCAAAGGACACGAACTCATCTTTTTTTATGGCTGCATAGTATTCCATAGTGTATATGTGCCACATTTTCTTCATCCAGTCTATCATTGATGGGCATTTGGGTTCGTTCCAAGTCTTTGCTATTGTTAACAGTGCCACAATAAACATACGTGTGCGTGTGTCTTTTTAGAATGATTTATAATCCTTTGGATATATACCCAGTTATGGGATTGCTGAGTCAAATGGTAATTCTAGTTCTAGATCCTTGAGGAATTGCCACACTGTCTGTCTTCCACAATGGTTGAACTAATTTACACGCCCACCAACAGTGTAGAAGCATTCCTATTTCTCCACATCCTCTCCTGCATCTGTTGTTTCCTGACTTATTAATGATCACCATTCTAACTGGCCTGAGATGGTATGTTACCGTGGTTTTGATTTGCATTTCTCTAATGACCAGTGATGATGAGCTTTTTTTCATAGCTTGTTGGCTGCATAAACGTCTTCTTTTGAGAAGTGTTTGTTGGTTTTTTTTTCTTGTAAATTTGTTTAAGTTCTTTGTAGATTCTGGCTATTAGCCCTTTGTCAGAAGGGTAGATTGCAAAATTTTTTTCCCATTCTGTAGGTTGCCTGTTCACTCTGATGATAGTTTCTTTTGCTGTGCAGAAGCTCCTTGGTTTTATTAGATCCCATCTGTCAATTATGGCTTTTGTTGCCATTGCTTTTGGTGTTTTAGTCATGAAGTCTTTTTTTTTTTTTTTTTTTTTTTTTTTTTTGAGACAGAGTCTCGCTCTGTCACCCAGGCTGGAGTGCAGTGGTGTGATCTCGGCTGACTGCCAGCTCCACCTCCTGGGTTCACGACATTCTCCTGCCTTAGCCTCCTGAGTAGCTGGGACTACAGGCACCCGCCACCACGCCCGGCTAATTTTTTGTATTTTTTAGTAGAGATGGGGTTTCACTGTGTTAGCCAGGATGGTCTGGATCTCTTGACCTCGTGATCTGCCCACCTTGGCCTCCCAAAGTGCTGGGATTACAGGTGTAAGCCACCACGCCTGGCCTAGTCATGAAGTCTTTACCCATGCATATATCCTGAATGGTATTGCCTAGGTTTTCTTCTCGAGTTTTTATGGTTTTAGGTCTTACGTTTAAGTCTTTAATCCACCTTGAGTTAATTTTTGTATAAGGTGTAAGGAAGGGGTCCAGTTTCAGTTTTCTGCATATGGCTAGCCAATTTTCCCAACACCATTTATTAAATAGGGCATCTTTCCTCCATTGCTTGTTTTTGTCAGGCTTGTCAAAGACTAGATGGTTGTAGATGTGTGGTGTTATTTCTGAGGCCTCTGTTCTGTTCCATTGGTCTATATCTCTGTTTTGGTACCAGTATCATGCTGTTTTGGTTACTGTAGCCTTGTAGTATAGTTTGATGTCAGGTCGTGTGATGCCTCCAGCTTTGTTCTTTTTACTTAGGATTGTCTTGGCTATGCAGGCTCTTTTTAGGTTTCAGATGAAGTTTAAAGTAGTTTTTTTCCAATTCTGTAGAAGAAAGTCAATGATAGCTTGATGGGAAGAGCATTGAATCTATAAATTACTTTGGGCAGTATGGCCATTTTGACGATATTGATTCTTCCTATCAATGAGCATAGAATATTTTCCCACCCGTTTGTGTCCTCTCTTATTTCCTTGAGCAGTGGTTTGTTGATGAGGTCCTTCAAATCCCTTGTAAGTAAGTTGTATTCTTAGGTATTTTATTCTCTTTGTAGCAATTGTAAATAGCTGTTCACTCATGATTTGGCTATTACTGGTGTATAGGAATGCTTGTGATATTTGCACATTGATTTTGTGTCCTGAGATTTTGCTGAAGTTCCTTATCAGCTTAAGGAGATTTTAGGCTGAGGCGGTAGGGTTTTCTTAATAGATAATCATGTCATCTGCAAACAGAGACAATTTGACTTCCTCTTTTCCTACTTGGATACCCTTTATTTTTTTCTCTTGCCTGATCGCCCTGGCCAGAACTTCCAATACTATGTTGAATAGGAGTGGTAAGAGATGGCATCCTTTTCTTGGACCGGTTTTCAAAGGGAATGCTTCTAGCTTTTGCCCATTCAGTATGATATTGGCTGTGAGTCTGTCATAAATAGGTCTTATTATTTTGAGATAGATACGTTCCATCCATACCTAGTTTAAGAACTTTTAGTATGAAGGGGTGTTGAATTTTGTCGAAGGCCTTTTCTGCATCTATTGAGATAATCATGCGGTTTTTGGCCTCCCAAAGTGCTGGGATTATAGGCATGAGCTATAATTTCCTATCACCACTTTGCAAGTGCTTGGGAATATTAATTCTCACCGTGAGTTGATTTTCTATATGTGTCTATGAAAACTCAGCTATAATTAAAGAATTAAAAAGCAATTCAAAGAGAGTAAATGCTTACTGGATTGGGGGAGAGCCCTATGACTATTTGAGATTACTAAAGATATTTTATATTTGATTCCCATCCAAATAGACATGATCTTGCATTGTAAAATTTTTAAACAGTATTTATAGGGGAATGTGATTATCAGACTACAGTTGTTCCTGTTTGAAGATACCTATGTGCACCTGTACAGTGTGTGTGTTCTACTTGAATGCTTCCATGGTTTAGACACACATTGATTTAAAACAACAAAAGTTTTATATAAAAAGAAGTATCTCAAGAATACCTCAAAGCAAGTTAAGTCAGTTTAAGATAACTGATTTAAAACAAGAGACTGCTGCTAGCAGAAGTGTTGTTTTGGGAATGCACTTCATTTTTTCCACATCTCTCATGTCAGACTAACTCTGAACTTAGTAAAATCTGATTTAGCACTCTACCTATAGTGCATGTAGAGTGAAGCTGACCATTTCTGAAATAGAATCAGAGCTTTTATTGTCAAGCAGAAAATACTATCTCTGAAGGGAATGTTCTCCAATGGCCTCCTCCATATGAGAGGTAAAATTGTCAGACAATTCTTAGATTCTCGATCTTTTTTTCCCTGTAGACTCATTAATACCATCTGCCAAGAAGTTACTCCAGAAGTTACTCCCGAAGCTCTCATGACTGAACAAGGGAAGAATAGAGTTAGTGTGTAAGACTGGAAATAGAATTTGTCCCATAGCACCAGAATCTATTTTCTCTAGAATGGTATGAAAGCATTTCCAGTATTTTTTTATCAGTAATATCAAAATAATTTTCAATGAAGTATCAAATCTAGATGGTAAGGACTGTATTTAGAAGTAGTTTTTTATAATCATTTATATACTACAAGAGAATTCAATTGCCTCAAGTGAATTTGAAATTTAGGAAGAAAAAAATATATACCATATTATTAACAAGGACGTTTTCTTAGGGGAAAAATCTTAGATAGCATCAAACTGGAGCCAAAGACATATTTGCCTATGTCAGGCACCTATAAAATATGCTTACTATAAAATATGCTTAAGATGCTATTTAACATATAGACAGGGTTCAACAACTAGTGGCTGCTGTTTTAATAATAAGCATAACTAAATTATTAGTGTCCTCCAACTTCTATGCTTCATTTCAAGCTATACCACCTGTCAATGCCACTTGCCCAGAAAGTCTGATCTCATCATCCCAAAGAGAAACCCACTGTTATTCGCTTCTCCATAAAAATCCATATTTTTTTTTCAGTTTTCATGTTTCTTAGAGTTTAATGCTTAAATAGTATGGGATTTTACACAAGTGACCTGGCATTTAGATGGAGAGCATTTTTAATTTCTACAACAACAGTAACAAAGGGGAGAAGGTCGGCAGTGAGAGAAGGGGAAAGAAAGGGGAAGAACGAGGGAATGAACACCTGGAAGACAGGTTGAGCCAGGTGAGAACAGTCTCCACCTGTCAGTCAGCAGCGTCTTCCCAGCTGCTCTGCCAGTGAGGCTCTGTCTGTCTGGAATACACATCTGTTGGTCTTCCCTGTGGGATTGGAGTGTTCCTTTCCTGCATCCAAAATCTTTGCTTAGGAGCACTCCTCCCAGCTCTTGGTTGAAGAACAATCACTGGCTAGGGCCAGTGATAAGAAAAAGATATCCTTTAATCAGGAATGGGTTTTGTTGTGGTTCTTAATAAATGTGTTCATATTTTAAAAGGCAATCAGTAGTTGTAAATGATGGGATAAACCCACGACTCTCAACTCCAGCTCTACACGGCAGCTTTCTCACGGAGCAGATCGCCTTATAAGTACAGAAAATGAACTTTGTGCCCAGGATGCTCTATGAAAACTTCCTCTGGTTCTATGTATGGTGCTAATTCAGAATATCCCATTGGCTGTGGGGCTTCAAAGAGACTGTTCACTTTCCTGTGTATGTGAGCGTGTGTAATTTCTGTTTACATTACAGAAGGCTTTAAAGTTAAAATTTATCTTTGGGAAATCTTACTTTCATTTTACAAAAATCCTTCCTTTTTGGAAGCCTCCTTACATGAAAGTAAACAAATTTCAATACAAGTTTCTGTGTGTGCAACACATGTCTTTAACCTTCCTGGAACCGGTGACCTGCAACTCCCAACATTCTCATCCAGTTGAAAGTCACATTTACTATGAAACTTAATCTTTAAGGCTATACTCCCTGTGCCTAATTCTTTGTCACTCCTCCTCTCCACGTGGTCCTTTTTTGGGGTTATTCATGTGAGGCAAACATTGGCTAGAATTTACTTTGATTTGCAATACTTTGAGGCACACTAATTTCAGTTAAAACTGGAAAAGAAACTAGTACTAGAGTCCTGTAAATAGATTTCATTATAAACATATACTACTCATGAAAATACAATGCCTGGAGCATGACAGTTACCCCATAAATACTTGAATGTTCATGAACAATCGAGTGGGAAAAAAATTAAAATTCTCCCAGTGGTAAGTCTGTCTTCAGTCCATAGTCGTATAGGTACAGTCATTGTATCACTTCCATTATTGCCTGTATGTATTGCTAGCTTGAACATTTTTATTAAAATGGCCCCTCAGAGCCAGGTGCAGTGGCTCTTGCCTGTAATCTCAGCACTTTGGGAGGCCAAGGTGAGCAGATCACCTGAGCTTAAGAGTTTGAGACCAGCCTAGGCAACAGAGTGAAATCCTGTCTGTCTCTACAAAAAAATTTCAAAAACTAGCCTGGCATGGTGGTGCGTGCCTGTAGTCCCAGCTACTCAGGAGGCTGAGGTGTGAGGATGGCTCGAGTCTGGGAGGCGGAGGTTGCAGTGAGCCAAGATCATGCTACCGCATTCCAGCCTGGGTAAGAGAGCCAGACCTAGGGGGAAAAAAAAAATCATGTTTAGGCCTAGGACTTAAAGGAAAAAAATGGCCCCTGGGGCTAAATGTAGCCAACTTCCTTGAAAAATCAAACAAACCGAAGATTTAACAATTGAAGTGACCATTTTCTCACACCGAATTTAGACAATTCCTCCAAAAGGGCCAAATGTTTGTATATAAGTACAACCTGAGTTTTCTATTATAGTTTTTATCATGTGGGAGTTATCACAGGGACTTCATTTTTCTGCCTTAAAAATGCTGGCAGGAAAAAAAATTAGTCAATTGGGCAGATATATTAGAAAGTGGCTTAGTGTCTTAGAAATAAAATCCAAAAACATGTGTGCTGCACAGATGTATGAGGGTCCCTTTCCCTCCGGGTTCTAGGAGTTGTCTGTAGCCCGTTCACAGAGTAGTAGCAGCCTTGACCCTCTCTCGTTTGCCCACCCTCTTCCAATAGCTAGTGATTTCAGCAACTACCAATTTCGGTATTTCTGCAGGCTCTTCTGAGAATGCTCAAAAACGACAGAATGGCTTTTCAGGCAACCTCCAGAGACTATCTCAGAGAAGAGAGCCTAACTCTGTGCTTGGGCACATGTGGGCTATTTTCCAAGGAACCTCATACACTCCCTGAAGCCCGCAGATTTCAGAACTGGGTTCAGTATACTTCACAATGAAGGATGGGTATTGAGTGTTTGTGCTCTTACCTGAAAATGGCTGCGATGAGTCAGATAAGACAAGAGGTGTCACCATCAGTACCTGGATATTAACTTCTCTTTTCTTTCCTAGGGAATGCAGTCGGATTTTTGGTGAAGATGGTCTGACGCTGAAACTCTTTCTTAAAAGAACTGCTCCCTTTTCTATTCTATGGACTTTGACTAATTACCTTTATTTACTGGCTTTAAAGAAGCTGACGGCCACGGATGTCTCCGCTCTGTTCTGTTGTAACAAAGCCTTTGTCTTCTTGCTGTCATGGATTGTGCTGAAAGACAGGTTCATGGGAGTGAGGGTAATGGCATACTTGATTCAATGCGCGATGCCTGCCTTTTTCATAACTCCTTGGCTTCAGGAGAGCCTGTCTGCTTTGTTTCGTGGAGTTGCTGTAAAACTTTTCTCACTTGTTCTGAGTACAAACCGAAATCTGAAGACGCATTAGAAAGCCCAGGCAGTTGCAACATCATAGAAGGATAAACAGTTTGTTTCCACTGGTTAGTGAGCTCATTCCAACAGGAGGCACTAAAACAGGCAGAGAAAACAAGTTCCTATATTAGAATTAATTTTTAGAACTAATGGTGTGTTCACCTCCTTCTGTCCTCAGGAACGAAGGGTCTGAGAAAATTAGCCACTATAAAGATTATGGTTTGCATTTTTCAATCAACATATGTTGAGATGACCCCCCATTCCCCCCACCAGATGGACTTAATTAATATTGGTGTAAGTAGATAAGATTACCAAACAGTAATTAAAGTCACTGGTAATGGCACAATGCTGTTAAAAGTGACTATATATCTAGTGTGACTAATGCAGAAATGGAAGTACAAGCAACAACTTCTTTTGGATACAAATCCTTAATTGAACTGCATTAAACTTCCACCAACAACTTCAGTTCTGAGTTTATTCCTTTCAGGAGTAATATGGATTAAAAACATATATATTTATATGCTTGTTCTATGTTAAAAATAGATTGCTGGGAAGCCCTGAAGATTTAAGGAGCCAGATCTCATTCATATAATCCGGCATGCCACTATGATGAACATATTGAGACAACACTTCTTTAGAAGGAGGTATAAATGAATTGCCTTTTCTCAGAGTATCAATATTACACAACTTATCTTCTCTGAAAGAGATGTCCAAGATAGATAGAATTTGAAACATATTTTGTTATAAAAACATTGCTCTTATTGGCAATGATTCCAAGGTCCTTTCCCCCTCCCAAATGCTGAAACTAATGTCTATGTTAGAGAGAGGGTTTATGATGGTCATTAACCCTGAAAGATTTTCTTAAGAAAACAGTTAGTTAGACAATTCTGATTGTATCTTGGGAGATGCTGCTCTGAAATTTAGAAATGAAGCTTCATATTAATAAGTAGAAAGTTTTGATAGAAGACAAAATCAGAAACTGTGAGTCAGTCCATGATACCATTACAGTATATCCAAATGTGACACTACATTCTTTACTGGCTTATCTTAGATTTGACCCCAAAGGGCTCAGCATCACATATTTATGTCTGGGGCACTGGTGCTGGCTGTCTACCATCAGATACCCTGACAAGTCCTTGAGAGCTGGAAGCTTTCCTATATTGTCCACTGTTCTTTTCAAGATCTGCTACATAATCCATGGGGCCCAGTGCAAAATGAATATTAATAATTTTAAGATAACAACAACAGAGCACTGAGCCAAGGGTGGGGACCTTCCAAGCACAAGGCCCTATATATCAACATAAGTCATCCCCTAGGAAGTCAGCTGTCTCTACTTCCAATGTCTAGAATATTACAGGGCACGAAGTGGGGGTTCGATTGATATTTGAGGATATAGTAAATGAGTTCATACTTCTGAGATCTTTCTTTTCACTGTCTTTCACTATCATGGACCACCCATAAGAACCTGGAGAGCCTTGTCAGAAGAGGGGAGAAGAGAGATTTGGAGGCTCTTTTGTTCTTTTAGTGGCGTGCAAATACCAACATTAAATCCATATTTTCACCATTAGATATACCAGCAATAAAATCCGTTGTATTAAAGCAAATGAGCACATTTAACTCATGGACCTCACTGATGCAAGAGGTTACGTCCAAAAAGGTACAGTGTTTATTTGAGGTATTTTAGAGAAAAAGAAAACAACTGTGTAACTTATCTTTAAATAGCAGATTTTAAAAATCAAAAATCTGCCTATAGGCTACCAACCATTGCCATTTAAAATTTGCCATCTGCAGTGGGTTGAGTGGTGACTCCAAAAAAGATCTGTCCACATCTTAATCCCCCAAATCTGTCACTGTGACCTTATTTGGATAAAGGGTCCTTGCAGATATTATTAACTTAAGGATCTTGAAAAGGGGACATCATATTGGATTATCTGAGTGGGACCTAAATCCAATAACAAGTGTCCTTATGAAAGACTCACAAAAGAGACACACACAGAAGAGGAGGTGGCGGCAATGTGATCACAGACACAGAGATTGGAGTGATGTGGTCACCAGCCAGGAATGCCGGGACACTCACCAGAACCCTGGAAGAGGCAAGGACTGTATCCTTCCTTAGAGATGCCTTTGGTCCCAGCTGTATTTTGAACTTCTGGCCTCCAGAACCGTGAGAGAATAAATTTCTGTTGTTTTAAGTCACCACGTTTGTGGTAATTTGTTACAGCAGCCTTAGGAAACTAATACAGCATCTGTAATTAATAACACTCAGTAGAGGAAATGTTAAATAGCTAATAAGTACTTGTTAATAAATATATCCATAAGTGAAGACATCATAGATAGCAGAATAGTAAGCATTAGTGTCAGGCATCCTGTAAAAATCAAATATTTTTCTTTTTAAGTAAGAGGAAGTGCTTCACTTCTCATTGTGAAACATTAGGACATGTTCAATGCGATGTTCCGGAAGAATGGTAACGTGTAATTTAATGATGCCCATAATCAGGCCATGGAATGTGAGAAGCACTGAAACATATTCAGCATTTTGCCTTTGACAGTATCAGCAATTATTTTCCTCCCAAGACATATTGAGAACACATATAATTAGGTCATTTGAGAAATTAAACGAGGGCAAACAGCACTGACAACATAAATGTAGCTCTTATTGCCCACATCTATAAATAATCTAAAGCATAGCCCCTCCAGATGTCATCCCACTGGACTACTCAAAAAAAAAAAAAAAAAAAAAAAAAAAAAAAAAAAAAACAGTTAAAGGGATGCTTTCAGTCATCAGATTAAAATTTATATTTCTAGTTCATGCTAAAGCATCAGTAGTTTAGAAACAGATGTTTGTTGGATTATAATTTTCATATGCTTAGCTCCCCAGGAATGAGCACATTTAAAATGAGAAGCTATGGCCTTCCCTACTTCTAATTTTTTTTTTTAATGTAAAAAGAACACCATGAACAGAGTGAAAGACACTTTAAGTTACAACATCATAAATATGGGTTTATCCGGACCACAAGTAGGCCAGAATTACTAATGCTCACATAAAAATGAATTATGTATTATGAATAACTTGCTAATATTTTGTTTCTTTTGAACACTGAATTACAGATGGAAAGGTAATCTGTTTTACATTTAGTATGAAGTCATTTCAGCCCATTTATTGGTAATCTATGATGTGTTATAAAAAGCCCTTTCATGAGCAAATTGCTTGCAGCTAATCTGTGATCATCCCATGAAAATTAGTAAACTTCTTTAAAAGATAATTTTTTGATTGCAAAAATGTTAGAAAGTGATAATCCAGCTCTTGCAGCCTTGAAAATAGGTGTTCTCCTGTCTCTCAGACCTTATTATGTTTAGCTAGAGTTCTTAAATTCGTAAGAACCAGAGAACCCACCTTAATTTTTTTTTTTTTAAAAAAAGGTTCTTCCCAAGGGGAATGTGCCACTGGCTGGGAGCTTTCTTCTCTGCTGTTGGTATCTGTTTTACACCAATGAAAAGTAGATGCCAGACTAGAATGGTAGAAACTTTCTTTCAGATTTTGTCCCTCTCTTATTTTTTTATACTATTCATTCAAATTTTTCTTATATTTTCCAATTTCCTTGAAGATATGGAGAATGTTGGTGGTTGGTGGATGGTTCAGCAGATCCCAACTGTCTTAGCAGACTGTGAAATGCATTAGTGTCCCTCTGGCTTGGGAGCCACATATTTTCCAGCTATATTTGGGTCCCTGTGCAGTTAGTTAGCTTCCCAAACTATAGCTGTTTTCAAAGACTTTCCAGGATCTACCAAAAACTGACTGAAGTACATCAGTTAAACTGAATCTTTCATGGTATAGCATATACTTCTTTGAATTCAAATTGGGCCCCTGAAGGCTAAAACAGTACATTGGAGCTGAGCTGCTACTGATTTATGCTGATATTAAATATTAAGAATTAAGATGACACGTAACTTGACAATTTGTTTCCATCTTGCCTTTGGCTCCTCTTTATTCATGTGCAATGCAGAATTCTCTGCCCAGAGCTTCCATGCTTCCTGGAAGAGGCAGTGGAGGATGGACAGTGGGAGTCATCCTCCCTCTTACCCCTATCTTGGCAGGACAATGACTTATGAATATAGCCAAGAGAGGAGACAGCTGGGTTGTGCTGGCTGTCCGATTTTACACCCTCAAGGAATCTGTAACCCCTTCAACATGGTGCAGTCAATGTGTCTACCCTCCACATATATCCTTCACTCTTTCTTCGTGGGATTTCTTTACAACTTTGACATCCAGGTCTCCCTCTGAGATCATTTTCAAATGGATTTTATTCAGATAAAAATCCATGCATGTAGGGAGAGGGGGAGTTCAGAGGCCCAGCATCCCTTGGGTTTGCTGCTATCCAAGGTACCCCCCTTCCCCCTGTCACACACAGCATCTGGACAGCTATAGATTGCCACACCTCTTATTTTTCACATTTCAGCACTTGTTCAGTTTAATTGAATCTGAGTAAAAAAGAAAGTTTTCCATAGAACCTTAAATATAACATATGCAGAAGTTTAAGGATTCTGTATAGCCATAGTTCCTTGAAAATCAACTGTATCTAAATTTACCCAGAGAGATAATCATTAGCATGTTTCTCATTCGTCAAACTATTAATGTGTGTCCCAACCTCAACTACTGACCTTTAGTCTTCAACTTGAGCACAGCAGCTGCCAGCAGTGTGGTCTGAGATCTGCATTTTTAGGGGCTGCTGTAGGCTTTGGAATTCAAGGGTTCATTTGTGAACCAGCTGCTTCATACTCACCTAGCTTCAAGAAACAGAATTAGCCTCAAGGCAAAGTAAGGAAACATGTTTGGATTATAATCAGTCATCTTGACCTTTAAAATCTTAAAGGAACACTGTAGGAAGAGAAGCAACTAAAGGTTCATCCAATGCCTTGGACCCTAAAAGAGCTGGTACTGTTATGCAAATAAGAATTGTGAAAACCATCTGTGAGTGGGAACCATAGTGAATGGGATCAGGTTGATAAACCCTCATGGAGATGCACAGAAGGACCAAACCTTTGTGGGCTTTTGATGGCCCGAGCCAAAAGAGAAAAAGAAAAAAGAAAAAAAAAAGATACAAGAAAACAAAAACGGCCAAAAGCCAGATATTTCTTTAGGCTTTATCTGTACAAACTAATTATTTGAAAGATAAAAGAAACACCCTCCATGCAGGGTCACAGGTAGCATTTAGTACAGTGAGATCACCAAATGTCCACTGGTAAAGCCCTCTTTGGGCTTTAGGAACAGGCTCAAATGGCCACACGGATCCCTTCTGATTGGCTCTGAAAATTAGTGCAGAGAGCTGTCTGAGGGCCCCAGCCTGCAGAGGAAGATAGCTGGCTCACGAGGCCATGCCACTCAACTGGCATGCTGAGATAATGGGCTAAATAAATCCTCTTCCTTCAATGACTCACCCCAGGTGGGCACACCACAATGTGTGAGGGCAGAGAGGTTTAAACATTTTAAATGGAGGCATTGGCAGTTTTATGGTCACTATGGTTACTAACATTCTCACCTAAGCCAGGTTCAGATAATGGTAATGGTGAGTTTTTTTTTTCCCCATCTTTTTTGTTTGTTTTTGAGACAGGGTCTAATTCTGTTGCCCAGGCTGGAGTGCAGTGATGTGATCTCAGCTCACTGCAACCTTCACCTCCCAGATTCAAGAGATTCTCCTGCCTCAACCTCCCGAGTAGCCGGTATTACAGGCATGTGCCACCAAAGCACGGCTACTTTTTATATTTTTAGTAGAGATGGGGGTCTCGCCATGGTTGGCCAGGCTGGTCTCGAACTCCTGACCTCAAGTGATCCACCCACCTGGGCCTCCCAAAGTGCTGGAATTACAGGCGTGAGCCACTGTGCCTGGCCTAGTTTTCCATCTTATTTAGACACTTCTGGTTGGTTAAGAGGCTGGAACTGGAATAGATTGTCAAGAGACAGATTTTTCAGAAGCCGAGCAGGTGGCACCACTAGATGGTGTATTTTCAGCAGAAGAATTCCTCTCATGGATGTTAATGTGTCCCAGGAGCACTTTAGTGGTTGTCTTCATGTGAATGAACACATATGAGCATTTTTGACACAATATTTTAGGCACTGGCTTCCTGCAGACACATTTCCAGAAAGCTGAGGCCAAGAAGAGTCGTTTTGTGTTTTTCTGTTGAGAAGAACAGAGTATTAATCCCTCTTTGATGACTGATTGATTCTGAAAATGTGTGTGACTGATACGTGCTTAGGATATTTGTTCTCCAGACATCTAAAGAGTATTTACTCTCTAAAGTTAAACCAGTGGTGCCAAGCAGAGCCATTCTGAGATCACCCAAACAACCACTCCACAATTTTTCCTCATTTTCAAGATTAGTTGAGATCTCTTCCTTCACTTACAACAGTATAGATAAGAAATATATTTAAAATTTCTTAAAATATAGCCATAGAGAATTTGACCTATCAGATATTTTTGAAATTTAAACTAAAATGTGGCAAATAATTTATCTATTCCCACTATACCCTCCACCCGCACCCTGCCCCAGGAACATACTATATAACTTATGAATTACTGCTCATGTCATGGAGAATTTTTCTAACATTTCAAATATTCAGATTTTCATTCTTTCAGAACTTAACAGCATTGTCTGACCCCCTAAAGTGAAAAATGCTTCTCTCTGTGAAGGCAATTGAAAGAGACACTGCTGTAATTGACATGTCAATTTAAGTGGTCCAGGCTAATATTTTCACAAGCACTTGAATATAACGAGTAATGAAGATCTTTAAGAGGCTCACTATGGTTATAATTTTGAATTGCTACAGAGTTATGTAATCTTTACCCATGTTCAATTCCTATCTTGAGGAAACATAATAGAAACTTTATGCATATCTATTTTTACTAGTAGCTAACTCAGAAAAGGAAGAGTTCCTACCTGTGGTCATATCTTGGGGATAATGAAACCAACTGCCTGTCCTTTTCTAGACAGGATTTTGTTTTGTGCTTTGGGGTTTTTTAATTGGTTTTCACAATTTTCTAAACCCAGAATTACATACTACAGTGTGTAATTGCCTAAACCCATGTATTATGTATTATAGAATGCTTTTAATAATTTAAAATATAAAATAGCACATCATGTGAAAGTTCGTTAGGATTTACAGTTTTGTTAGCCTTGGCTTCAAGTAACCGCTTGTTTATTTGACCTAGAAAATGCAATGCTTAGCTAAAAGAAAACAAACGTTAACTCAAATGTATTATCCCGTCAGTTCAGTCTTATGAAGGAAATCTATTTGTGCACATGAACACTAACCAGTGAACATCATTTAAACACAAAACCAAATCAGGATATGCCAATATCTAATGTGCCTTTTTTATTTCCCTGAAATCAGATCCCCCAAAGAACTGTTGCAAATCCCCAAATCAAGGAAAATGATAACCCTCATAGAATTTCCAGGTCTAGATAACCCCCTCACTGTGTGTATTGATGAGTCTAGACCTTTATCCAGGTCTAGATAACCCCCTCACTGTGTTTATTGATGAGTCTATTACTTATTATTTAGAAATCTCCTTGACACCTAAATTCTTAAATTCTATTCCTTATAGTTTAAGGCCAAGTCTAACCAGAACACACACCCGGCAGCTTCAGAGAATATGATATTCACTCAGCAAGAAAACCACCTCCCATCAAGCAGCCTCCTGGATAATGTTTAATGAAGATGGTTTTTCACTGCTGACATGTCTATGTCTATTCTCAAGTACTCCTGCTGTTTTTCATTAAGGACACTTTAATATGGAGCTACTCTGAAACCAAGTGGGCCCTTGCTTTTGGTGGCCACTAACAAAAGACATGCTTTAGCAGCGTCTGAATTCTATGTAATTGGGAACATACTTTGCAGTGGCCTCAAGCGAGTCAGTAATTACATGTTAAAAATCTACGTTATAAAAAACAATTCACTAATAGTGTTCAAAAGGGCCCCCGAAAATCACATATGTTAAAAAGCTATCTTTACTTGGGAATTTCTTTACTGGGAATACTCAGAACTGAAGAATTTCTTTACTTGGGAATACTCAGAACTGAAGCTTAACAAAATTAATCACCATGTAGGTTTAAATTTCTCACCAATTTTCATCTGGATTTTAAAGTCAGTGAAACCATTTCACAAGGAAATGACATATTGTCACCTGTTCCAGCATCATTTTACTGTTTGCTATAGCTCTGAACTGCTTTCCAGTAGAACTAGTTCAAGATAAAGAGATGACACAAAGCAGCAATTCACTAAGGGAGTAGACTCCTGTTTTGAATATAGCTAGAATCATCAATTTACAGTGAACAATGATGACTTCAGTTGAATTATGAATATTTCACTTTATGCAGTTAATGCTCTAGAGTAATTAAATGAAATTATCTTTCAGTGGTTTTTCTGAAAAACTGAATTAATTTTCATGTGAACAAAAGGAAGTACTGGCTTCCATTTGACATTCCAAGTGACAGTGCAGACTCAGCTTGCTCCTTTATACATCTCTATGAGAATTTATTTTCTTTCTTTTTTCCCATTGGCCTGAAGTTTGCCTCTTAGCTGTATCAATATCATGCTTCTCTAATCAGGTCCTGATTAGATGGAGATCTTCAGAAACATACCTTGAGCCAAGGAGCTGATTAAAATGTATGCTGAATTGGAGGAAAAAGAATAGATGAAATACAGAAGAGATGAAAACGCTTAGAAGTGACTTCCTATTAAATTTATTTCACCAGTACAAATGTTAGTCCCTAGAAAGCTTGAGCTAAAAAATTAAAATTATTAGGCCTAAAAAAGTAAAAATATATTAAAAATAATAAAATTACTAGTCTTTAATTAGAATGTGAACAGCTTTTATATTCTGTGCCTGGATATCTCATGAACATATTGATTTATTTCTAATACTGAGCCTTCCTACATTTAAAGTGATGTACAAAAGGTAATTAGGTTTAAGGAAGTACTTAGCAGCTTTCAGGAAGTCTTGAATTGCCTGCTCTAGGATACAGAGGGATCATTGCTTTTCTGTTTCTTTGCATCCTATTTGACAGATAGTTGCTGCAATAATGGCAATTACCGGCATTGTCATGATGGCATATGCAGATAATTTCCACGCTGATTCCATCATAGGAGTGGCATTTGCGGTGGGCTCAGCCTCTACATCTGCATTATATAAGGTATGTTGTGCACTTTCTTTTGTAAGCAACTGTCACTCATAACTTAGACTTGAGTACTAAAGTAAGAAAGTACGATGTAATCATTGATTAGAAAGAAAATAGATGTGTTGAAATAATAGTAAGTAAATTAACTACTTGTTATGTGATGGGTACCTGCCTGAAAATTTTTGCCTGTGTTAATACAACCTTATGAGGCATAAATACTTATTTCCACTTTCCAGATGAGGAAACTGAGGCTTTGAAAGATTACATAACTTGCCCCAAATCATAGAGCCAAATAGTGATAGAGCCAAGACTTAAACTCTGGACTAGCCAACTTCTAAGCCCATGTGCTATGCCCTAATCCCTCATTTATCAGGCAGTTATAGCAGGAACATTAGAAAGGCATCTTCTCTCCCTGTGTTTTTTAATTTAATTATCTATGGTCATTATTTTAACTCAAAAGAGGTGTTAGAAATAAGCTGTCACTAGAGAGCTGTTTGGCACATATTAACCCCATGCCACAGGAGCTCGTGTTACTAGCAAAATGAAGAAGCTCTTTTTCTCTCTGATGGATGCTCTACGTCTGCTGTAGGTACCCACCATTTTTTTCTCCACTGGAGTTCCCTGTCATCAAAGAAAATTCTATTCGGAGTCATTGCACCTGACTTCAGAAGTGAGCACTAAGAGAGCAGATCTAAAAAGTTATTCCCCAAAGCTCTACTTTTAAAGTCAACTTTCTGGATGTATTAAAGAACTGTTCCAATTTCACCTCTCTTGGTGTTTCAATGAGAAAACACACTCTGAAAGGCCGAAAATACCCTTTTCGTCCCTCCTGGAAGCCTGTTCTGATTATTAACCAACACTGTGTCTCAGAGGGCATGAAGTCTATTTCCATATTGACATTTCTTGGCCCATTGATTCTGTGTGACAAGCTTGACAAATGTTCACTCAATGGCCATTACTGTCTAACTTGCTCCCCAACTGAGATCCACCAAGATGTCTGATGTGACCAAAGACTACCACGTGCTCAAATTCTTTTGATTAAGTCTTTCAACAGAAAAAAAAAATTAGTTCAGTTGAAATTAGAAGCAGTACCTGGGATTGCTATATGACCAGAATGGCACTCTTACAGAGGGATTTCCCCTGACCAGGTTACAGAATGTATTCATTCTGACATGCACCAAATCATATCTGCAGCATAATATAATTCCAGGCAGAAGAGATCTGCTTCACTCTGTGTTGTTACAGGATTAGTATAGGGAGTGGTGGGCTTAAGAAGCTAAGAAATATGGACTATACCCCTGGCTTTCTCTGTAATCTGTTGTGTGATTTTATGTTAGCCATTTGCTTCTCCTTGCCATCTTCCTCTGCACACAGGTTTATAATATATAAAAACTGCTTTTTAATCTGGGGAACAAGCACCATATTTGTGAAGTCATTTTGAGCTCACAAAGAAAACTGCTTATAAATCCAAGGCAAAAATACTATTTCTCTCAACAACATAATGACAGGGTCTCTCTGTCCAATTTAGTTTTCAGTATCTATCAAAATAAGGATAAAACAAATCCCATGCTTTAAGTTAAGGATTAATGGCCAGTCAATCCTAGAAGATTTTTCTGGGCTTGTCTGGACTCTTATTTATCATTCACCCAATACCCATCACTGATGGTGGCACTAAACACAATGTACACTACCCAGCAGTTTTCAGCACCATAAGAAATTCATTTTATGACATTTGCTATTTCATATGAAGGCTATGGAGTATTTTAATTCCTTATCTCAACAGCCCATCTAGTGCTGTGAAGATGTCAGGGCAAGAAGAAATGGAGAATAAACTCTGGGCCAGTTAGCTCACAGTATGGAACAGTAAGACTTACGTTTCTGCTCTGGCTAAGTTTCTGTGTGGCTGTAGAGTTTCTTTCTCATTCCAGGTCTTGTTTAAAATGTTTCTTGGAAGTGCCAACTTTGGGGAAGCTGCACACTTTGTCTCCACCTTGGGTTTCTTCAATTTGATCTTCATCTCCTTCACCCCAGTCATCTTGTATTTCACCAAGGTGGAGCACTGGTCCTCTTTTGCTGCTCTGCCATGGGGCTGTCTCTGTGGGATGGCAGGGCTGTGGCTGGGTAAGTGGCCTCGGGTTTTGCCTTCCATTCCCTATATCAATCTTTCTTTGGCTAGTTAGATTATCATCATAGGATTATTTCCTTGGGTAACTCTGTGCTCTAGTTCCCAAACTTATGTTGTTCAATGTCGTTGGTCATGTTTAGAAGGTTCTTTGCAAGCTACTGGTTGATTAGGTTCAAGCTATCCAACTAGTATGCCTCCCATGAGTTAAGGTGTGCACTGGAGGCCCAGGCCTCTCTGTATACCACTGGCCTTCAATCCATTCTTCTTCAGCCTCATTCATTCTTTCTAATACACTGTATCATGTTATAATGTTCCATGTGTGCCATGCTGTGTTGGGCAGAGGTTAGGGAGTAGACGGTGCATTCAAAGAACTCAGAGTGGTTCAAACTGGTGGGAGCACTGAGTTTGGAAGAAAGGAAGGAAGGGAGGGAGGGAGATGCTATTTAAGAGGGAAGCAGATTGGGAAGAGCCTGGAAAGCCATTTTGAGGTGTTTGGATTTAAAGTCCACTTAGTAATTTTTAAGCAGTTTGGTGATAGGCTCATATCTGCATATGAAACAGCTCACTCTGGCTGAGAATGGAGAATGGATTTGTGATAGGAAGACATTGCCAGTATATAGAGACAGCAGCATGCACTAGGCTTGGTGATCCTGGCTGAGTAGACAGTACCTAGTTAATGGCCAAGAAAAAGTCACCTCGAGTCCTTGTAATGTCTTCATTGCCAGCTTCCTATAACTCTGAGGCTGGCTGCTTCACCTGAGCTCCAGGATCTGACTTTTAAGCTGTGCTGCTGTCACTTGATGTGAGAGGAGCCTGAAAAATAATAAGGCTGCTCTTCTCTCACCAAGCAGTTAAAAAACAGCAACAACCCAATGTTGTTGCTCATCCCTCATCCCTCTCTTCTCCATAGAAATCCTTTTCATGCCGCTTCTATTTCCACGTGCTACTCAGAGGTCAACTCCCTCTGCCCACTCCACATTTTCCCACAATGCTCGACCTGCAGAACATCCATCAACCCTCAACTGACCTTCTTTACTGAGGTGATATAATTTGAAATAGTAGCAGCACTGCAATTCCTGGGAGCTAAATGTTCTTATTTTCATCCCTGCAAGAGTATTGATTGGGTCATCTTTTTCTATGCTGGCTCAGCCCCTCAGACTCAGGGAGGTCTTCGACAGAAAACACTCAAGAGAAGGATCAAACATTAATTGTTGGTCCCTTGAGTTCTACTTTTCAAAGCCAAAATTATATGGTTAGCACCTCTCATAACCTCTGCTAAGCTGAGTAGAAATCAATAGTGATATTTCTGTAAGACCAAAACATCCTCATTAAAAGCACCTAGATTATTTTCTGGCCAAAAACAACATAAATGGGAACAATCCTAAGTAAAATTTCAATGGCCTTTAGCCTCCTCATTGCACATGTGATTTCCACCTTGCTGCTGCAAAGTAGCCCTCCACCAACATATACTCCTTGGCATATCCAATACGCGCTCCTAAGCAAGCCTGCAGAGGCTGGACGCCACCTGTGCTAGCTGAACACTGGCATTCGCCACCAAGCAGTATGAGCTCCACACTCCACTGGGTACAGTGCCAAGCAGCACTGCAGCTGCTCTACCAGGCCCACCCCAGTGCACTGCAGAGAGCTCACTGTGCCAAAGTTGTGCTGTGGCAATCGAGGAGATAGCCTCCCTCCAGCCTGTTACACACCCCAGGATCTTACAGTCTTCAGTGCTCCTATTCCTAAGTGTTTATTGCCGTCCCTCTCTTCTCCATAGAAATCAGATGTGATCTGGCTGAGACACAGGTCTGAGAGATACACATCAATCTGCACCCTGAACTACCCCACATCTCCTGTAGCTATGGTTTCTTGTTTGCTTATGTTTACTTTGCCTCACTCCTCTCAGGTTGACCTATCTTTCAGGAAATGTGTTAGCCCAAATGCAAGTCAGCCTCATCCATTCACCTAGCATGTCTGAATTGCACTTAAACTCAGGCTAGGCCCCATACTATGGAGCTCAGCAGAGCCTGTGCTGTATTTAATAAATTCCTGATTGGTCAGAATTTGCGATGTTGGACTCCCTGAGTCTGAGGGGAGTGTCAAAGTGCTGGAATATTCATTTATGTTGCAGCTTTGTCAGGAATGAGGAGCAGTTATTAGTTTAGGAAGACCCTCTGCCTTGCTTGCCACTATTGTATGAACAATATAAAGGAGCCCAAGTCTTGTAAAAGTCAAACTCACTGTTTCTAACTACCAAGCACAAAGTGACCCAGTGGGCTTAAAGCGGGAATTACAGATGACAATAGAAGAACATACATCATCCTTATTCGAATGCTTCTAGAACTTTTTTTGGTTCTGCAGAGATATACACAACATGCTTGCCTCATTGTCATGGAGATCTCTGAATTGAGGACATTTTACAATTGTTAACACTCATCTCTCTATCCCCTGAAACAAACATTTGAGTAGACTCTATGAGAATAATGCTTTGTAATTTATAATTCTTTTTTCTTTTTGAAAATGTGTTTTTGATAAGTTTTAAAGTGGATAAATGATTATTTTAACTAATTTTATATTTAACCAAAGAGGTCCAAAAGGTATTCATTGAAGAGCATGGAGCTACACCTTCAGCTGGTTCTGTGGATCTGCCCTCTGATTATCTGTACACAAATCAGAATGTGGAGACAGTCTCTGGAATTCAGTGAATTACATTAAACCCACCCTTGTTTGCCCACATGATGCTGACCTCCAGAGAGAGGGAATAAAACAGCATAGGCTATCATTGGATAGACCTTCCTTTAGGCAGTAACACTAGAGCCATTTAATGTCTATGAATGTGGCACAAAATAGCACAGCAATAAAGAGATGAGGCACCATCTTCAATCAATCACCTGCTTTTAACCTCTGGCTGGCCCCAATCTACCTTTATAGTGCTAATAAACAGTCCTGTGAATCAATTATTTTACCTCTTTGTATTTGTCCATATACCTTTTGCCAGTCTATTGGCAAGATTCAGGTAAAGAGAGTGGCAGACGAGGAAAGAAGAAAATGACTAATTCAGGTAGAATACACATGCATCCATCTCCAAAATTAGAGGATCAAAGGTATAGACAGTTTAAAAGGCACATGTAGCAAAGACATTGATTCATTTACTATAAGGAGAAAAAAGTCCAGCGTATTATTTCTCTTTCATCTTGCATTTCCTCCTCTATTTTACAGCCTTCAACATCCTGGTGAATGTTGGGGTGGTGCTGACATACCCAATCCTAATCTCCATTGGGACAGTGCTCAGCGTTCCTGGAAATGCAGGTACAGGCACCATGTGACATGTGCAGATCCTGGCCACTACAAGTCTCTTGCTTGTGTTTGTTCTGTGTCCTGAGTTGTTCCTTCTAGAAATTGTGAATTATGTTCCTTGCCTGGGAAGATGTTTTTAAATATCATGAAGGTGGCAGACAACAGAGTAACTATGCAGCAGATTTAAAATCTGCAGCTAAAAACACTGTTTTTACTTGGTTGTGCTTTTAGAATTAAATACCAAATGTATCATTTGGGTTTCATATAATCTCCCTGACAACCTAATTTTGTGGTATTTTTAGAGGAAGTCCTATGGAAACAAAAGGCATCCCAGCATAGGACTTTCAAGTAACCGTCACTAATGAAAGTGCAGAGGATGTACATGAGGTTGGCTTCTCCTCAGACAATCCATGGGGAGCCACGGAAAGCTCTCCTGGGGCAGAGCAGATGGCCCTCTGGAATAGATATAAGGAAAAAGCAATTTTACTCACCTCAGGGACAAGAGAAGCTATTTTTCCAGGATATTTCTAGAGAAACCTGCCAGTGAAACAAGTAATGCAAATGGATTATCTGGATGATTGTACAGTCCTTTTAACTTTAAAATTTTATAATTTCAAGTCTTGAGTAGCCACTTTTCTGTCCTCCACGACAATCAGCAAATGTTTATTGAATATTTATCATGTGATCAGGGCAGCAAAAAAGAAAAAAATACATTATTATTCTCTTAAAATGCTTATGGCTGAATTTGTAAAAGAAGGCCAACCTACATGAAACAACTTGGAACTCTACAGAATAATTTAATATTAAATGCCAAATTGTGTGAGACAGACTCCAGTGGCTGTAAGATATTCAGAGAAAAGAAATATCAGAGTGGAGTTGTCAAGGAGTTTCGTTCATTCATCCAACAAAGAATTTCTGAGCAATTAGTGTACACCAGGAACTGTCCTAACACTAGTGACAGGTCCTGAATAAGGCACAGTCCCTGCCCTCAGGACCATGTAGCATTGAGAGGGAGACAAAAGGAAAAAAAATTGAGTAATTACAACATAGAATTGCTTTAATAGAGGTATGTGCTGAATGCTGCGAGGGCGCATAGGAGGAGCATCCAAAAGGCTTCCTGCAAGAAGCCTAAGGGGAGAGATCTAAGGAGAGGTTTAGCTGGATGAAGTGAGATATGAGGAGTGAAGGGTAGCTCATGCTAAAAAGAACAGTACATGTGTGACCAACAACTCCACTCCTGAGTGTATACCCCAAAAAAGTGAAAACAGAGATTAAAAATATCCTCATACGCAAATGTTTATAGTAGCCCTATTCACAATAGCAAAAAGGTAGAGAAGCCTAAATGTGAATCAGGAGTTGAATGAATAACCAAATTATGATGCAGTGAAATATTATTCAGCCATAAGAAGGAATGAGGTGCTGACACGTGCTACAACATGGATGGACCTCAAAAATATTTTGCTAAGAAGCCAGTCACGAAAGAACACAGAGAATGTGACTCCATTTATATAAAATAACTAGAATAGGCAAATCTATAGGGGGAAAAAAGCAGATTGGTGGTTGCTAAGGGCTGGGGATTTGGGATAAGAAGCTGAGGAGTTAATGGGTATGGGCTTTTATTTTGAAGTGATGGAGATATCTGGGGACCAGAGAGAGGTGGTGGCTGCATAATATTGTGAATATACTAAGTGCCACTAAGTCCACTTTAAAATGGTTAATTTTATATTACATGAATTTCACCTCAATTAAATTTTTAAAAAGAACAGCCTGCACAAGTGTTAGACACTAACATGTTTGGCTCATTTGAAAAATCTCCAATGGTCCAATGAAACTGGAGAAGGTTAAAGGGGTAAAGAGGAAAAGTACTGAGAGAAAACTGGGGAGATAACTAAGTCAGATTACATGGAATTTAAGCTAAGCCTTGAAGGATAAGCATGACTTAGAGACAGGCAGTGGAAAGCAAACCTAGCAATGTGGAAAAAGGAAACACTAACTTGGAAGAATAAAGAAGACTCTTGGAAATCTCTAGAAGTAACATGGACTTTGGTGACTTGTTTTCAAAGCTTAGAAACAGGCATAGGAAATGACTGACTTGATTTTTCTTTCCTAGCTGTGGATCTCCTAAAGCAGGAGGTGATATTCAATGTTGTCCGCCTGGCTGCTACCATCATCATCTGCATTGGGTTTCTGCTGATGCTGTTGCCTGAGGAATGGGATGAAATCACCCTGAGGTTCATCAACAGCCTGAAGGAAAAGAAGAGTGAGGAGCATGTGGATGATGTGACTGATCCCAGCATACACCTGCGGGGCAGAGGCAGAGCCAATGGGACAGTGTCTATACCACTGGCTTAGAGAGGGACATATTTTGAATGCACGTGTATGTATATTCTGTGAATATAACAAAATTTTCTCACTACCTGTACACTCAAACGACAGTATTAACTCTGAATTTGGATAAATCATATGTGAAATAATGCCAACAATAAAAGTTTACATTTATATGCTTATCAAGGAATTGGTGTAAATAATCATAATGGATTTTTTTATTAAAACACATTTGTCCTTGTTCTGTTTTCTGATTTTTTTAAATTCCCCCTCCCCCAACTCACAAAATTTCCGGAAACTGTAAGAGTCGATTAAATTATGGACTTATCTTTTTCTCAACTGAAACTGAGTTCTTCCTACTCAATCAAAAAAAGCTGTCGAAGAGAATAACACGTGAAAATAATACACACTTGAAAGCTGGAAATGTATTAAACATTTAAACAGAGCATTTTCTATATGTAAAACCCACACTAGAAACAATGAGGAGTAAAAATACAGAATCCCCATCTGTACTTTTAATGAGCTTAGAGTCGTTTGGAGGATAAGACAGTTCACAAATATCTTTACTATGAGGTAGACATTTGAAAACGGCACAGTGGACATGGACAGGAATGAGCTATCCTGAAAGAGTTGTTTATATTTGCCGTCACTTCAACTCCCATTCACTCTTCAACCCACTGCAACGCACCTTCTGCCCTCATCAATTCTCTGGAAGTGCTTTCCCCAGTGATCAACCTCTTTCTTGCAAATCATATTGATATCTTTCAACTCTTATCTTATTGTGCCCTCTGACACATTTGACACGATGACCACTCCTTTTTCCTAAATATTCTCTCTTTGCTTGAATCCCACTACTTTCTTTTGGTTCTATTTCTACCTCCCTGGTTGCTTACCTTGGCTTTTCTTCCTAGGCTTATCTCATCACCATCAGGGTTCTCTGAGTTTAGACATCGGCCTTCTTAGCATCTCATTCCATACTCTCTCCCTTGGGGAACTCCTCCACTCCCATGGCTTCAACTGTCATCCACATGGTGATGACATGAAAATTTTAATCTCCAGCCTAGATTTGTCCTTTGAGCTTTAGCTCTGACTATTCAAATGTCTTCTGCAGCTCCCTTGGATGCCTCCTTGTATACCTCAAATATAGCAAAAACAAAGTTGAATTTATCATCAGTCCTCCCCAGACCTGTTCCTTTCCTCTGCCTTGTTCCCTGTCTATGTTAACGGTACCATTATTCACTAGCTGCCTAAGCCAGGGATCAACCTCACCTCTGCCTTCTCATCCTCCACATCTGTTTAGATATTGTTTCATATTGTTTAATATGTCCTATTGATTCTATTTCTTAAAATTTCTTGAGTCCATATACTTCTCTCTATTCTACCCATACAAGGCCCCCATCATCTCTTGCTCTGCTTAATCCAATACTTTCTTCACTGATATCTCTAATTTCTAGCCTTGCCTCTCTCTAATCTCTTTTGTGACCTATAGAGTGGCTTTTCTAAACACATAAATTTAATCATTCTATTCCCTTATATCAAATGCTTCAGTGGCATCTTATTATCCTCAGGATAAGGTCCAAACATCTTGGCATGTCATTCAAAGCTCCTCGTTGACTGGCCCCTGCCAGCCTCTAGAGCAGCAATGTCCAGTAGAACTCTCTGTGATTATGGAAATATTTCATATCTGTGTGATCCAATATAGTAACCACAAGTGGCTATTGAGCAGTTTCAATGTGGCTAACACAATTGAGGAACTGCATTTCTATTTGTATTTAATTTTCATTCTCTTAAATAGCCAAATGTACAGCCAGGCACAGTAGCTCACACCGGTAATTCCAGCGCTTTGGGAAGCCATGGCAGGAGGATCACCTGAGGCCAGAAGCTCGAGACTGCAGTGAGCTATGATTGTAGCACTGAATTCCAGCCAAGTTATCCAGGCAACAGGACAAGACCGTACCTCTAAAATAGATAAGTAGCCAAATATGGCGATTGGCTACTATATCGGACAGCACAGCTCTAGAGCCTCATTCTACCACACTACCCTTTGTGGCCTCCTGAAATCTCTATGCTTCGATGACACTATACTTCTCCCCACAGGCTTAATCAAGCCACATTCTCTTTCTTGTTCTCTCTCTCTCCCCCTGTCATCTCCTGGAAAACTTTTATCTAGGCTTCATGACATTATTCATTGCTATTTTTCTGGGAAGTCTTTTCTTATCTCCCACGCTGTACAACGTGGCTTCCTTGGCAGTCTCTGCTTACCCCCATTGAGTGCTGATTGCCCTCCATGGTGGTTGTGGATCTACTGGTCTGAGTTACCAGTAGACCATGAACTGCTTGAGAGCAGGGGCTGTGTGGCATTCATCACTGTGTTCCCAGTGCCTAGCACTTATATGGTAAATGAATGAATGGGTGGCTTTACACTGGAGATATGGCCCCCCTACCCAAACTGTATTAGCTTAATCTTAGTTAAGGACAGGCATTCTTATAGCTGAGACTGGTTAAAGGAAGGACTGAAAGGAGTTAGATGTGTCACAGCCTTTCTCATGTTTTCACAAAACACCAATATGCTGAACTGATAAACTTCTTCCCTAAGAGGCTGGGCAGAGCATCTAACAAGATATTCTGCACTCTGTGGGAAATCTAGTGCAAGAAGCCTAGCCTTTGTGGCATCTGCTTTGCTACTTGTTTTTATTTGAGTGTCCCTAGAAGTGTTGATGAGACAATAACAAGGTAAGAAAAGACAACTCAGAATATCACAGAATATCACTAGCTGGGCATCAAGGTAAATGAAAACCTTAATGTGTCAGGCCTTTGATTTCTCTGTCATTTTTTTAAAAGGCAATGCCAGTCTCCTGGCATAGATAGATAACATGATATTAACTAAAATAATAACAATGATACAGTTTAAGCTTCATGAAAAATGCTATGAAGTAAATAAAATGTTATTAGTAATTACAAATTAATTCATTATCAAAGTAGAGTAGTTGTGACTATTAGTTTTGACTATTTAAATGCCATATTGGTGCAAACATTACGCTTGCCTTGTTTTTAAATGGCTGTTAAATAGTAGTAATCACTACTAACCCACACTCCAGCATCTTGCCACTACTTAATATGACATTTAAAATTGCACTTTGACATCTTTAAGAAATGAGTTATTTTGCTCATTTTGATGATTCATTTTGAAAAATTGAGTCAGCTACCCTGGAAAGCACTAATTCGGCCTATGACCGATCACCGTAATTATCTCACTCTATATTAAGAAGACACTTCCATTATGCTATTCATTCATTTACTCATTCAAAAATTATTAACTTCTAACCTCTAGCTTTGAAGTAGGGTAGTGTGTTAAACTGTTACCAATTGGCCCTTGCTGGCCTCTAGAGTAGCACTGTCTGATAGAACTTTCTGTGCTCACAGAAATATTCTCTGTGCTGTGGAGAGGGATACAAAAGTGTATAGAAAATGATCCCTGCTTCCAAAAGCTGCACCCTTTATAGGTAAGCTGTCACCCTGACAATTAAAACAACTCAGAAATTTACTTAAATCAGCTTTGGGAATGTGAGATAGTCCCTTTAATTCAGGTAAAGTCCCTTTAATTCCATATAAAGATAATAATACCTTTCCTTGTTACTGCTCACGGTCATTATGAGAATCAGACAGGATAATGTATGTCAGTCACTGGTCAAATACGGTTGTGCCTCCCATGTGCCTATGCTCTGCCTTAGATGAGCCACACTCAGTCAGGTATGAAGAATAATCAAGGGAGGAAGACAAAGACCCTGCCCGAGTGGGAGGGAGCACCGTGTTAAGGTTACAGTTATCCTGCCTCTTTATCCACACATTTTCCTTTCCCAAAGTCCAGGAAACGATGGCTTCTGTAGGTTCCTGAGTGGCCAGCACAGTCCAGGGATGAAGAGCACCATGCTTCGACCTTGACTCTGCACTTCTTAGAGATGGAACTTTGGCAAATGAGTAACCTCTCTCTGCCCCTCACTCATTAGCAGCAAAACAAGGATATTAGTATCATTTGGGATGGTTGAAAAAAATAAAATGAAATACCATGTGCAAAGATCTTAATGCACAGCTGGACAGGCCGAAAGTAGTAACTGCTGTCAGAATTTCCTCTACTGCTCACCTCCCTCGAGGTCCTCATCTAGAACTTTCACCTACAGATTTGGCCCTCAGGCCTGTCCTTTTGGTCACTTATTTCACAGCCCTGTGCCCCAGCAAAGTCACAGAGCCTAGTGTCAAGCAGGGAATTTTACCCAAAATAAATGAGAGAGACAAAAGAAGCCTGGCACGAGGAATGCTCCAAGGAACAAAAAAAGGATATGCCTTTTCCATCTGCCTGGTTCCTCTGGGCACTTTGCATCACGGCATTCTTGCCCAGTCAGTGGAACTAATTGCCTGACAAAAAGACAGACTAGCGACTTGGGCTCTGAAATTAAAATCACTCCAACCACGTCCTGATCTCTTCACAAACACATTATAGGCAAATCAATTTTGCTCATCCAGGCTTTGCTTGCCTGTTAATTTTGTGCAGGCGCTTTGTCAAGATTCACCAGAGGACAAATGATTTGGAGAAGGACAATGTAAGAGATAAAAGCATGAACAGTATAACCGGGCAAGCATTAGAATATTTCTGATATTTAAGTACAAATCCTCTTTCTTACTTATCCATAAACCCCTGTCTTTGTAACACCTAGCACAGGCCATGCTGGTTAATCTGGCAGCCTAGAACAAGAAGTCTCTATTCATTCTAATTCTTTTTATTCTTTTTTTTTTTCTTTTTTCCTCCACATCTGTAGCAATTGTAGGTGAAATAAGAACAGGGAGAGTGTAGCGGGTAATGGTGTTGGGGTGCTAGCACTGAGACCCCAGAAGCAGGAGGAGAAGCATCACACTTCAATGCTCTCATTGGCCAGGATGCTCCACATGTGTTCCACAAATGCAAAGGCTACTTTATTGTTGTTTGCTGGAGACAGGAGCATCGTATCCTTTTGGAGCTCGAGGGATCTTAAGAGCAAGAAATCTTTACCAGAGCTCCAAGAATGGGCTTCAGGGGCTGTCCCAACAATCCCCTGAAAGAGTTTATCAAATACTGTGAACTTCACCGCTTTACTCTGGAGGAATAAATTCTGAGAATGCAGAGGCTCTAAAACCACACTGTCCTACATGTAAGCCATTAGCCACATGTGGCTATTGAAATGTGGCTAGTACAAATTAAGATGTGTTGTGTCAAACACACCAAAATTTGAAGGCTTGGTATTAATAGCTCCATATTTATTACATATTGAAATTAGAATGTTTTGGATATATCGGGTTAAATAAAATGTATTATAAAATCATTTTAACATGTTTCTTTTTAGCTTTTAATGTAACTACTAGAAAATGTTTAATTAATATGTAAGTGGCTTGCATTTGTGGCTCAAATTATATTTCTATTGGACAGCACCACTCTAACAGGTTAAGAATCACTTGCTTGGAGGACGTCCTTAGTCCATTTAGGCTGCTATAACAAAATAGCTTAGACTGGGTGGCTTCAAAAAGCAAACATTTATTTCTTACAGTTCTGGAGGCTGGGAAATCTCAGATCAAGGAGCTGGCAGATTTGGTGTCTGTTGAGGACCTGTTTCCTGGCTCTTAGAAGGCAACTTCTGGATGTGGCCTCATGTGACAGAAGGGGTGAATAAGCTCCTTCAAGTCTCTTAGAGCACTAATCACATTCACGAGAGTGGGCTCTCATGACCTTATCACCTCTCAGAAGGCCCACCTCTTAATACCATCACCTTGGAGGTTAAAATTTTAACATATAAATTTTGCGAAAACACAGACATTCAGACCACAGCAAAGGGATAGAGAACAGTGAAAGAAATTTGCGAGGACAAACCAGCTTTGGAAAGAGACAATTATTCGGTCAGATTCTGTCAGTCAAGACAAAATATACTGAGTATTGCTTATGTCAGGCAAGCAATAACTGCCAGCAAGGAGAGGGAAGAAATAGAGACAAGGACAGCATTTTAAAATTGCAACCAATTGGAAAACTTTGTGAAGAGCTGGAAAAATAAGTGGGTTGAAACGGGCAAGGAACTTTCATCTGATACCAGCTCTTATTGATGCAGAAGTGATAGCATCTGCTTTGAATGCTGGAAAGTCAAAAGACTGATGAGAATTCAAGTGGAAAGAAAGGCATTATTTTGGAAAAGACCACTTTTAATTTTAGACATTGTAATTAACTTGCAGAAAAAAGCTAGATTGTATTTTTTAGAAAGTAATAGGATTGCCTACTCTTATGACATAAAACAGCAAGTAATAAAGGTGAAATCTGGAATTTATTAAACAGTTTCTGATATTAATAAGATCAGGATAGATCTGGCTTATTGATAATATAAATAACTCAACTCTCATCAATGGTTAGAAGATATTCCCCAAGATAGAACGGTGTCCAGGGACAGGCTAGTTAACTAGCCATCAGGAATATTCATAAGATGGCATCTACCCAGGAGAAGTTACCAATGTTTTGGATCTGGTCCCCTGCATTGTGGGGCCAGAAACTAAGTCTTGTCAATGTTTTAAAAACTACCCCAGTGATTCTCAAATTGTGGTTCCTTAATCAGCAGCATAAGCAGCATCTGGGAATTTGGTAAAAATGCAAATTCTTCAGCTTCATCCCAGACCTAGTGAAGTAGAATTTCTAGGGATAAAGTCCAGCAATCTGGTTTTAACAAGACTTGCTTGGTATTAACCAAGCACACACTCAGATAATGCAGGTGATCTGAAAGCCTGCTAAAATGTGAAAGTCACTAGATTAATGACCACTATGCTACAAATATAAAATGAATTCATCAATAATCATAAATTGAACTGTCATGTGTACTAAAACTCTCACATTAGTAAGACTAGTACAATCTTTCCCTAACAGCCAAATCTCCCTGGGAAGCTGAACATTAATGAAAAGGTTGCTTGGTGAACCTGAAATTAAAGCAATGAGAATCAGATGTATGATTCAAACTCTTCACTTCTACTTTTAATTTCCATTTCAACTTCCACTCACTTGTGGGGATGGACTTATTCTGCTGGACAATAGCAAGTAGTGAAGAGAAGAATCAGGAATGACTGGTACAATTGCTACCATGCCAAGCCAATTACAAAGTCCACTAGAAGAATGTATCCTACCAAATCCTAGTTTGAACTTCCCCTGAGCAAAAGATATTAACAAGTAGACATCATAGAGCTGCCAACACTTGATTTCCAGACACTGGTTATGACCAAAACAGTTCAAGTATACATGATACCCTGATTACTTCCCTTAAATATAATTCTTGTTCGGATATAATTAGGTGTTACATTTACCTAGATAAGTGACGCACTGAAACTAACACCTCTGCATTATTTCCTTCAGTGTCCTTGGCTCTTCCACTCCTAAAACCCCAAGAACGCAGAAACAAGGTACTCTCCATCTTCTCTATCTTATTGGCTATGTAATATATCTGGGCACATATAGCTAAAATTTCCACCTTGTTATATTTTTATTTGCATTAACCCATATTAATATCAAAATATTTCCAGTTTTCATCTTCTTTCATAAAGCCTCCTATAAAATCCAATTATAATGTAATTTTTAAACTTCCATTTATTGCTTAAGTGGGACTATATCTATGAATATAGTATACAACATTTTAAACTCCCATATATTGCTTAAATTGACTATATCTATGAATATAGTATACAACATGTTATTTTGAAATATTTATACACTGTGGAATAGCTGAATCCAGGTAATTAACATGTGTTTTACCTCACATACTTATCTTTATTGTGGCAAGAACACTTAAAATCTCCTCTCAGAAATTTTCAAGAATAGAACCCATTATTATTAACTATAGTCATCACGTTTTTCCGCAGATCTCTTAGAATTATTCCTTGTACCTGACTGAAATTTTGTATCCTTTGACCATCTCCCTAATCCCCACTCCCACCCCTATTCCAGCCTCTGGAAACTACTATTAATCTATTCTCTGCTTCTATGATTTCAACTTTTTTAGATCCTACATATAAGTGAGAGCATGAGGTAACTGTGTGACTTGTAATTTTTAAACTTTACTTAAATTTTTATTTTTAATAATTCTACTACTGTCAACTATCACCAGAAAAATCCTCTTTCATCCGAAAGTTCGCCCTTTTCTTCAATAACCTCTACATATGATCTGAGCAGTGCTGAATAGACACTGCAGTGTTTTCTGTTTCATGTTGATCACTCTCTTCTAATTGATAGATTCCTTCTCCTAGAAATGTTAACATGATTGATTATATTTAAGCTGAATTTTGAGGCTTTTTCTACTCCTGGCCTAGACACCATTTTTACTACCTAATCTTACTAATTGTGTTGATTTTTATTGCTTAACTCTCAGTTTTCCAAGGGCTTCTCTGACATATCTGTATCTCCTTTTCATTTTTATCCCCTCTCTTCATGTCTCCAGCAACATAAAAGTCCACATTTATAATGGTGAGGCTGTGAGTCTACATGTTCTAAAATTTCTTCTGAACCGAGGAAAACTACTGTTCAATATGGTTTTGGAATTGGTGTATTTGAATTGACTATGATTCCTAGAAAACTTGCAATCCTGCTCTTCCAAGTGAGAGCCAAATGTTAACTAGAATATTTATTTAATGAAAACAATCTATTCCTGATCTATTAAAATGACAGCTTATGTTCTAATTATAGAATATATCATAGTCATTTAGTTATTTTGTCAAATAGTCTTAATACAATTTCTGGTATCTACTGGCAGTTAAAATCTTTTTTTTTTTTTTTTTTTTTTTTTTTTTTTTTTTTTTTTTTTTTGAGATGGAGTCTCACTGTTTCACCTCGGCTGGAGTGCAGTGGCATGATCTCAGCTCACTGCAACCCCCACCTCCCAGGTTCAAGCGATTCTCCTGCCTCAGCATCCCAGGTAGCTGGGATTACAGTCTGCCACCAACACGCTCGGCTAATTTCTGTATTTTCAGTAGAGACAGGACTTCACAATGATCACCAGGCTGATCTTGAACTCCTTACCTCAAGTGATCCGCCTGCCTCAGCCACCTAAAGTGCTGGGATTACAAGTGTGAGCCACCATACCTGGCCTAATTAGTCAAAATCTTATGAGAGACTTCTGGTTCCAAAATGGCAGCCAAGGAGCAAGCTGGTTTTACTTTCCCCACCCACAGAAAGCCAAAAGCACTGAGATCAGCACCAGCAATATCCCAGAACTCAAATATGAGGATGAGACAGTTCCTGGGGCCACAGAGAAGTGGAAAAAAAAACAAAAACAAACAAACAAACAAAAAAACGGACGGTAAGAGAATTGGACTTCCATATCCACAATGCCTCACACTACAATCTGCCTTGTACCGAGCACATGGAAAATTTTCCTCCAACTCATGGTTTCTACACTGGAAAAAAGAGAGACTGAAGTTGACGACCAACTCCTCCACCATCTTGGATTTCCTGGCAGGAGACCTAATCCTTCCTCAACCTACAGGAAGTTCCATGAGTTCCAGAAGGGAGAAATATCCCCGAGGACAGCCCGAGAGAGAAAGGAGAAGTGAGACTACCATTTCCAGCCCTGGAAACTTTGCTCTGTAATCAGCCAAAGGATATACGAAATCAGAGTGGCTGTTCAGCAGCTCCAAGCTATAGGAGATTCACGCCACAGGTCCCTGAGGCACAAATCCCTAGTCAGCCTTCCCACACTGCTGGGTTATCCCCCTTGGGACCTCCCCAGTTTGAGATTGTTAGTGTTCCAGTTACTAAAGCCAATCAAACCTGGGCTTAAAATGTCATCTAGTACCAAAAAAAGAGGCATCAGTCTGGAAAAACAAAACAAAAAAAAAAACGAAAGAAAAGAAAGAAATTTAACAGATTTAATATATAAATTACAAAGAATCTCTAGGCAAACATGTCCAATGAAAACCAAAACAAGCCAGAAAGAGAAGGCTAGAATAAATGACTAATTTGTCAATGCAAAGACATAGATGTGCATCCACAAGATACAACAGCAAACAGAGAACCATGACCTACTCAAATGGACAAAGCAAGGAACCAGTGACTGACCTTAACAAGATGGTGATATATGAGCTCTTTGACCAAGAATTAAAATAGAACATTTAACAAAACTCAGTGATCTTCAAGATAATGCAGGAAAGCAATCCAGAAATTTATTAGAAAAATTTAACAAAGAGATTAATTTTAAAAATCAAACAGAAATCTTGGAACTGAGGAATATACTTACTAAACTGAAAAATTCATTCGAGGGTTTCAACAGAAGAATAGATCAAGCAGAGGAAAGAATTGGTGAGCTTGAAGACAGGCTATTTGAAAACACACAGAGGAGAAAAGAGAAGACAGAATAAAAATAAATGAACACCTACAAGATATAGAAAATTACCTTAAAAGACCAGATATAAGAAGTATTAACGTTCAAAAGAGAGAAAGAACAAGGGGTAGAAAGCCTATTCAAAACTTTCCAAAATTTGGAAGAGATATAAATATCTAGGTATAGGAAGATCAGAAAGAAAACCAAACAGATTTGACCCAAATAAGACTACCCCAGTTGGGCACAGTGGCTCACACCTGTAATCCCAGCACTTTGGGAGGCCAAGGCAGGCAGATCACCTGAGGTCAGGAGTTCAAGACCAGCCTGGCCAACATGGTGAAACCCTGTCTCTAATAAAAATACAAAAATTAGCCAGCTGTGGTGGCATGAACTTGTAGTCCCAGGTACTTGGGAGGCCAAGACAGGAGAGTCACTTGAATCCAGGAGGCAGAGGTTGCAGTGAGCCAAGATCATGCCACTGCACTCTAGCCTGGGCAACAAGAACAAAACTCCATCTTCACAGAATTAGAAAAAACTACTTTAAAGTTCATATGGAACCAAAAAAGAGCCCGCATTGCCAAGTCAATCCTAAGGCAAAAGAACAAAGCTGGAGGCATCATGCTACCTGACTTAAAACTATACTACAAGGCTACAGTAACCAAAACAGCATGGTACTGGTACCAAAACAGAGATATAGATCAATGGAACAGAACAGAGCCCTCAGAAATAACGCCGCATATCTACAACTATCTGATCTTTGACAAACCTGAAAAAAACAAGCAGTGGGGAAAGGATTCCCTATTTAATAAATGGTGCTGGGAAAACTGGTTAGCCATATGTAGAAAGCTGAAACTGGATCCCTACCTTACACCTTATACAAAAATCAATTCAAGATGGATTAAAGACTTAAATGTTAGACCTAAAACCATAAAAACCCTAGAAGAAAACCTAGGCATTACCATTCAGGACATAGGCACGGGCAAGGACTTCATGTCTCAAACACCAAAAGCAATGGCAACAAAAGCCAAAATTGACAAATGGGATCTAATTAAACTAAAGAGCTTCTGCACAGCAAAAGAAACTACCATCAGAGTGAACAGGCAACCTACAACATGGGAGAAAATTTTCGCAACCTACTCATCTGACAAAGGGCTAATATCCAGAATCTACAATGAACACAAACAAATTTACAAGAAAAAAACAAACAACCCCATCAAAAAGTGGGCAAAGGACATGAACAGACACTTCTCAAAAGAAGACATTTATGCAGCCAAAAAACACATGAAAAAATGCTCATCATCACTGGCCATCAGAGAAATGCAAATCAAAACCACAATGAGATACCATCTCACACCAGTTAGAATGGCAATCATTAAAAAGTCAGGAAACAACAGGTGCTGGAGAGGATGTGGAGAAATAGGAACACTTTTACACTGTTGGTGGGACTGTAAACTAGTTCAACCATTGTGGAAGTCAGTGTGGCGATTCCTCAGGGATCTAGAACTGGAAATACCATTTGACCCAGCCATCCCATTACTGGGTATATACCCAAAGGACTATAAATCATGCTGCTATAAAGACACATGCACACGTATGTTTATTGCGGCACTATTCACAATAGCAAAGACTTGGAACCAACCCAAATGTCCAACAATGATAGACTGGATTAAGAAAATGTGGCACATAGACACCATGGAATACTATGCAGCCATGAAAAATGATGAGTTCATGTCCTTTGTAGGGACATGGATGAAATTGGAAATCATCATTCTCAGTAAACTATCACAAGAACAAAAAACCAAACACCGCATATTCTCACTCATAGGTGGGAATTGAACAATGAGATCACATGGACACAGGAAGGGGAATATCACACTCTGGGGACTGTGGTGGGGTGGGGGGAGGGGGGAGGGATAGCATCGGGAGATATACCTAATGCTAGATGACACGTTAGTGGGTGCAGCGCACCAGCATGGCACGTGTATACATATGTAACTAAACTGCACAATGTGCACATGTACCCTAAAACTTAAAGTATAATAAAAAAAAAATAAAAAAAATTAAAAAATAAAAATAAAATAAAATAAAATACTATAAAAAAAAAAAAAGAAATCCTAGGCAATACCATTCAGGACATAGGCATAGGTGAAGACGTCATGACTAAAACACCAAAAGCAATGGCAACAAAAGCCCAAATTGACAAATGGGATCTAATTAAACTAAAGACCTTCTGCACAGCAAAAGAAACTATCATCAGAGTGAACAGGCAGCCTACAGAATGGGAGAAAATTTTTGTAATCTATCCATCTGACAAAGCGCTAATATCCAGAATCTACAACAACCTTAAACAAATTTACAAGAAAAAAAAACTCCATCAAAAACTGAGAAAAGATATGACCAGACACTTCTCAAACAAAGACAATTATGCAGCCAACAAACATATGAAAAAAAGATCATCACTGGTCATTAGAGAAACGCAAATCAAAACCACAATAAGATACCATCTCATGCCAGTTAGAATGGGGATCATTAAAAAGTCAGGAAACAACAGGTGCTGGAGAGGATGTGGAGAAATAGGAATGCTTTTACACTGTTGGTGACAGTGTAAATTAGTTCATCCACTGTGGAAGACAGTGTGGCGATTCCTCAGGGATCTAGAACTAGAAATACCACTTGACCCAGCAAACCCATTACTGGGTATATACCCAAAGGATTATAAATCATTCTACTATAAAGACACATGCACACGCATGTTTATTGCAGCACTGTTCACAATAGCAAAGACTTGGGACCAACCCAAATATCCATCAATGATAGACTGGATAAAGAAAATGTGGCACATATACACTATAGAATTCTATGCAACCATAAAAAAGGATGAGTTCATGTCCTCTGCAGGGACATGGATGAAGCTGGAAATCATCATTCTCAGCAAATTAACACAGGAACAGAAAACAAAACACCATATGTTCTCACTCATGTGGGAGTTGAACAAGAAGAACACATGGACACAGGGAGGGGAACATCACATACCAGAGCCTGTTGGGGAGTGGGGTGCTAGGGGAGGCAGAGCATTAGGAAAAATACCTAATGTAGATGACTAGTTGATGGGTGGGGCAAACCACCATGGTCCATGTATACTATGTAACAGATCTGCACGTCCTGCACATGTACCCCAGAACTTATAGTACAATAAAACAAACAAAAAAACAAACAAACACATACATTTCTCATGTCAGAGACTTTGTGGTCAGGAATCCTGGTGTGGCTTCAGAGAATCTGCCTTAAGCTCTCTCACATGGTTCCCGGTTGGCCTCATGTTCTTACTGTCTGTTGGAGAGAAACATTGGTTCCTTGTCACATATATGAGTCTCTGCTAGGGAAGCTAACAACATGCTAGTTGGCTTTTCTCAGAGCCAGTGAACAAGAAAGGTAAGAAAGACAGAAGCCACAGTCTTTTGGTAACCTAATCTCAAAAAGTATATCCCATTATTTTCACTGCATTCTGTTTTTTTAGTAATGACTCAGTAAGTGCAGCCCACACTCAAGGCAGGGTGTATGATACAAGAATACGGACATCAGGAGGCAGATATCACCAGGGACTATCTTAAAAACTGCCTGTCACAGTGAGGTTATGCCATCTTGTCATGAAGCGGACACACACACACACACACACACACACACACACACAGAGTCTACTCAGTGTTGAGAAAGATCAGGGGCATCATTGATAAGGTACTAAAAAATGTCAGAGTGGGAAAGGATCTTAGACCTTATCTGAGCCAGCCCCCTCACCTTACATGTGAGAAAGTGTAAACCCAGAGGAGTTAAGTGGCCTGCCCAAGATTGTGCATTAACTTGTGGTCAGTCTTTGGGCTAAACCCAGGCTGACTCCTGATCAACTTCTCTTTTCCTTAGAGTTAACTTTCCAGCTCATCCTGGGCAAGGGTATTACTTTCACAAAAGATACAGATAAGTAGTTCTATCTGTTCTCTCTTCCAAAATTAGTGAATCATGTCGTTACCGAGTTTAAGGACCAGTGTTTTTTAAAAGTGGCAAATTGATAAGCAGATATCCTTGGTTATTTTCCCTCTGATCATTGTTCTTTTACTGCCTTTGTTCTTAACTGGATGAGAAAGTAGAACAAGAGTTTGCTTTACAGATAAACCAAGGAAATTTCATGCCCAATAATGTAAACGAAGCACCATTTTTCCTACCAAAGCACCCCACTTACAAAACTAAAATACAGAAAAGTTGAGAATTTGTCTAGAATCCAGAGCACCATTTTTAAAGTGCCCATTGGCACAGTAGCAATTTATGAAAGTTTTGCAATTTGTGAAGCAGATGTTTTTCATCAGCGTGGATGCCTTGATTCATGAAACATTCCAGTTTGACTTCACCATCAACTATCTTTTAACCCATATGCATGTTTAACCGAGGGTCAATTGATCAAATAATAGCTGACTGGCCAAAAAGGTCATTCTTGGGTTTGGCTGATTGAAAATGAGCTGTTGCATTTTTTTTCTCTTGTGTGTTAAGTGCAGCACAAATTATTCATGACACTGCTAGGAGGTACAGCAAGTTAATAAATCATAAGAATGGCTCCATTCTAGTTGCTCATATCCATGAAACCTGTCCTGTTGTGGTTGATGGTAAGGCTAGAGAAAATCAAGTGGACTTGATAGTAGAAGCAGTGTGATTGACTTAGAACCTTCCAGCTCTATGGCTGTTTTTACTCTGATATATGACATTTCAACTATAATTCTGCTACTATGTTCTTTAGTGTAAAAGGAGAGGTAATTAAACCTAAAACAAAATAGTCTTACTGTCAGCCAGTTAAGCATACACACACTCCTAGAGAACGTTCAGGATGTCTTTACTTCTAATCCAATAAAAACTTCCTAACTATGTCAAGGCCACAGGATGACATCTCTTGTCTGTTCAGTATGTTTCCAAGCTCTCTGCTTGGTACAGGATCTTGGTCCTAGTCTCTGAGGCGACCCTTTCAGCTAACCTCCCATCAAAAGATTCTCCTTCTTCCCTCCCCCTTATACCGTCTACCTCCCCAACGACCCCCAGGTCCTTGGCCCTTTTAACCCCTTTTCCTCCTCTTCCAGGTTCTGCCACTCCTGTGTCTTACCTTCATATGAGTTATAAGTCATCTGGTGTCTTTCTCTGGGACCCATCAGTTGATACAAAGGGGAGAGGTCAATTCATGTCTTTACTATAGTAAAGGAGAGGTGACAAGCCCTCAGATGAAGTGTCTGAAAGACAACTAGCCCTTTTTAGCTATGATGGTTGAACCTCAGCCAGCACACCCTATACAATTCATTTTACCAAGAGTATCTCCTTCCTACCATTGTGCTGCAGTCTAAGGGTTCACCTGTCACTATGGGCTTTGTAAGTGATGGTCTTTGGGAACAAACAGAAGAGACAAAAAATTTCCAAGACTCAAGGCTACTGATTCACTTATATCTTGATAAGCTGCATTCAGCAAGGGAGGATTCATTTTCAGGGAAGTACAGAGGGAGGGGTTCTATTTGGGGTTGAATAGATAGGGGGAGAGAAATAGAAGCAGTTCCTGTCACAACCTCTAGTTTTCTCAACATCCCCTCCCCTGCCATTGCCTTTATAAGCAAAGAGAAAAAGAAACAAAATTAGACTACAAGGTACTCAAAGGGTGAAAGTGAATCAAAATTGACCTCCCTAGTAAGGATAAAATTGATCAAAAGTTCTTCAAATGCCCAGAACACTGACCCCTCTCATTCATAGTTTCATAGAGAATGGGCACGAGAAGCAAGAGAAAGATTATACTCACTACATAAAATAAACTACATGTTTTTTATTGTCTGAGGGTAATGAATAGATTCTGGATGAAAAGAATGCTGTGTGAGGAGAAGGAGGCAGACTCTCCGTGAGAATAAGGAGAGTTTCCCCAAGGAAACCTTTAAAATGATCTTTCAAAATAAAGAAAATTTTAGAAATTAGCTGGCCATGGTGGCATGTGCCTCTGATCCCCCAGCTATTTGGGAGACTGAGGCAGAAGGATTGCTTGAGTTCAGGAGGTTGAGGCTGCAATAAACTGTGATCTTATCACTGCACTCCAGCCTGAGTGACCCCTTCTCAAAAAAGAGAAAAAAAAGATAAATGAGATATTATCTATTTGCAGACTCTAGACATAAAAGAACATGAATTGTATTAAGGATGTGTTAGAGTCATATATGTAATTCTGAGCCAGCAGAAGTCTTTTTTCTTTTTCTTTTTTTTTTTAAAGTTTGCATTGTAATTTTCCTTAAACTACACTTAGGGCCATTTCTAGCCGATATGGTAGATTAAATTGAGGTGGGAACTCTCCCTATCCTTCCAACACTACATTGCAATAAGCTTGAAACCAAGAAAGAGAAATCTTCAGGTGCCAGAAATAATGAACTAAAAGTTAAAGGTGTGAAAAAAAGCTGGATCCAAACAGCTCACCAAGTATCAGATTAGCTCATAACATATTGGGCTGAGATCTTAAAACTCTGAGAAGGGGATTCCAGCCCCAGTTTCAATGTATGCTTGGACCTAGAACGAAGCTACCTGAATAAAACTGGGAGTCACTAAGTGGGCACTCCATTCAGAAATGCCAAATAGAAATACTCTGTCTACTGGTCCAAAGAAAAAGGAAGGAATCTTTCCATTTGCCTGGGACTCGGTGAATGAAATGAGAGTCACCATAAATACTGGAAAACAAGTTCGTGTCTCACATGAGTGAGGAATCTGAATTCACACTCCCTGCAAAATGCGAGCATTCAAGGCCAATAAAAAGTGGTCCTGTGCTAGTGACAACTCATTGGTCCCCTGGTTAAACTTTTCTGTAGAGACAATTCAATAAAAGGATGCCTCTGTGGCCCAGCTGAGAATAACTGCTGCTGAGGTCATACTCAAAAGTTACACACTACACCAAAAAGGAGGTATTGATTCAGCAAATGAGAGAATTTGCAATTTAAAAAAATCTCAATAAGGGAATAGTTTTTGAGAAACTCCCAAATAAAGACTTTCAACATGTTCAAAGAGAAAAATCAAGGAATAGAAGAGAACCATAAGCAAAACAGTGTGAAACAGTATGAAAAACTGTGCTTTGAAATCGGGACAGGTTGAATAGTAGGGTTCAACGCAAGAAGCAGAACCAATAGGAAACAACATATTAAGAGCTTCATTTTAAAGAAATAAGGAATGGGCTTACACAATGTGGGGCCTGGCTAAGCAAGGTTGAAATCCATAGGAAAGAAAGGGAAGATCAGGGTAGGCTGGAACCCATGGGCATGGGCAAAGTGGTTGCCCACAAGTGGCATTCTCTCCTCCCCTCCTCCCTTCTGGTCCCCCCTCTTCCCTTCCTCCCTTTCCTCTCACTTTCTCTTTCTCCCACCCTCCCTCTCTTTCAGAAACCTCAGCTCTGCTTTCAATGATTTTCAATTTCATATTTCTTCTACCTTAATCACATACTCTCAATATCCATTCCCACATATATTTTCCAGATTTCTACCTATATAAATAGAAAAAAAATCATAGTTCTTTACATGTATATTGTACCTCCTCATGAAAGGTGGACGGCAATAATAATTAACTTCATACTTGGTAAATAAGTACTAAAACGTTGGAGCATGCAAGTAAGAGGCCCTAAACTTCAGCTTCACTTGCATCATAGAAAAATCTACCTATCTTAGGGAAAAATAAGACTGTTACAGTAGCATCCTCTTTAGGGGTAGGGGTAAGGAATAATGGGATAGTGGGAATCAAATTTAAGGAGACATGTTTTCCTGTATGTAAGGTAAATCAAAGGTAAGGGCAATCACTAAATGAATATAAAATGTATGTACAACTTTCAAACCAGAAGAGAGGAAAAAAAGAGAATGAATTCAGTCCTGTATAGATAGAAAATAAGAATGAGTCAACATAGGTCATTCATTGATTCATGCATTCACTCACTCAGCAGAGTTTTACTGAGTATCAGTTGGATCCTAGGTACGATGTACCTGTTCATATTCATAGTAGAATATTCAGTAAATGCCTGTTTCCCTACTCCAGGAATAATTAGAAACAATTTTCTCCTGGTTTGTAAGTCTCTTGGTATATCTTGTCATCTTTTCATCAATTTGACAGTTGTTCTTGTCAAATGAACTGTATTTTTAATTGCTAACCTAGTCTGTAAACTCATAGGCCATTCTGGCTTTCTCTGTCCCAAAACTCTCATTGGTTCCAAGGTTTAATTGTAAAATAAAAATGAACCAGAAGGGGCTGGCAAGATGGCTGAATAGGAACAGCTCCAGTCTGCAGCTCCCAGTGAGATCAATGCAGAAGGTGGGTGATTTCTGCATTTCCAACTGAGGTACTTGGCTCATCTCATTGGGACTGCTTGGACAGTGGGTACAGCCCATGAAGGGTGAGCTGAAGCAGGGTGGGGCATCACCTCACCCAGGAAGCTCAAGGGGTGGGGGAATTCTCTCCCTTACCCAGTGGAAGCCATGAGGGACTGTACCTAAGGAACAGTGCACTCCAGCCCAGATACTGCACTTTTCCCATGGTCTTTGCAACCTGCAGACCAGGATATTCCCTCTACATCACCAGGGCCCCAGGTTTCAGGTACAAAACTGGGTGGCCATTTGGGCAGACACCAAGTTAGCTGCAGGAGTTTGTTTTTTTTTCTCCCCCATACCCCAGTGGTGCCTGGAATGCCAGTGAGACAGAACCATTCACTCCCCTGGAAAGGGGGCTGAAGCCAGGGAGCCAGGTGGTCTGGCTCAGCGGGTCCCACCCCCATGGAGCCCAGCAAGCTAAAATCCACTGGCTTGAAATTCTTGCTGCCAGCACAGCAGCAATCTGAAGTGAACCTGGGATGCTCAAGCTTGGTGCGGGGAGGGGCGTCCACCATTGCTGAGGCTTAAGTAGGAAGTAAACAAAGCTGCCGGGAAGTTTGAACTGGGCAGAGGCCAATGCAGCTCAGCAAGGCTACTGAGGCCAGATTGCCTCTCTAGATTCCTCCTCTCTGGCCAGGGGATCTATGGAAAAAAAAGGCAGCGGCCTCAGTCAGGTGCTTACAGGTAAAACCCCCATCTCCCTGAGACAGAGCACCTTGAGGAAGGGGCAGCTGTGGGCTCAGCTCCAGCCGACTTAAAACATCCCTGACTGAAGGCTCTGAAGAGAGCAGCGGATCTCTGAGCACAGCACTAGAGCACTGCTAAGGGTCAGACTGCCTCCTTAAGTGGGTCCCTGATCCCCATGTATCCTGACTAGGAGACATCTCCCAGTAGGGGCTGACAGACACCTCATACAGGAGAGCTCTGGCTGGCATCTATTGGGTGCCCGTCTGGGACAAAGCTTCCAGAGGAAAGAACGGGCAGCAATCTTTGCTGTTCTGCAGCCTCTGCTGGTGATGCCCAGGCAAACAAGGTCTGGAATGGACCTCTAGCAAACTCCAGCAGACCTGCAGCAGAGGGGCCTGACTGTTAGAAGGAAAACTAACAAACAGAAAGGAACAGCACGTCCATTCAGAGACCCCATTCAAAGATCACCAACATCAAAGACGAAAGGTAGATAAACCTATGAAGGTGGAGAGAAACCAGTGGGAAAAGGCTGAAAATTCCAAAAACCAGAACACCTCTTCTCCTCCAAAGGATCAGCACTCCTTGCCAGCAAGGGAACAAAACTGGATGGATGAGTTTGATGAATTGACAGAAGTAGGCTTCAGAAGGTGGGTAATAAGAAACACGTCCAAGCTAAAGGAGCATGTTCTAACCCAGTGCAAGGAAGCTAAGAACCTTGAAAAGAGGTTAGAGGAATTGATAATGAGAATAACCAGTTTAGAGAAGAATATAAATGACCCAATGGAGCTTAAAAACACAGCACAAGAACTTCATGAAGCATACAAAAGTATCAATAGCTGAATCAATCAAGCAGAAGAAAGGATATCAGAGATTGAAGATCAACTTAATGAAAGAAGACAAGATTAGAGAAAAAAGAATGAAAAGGAATGAACAAAGCTGCCAAGAAATATGGGACTATGTGAAAACATCAAATCTATGTTTGATTGGTGTATCTGAAAGTGACAGGGAGAATGGAACCAAGTTGGAAAACACTCTTCAGGATATTATTCAGGAGAACTTCCCCAACCTAGCAAGGCAAGCCAACATTCAAATTCAGGAAATACAGAGAACACCACAAAGACACTACTTGAGAAGAGCAACCCCAAGACACATAATCATCAGATTCACCAAGGTTGAAATGAAGGAAAAAATGTTAAGAACAGCCAGAGAGAAAGGTCAGGTTACCCACAAAATGAAGCCCATCAGACCAACAGCCGATCCCTCTGCAGAAACCCCAGAAGCCAAAAGAGGCAGGAGCCAATATTCAACATTCCTAAAGAAAAGAATTTTCAACCCAGAATTTCATATCCAGCCAAACTAGCTTCATAAGCAAAAGAGACATAAAATCCTTTATAGACAAGGAAATGCTGAGAGATTTTGTCACCACCAGGCCTGCCTTACAAGAGCTCCTGAAGGAAGCACTAAACGTGGAAAGGAAAAAAATAGTACCAGCACTGCAAAAACATACCAAATTGTAAAGACCATCGACACTATGAAGAAACTGCATTAACTAACGGGCAAAATAACCAGCTGGCATCACAATGACAGTATCATATTCACACATAACAATATTAACCTTAAATGTAAATGGGCTAAATGCCCCAATTAAAAGACACAGGCTGGCAAATTGGATAAAGAGTCAAGACCCATCAGTGTGCTGTATTCAGGAGACCTATCTCACGTGCAAAGAAACACATAGGCTCAAAATAAAAGGATGGAAGAATATTTACCAAGCAAATGTAAAGAAAAAAAAGCAGGGTTTGCAATCCTAGTCTCTGATAAAACAGACTTTAAAGCAACAAAGATCAAAAGAGACAAAGAAGGCCATTACATAATGGTAAAGGGATCAATTCAACAAGAAGAGCTAACTATCCTAAATATATATGCACCCAATACAGGAACAGCCAAATTCATAAAGCAAGTTCTTAGAGACCTACAAAGAGACTTCGACTCCCACACAATAACAGTGCGAAAAGTTAACACCACACTGTCAATATTAGACAGAGCAACGAGAGACAAAATTAACAAGGATATTCAAGACTTGAACTCAGTTCTGGACCAAGTGGACCTAATACACATCTACAGAACTCTCCACCCCAAATCAACAGAAAATATATTCTTCTCAGTACCACATCGCACTTATTCTAAAATTGACCACATAACTGGAAGTAAAACACCCCTCAGCAAATCCAAAAGAACGGAAATCATAACAAACAGTCTCTCAGACCACAGTGCAATCAAATTAGAACTAGGATTAAGAAACTCACTCAGGCGGTGGCTCACACCTGTAATCGCAGCACTTTGGGAGGCTGAGGCGGGAGGATCATGAGGTCAGGAGATCAAGACCATCCTGGCTAACACAGTGAAACTCTGTCTCTACTAAAAATACAAAAAAAAAAAAATTAGCCTGATGCAGTGGCAGGTGCCTGTAGTCCCAGCTACCCGGGAGGCTGAGGCAGGAGAATGGTGAGAACCCGGGAGGCGGACCTTGCAGCAAGCCGAGATCGTGCCACTGCACTCCAGCCTGGGCAACAGAGCGAGACTCTGTCTCAAAAAAAAAAAAAAGAAAAGAAAAAAAAGACTCACTCAAAACCACACAACTACATGGAAACTGAACAACCTGCTCCTGAATGACTACTGGGTAAATAACAAAATTAAGGCAGAAATAAAGATGTTCTTTGAACCAATGAGAACAAAGACACAACATACCAGAATATCTGGGACACAGCCAAAGCAGTGTTTAGAGGGAAATTTATAGCAATAAATGCCCACAAGAGAAAGCAGGAAAGATCTAAAATCAACACCTTAACATCACAATTAAAAGAACCAGAGAAGCAAGAGCAAACAAATTCAAAAGCTAGCAGAAGAGAAGAAATAACTAGGATCAGAACAGAACTGAAGGAGATACAGACATGACAAACCCTTCAAAAAAAATCAATGAATCCAGGAGCTGGTTTTTTGAAAAGATTAACAAAATAAACCACTAGCCAGACTAATAAAGAAAAAGAGAGAAAAGAATCAAATAGGCACAGTAAAAAATGATAAAGGGGATATCATCACTGATCCCACAGAGAATACTATAAACACCTCTATGCAAATCAACTGGAAAATCTAGAAGACATGCATAAATTCCTGGACATATACACCCTCCCAAAACTAAACCAGGAAGAAGTTGAATTCCTGAATAGACCAATAACAAGTTCTGAAATTGAGGCAGTAATTAATAGTCTACCAACCAAAAAAAGTCCAGGACCAGAAGGATTTACAGCCGAATTCTACCAGAGGAACAAAGAGGAGCTGGTATCATTCCTTTTGAAACTATTCCAAACAATAGAAAAAGAGAGACTCCTCCGTAACTCATTTTATGAGGTCAACATCATCCTGATACCAAAACCTGGCAGAAACACAATAAAAAAGGAAATTTCAGGCCAATATCCCTGATGAACATTGATGTGAAAATCCTCAATAAAATACTGACAAATCTAATTCAGCAGCACATCAAAAAGCTTATCCACCATGATCAAGTGGGCTTCATCCCTGGGATGCAAGGCTGGTTCAAAATATTCAAACCAATAAATGTAATCTATCACATAAACAGAACCAATGACAAAAACCACATGATTATCTCAATAGATGCAGAAAAGGCCTTTGACAAAATTCAACAAAACTTCATGCTAAAAACTCTCAATAAACTAGGTATTGATGGGACGTATCTCAAAATTACAAGAGCTATTTATGACAAACCCACAGCCAATATTATACTGAATGGGCAAAAGCTGGAAGCATTCCCTTTGAAAACTGGCAAAAGACAAGGATGCCCTCTCTCACCACTCCTATTCAACATAGTATTGGAAGTTCTGGCCAGGGCAATCAGGCAAGAGAAAGAAATAAATGATATTCAAAAATAAAAAGAGGAAGTCAAATTGTCTCTGTTTGCAGATGACATGATTGTATATTCAGAAAACCCCATCGTCTCAGCCCAAAATCTCCTTAAGCTGATAAGCAACTTCAGCAAAGTCTCAGGATACAAAATCAATGTGCAAAAATCACAAGCATTCCTATACACCAAGAACAGACAAACAAAGAGCCAAATCATGAGTGAACTCCCATTCACAATTGCTACAAAGAGAATAAAATACCTAGGAATAAAACTTACAAGGCATGGGAAGGACCTCTTCAAGGAAAACTACAAACCACTGCTCAAGGAATAAGAGAGGACACAAACAAATAGAACAACATTCCATGCCCATGGATAGGAAGAATCAATATCGTCAAAATGGCCATACTGCCCACAGTAATTTATAGATTCAATGCTATCCCCATCAAGCTACCAGGGACTTTCTTCACAGAATTGGAAAAAACTACTTTAACCTTCATATGAAACCTAAAAAGAGCCTGCATAGCCAAGATAATACTAAGCAAAAAGAACAAAGCTGGAGGCATCATGCTACCTGACTTCAAACTATACCACAAGGCTACAGTAACCAAAACAGCATGATACTGGTATTAAAACAGATATATAAACCAATGGAACAGAACAGAGGCCTCAGAAATAACACCACACATCTATAACCATCTGATCTTCGACAAACCTGGCAAAAACAAGCAGTGGGGAAAGGATTCCCTATTTAATAAGAGGTATTGGGAAAACTGGCTAGCCATATGCAGAAAACTGAAACTGGATCCCTGCCCTACACCTTACACAAAAATTAACTCAAGATGGATTAATGACTTTAATGTAAGACCTAAAACCATAAAAATCCCAAAGAAAACCTAGGCAATACCATTCAGGACATAGGCATGGGCAAAGACTTCATGTCTGAACACCAAAAGCAATGGCAACAAAAGCCAAAATTGACAAATGGGATCTAATTAAACTAAAGACCTTCTGCACAGCAAAAGAAAGTATCATCAGAGTCAACTGGTAGCCTACAGAATGGGAGAAAATTTTTGCAATCTATCCATCTGACAAAGTGCTAATATCCCAAATCTACAAAGAATTTAAATAAATTTACTTGACAAAAACAGCCCCATCAAAAAGTGGGCAAAGGATATGAACAGACACTTATCAAAAGAAGACATCTATGCAGCCAACAAACATATGAAAAAAAGCTTATTATTACTGGTCACTAGGGAAATGCAAATCAAAGCCACAATGAGATATCATCTCACACCAGTTAGAATGGTGATCATTAAAAAGTCAGGAAACAACAGATGCTGGAGAGGATGTGGAGAAATAGGAAATCTTTTACACTGTTGGTAAGAGTGTAAATTATTTCAACCATTATGGAAGACAGTGTGGCTATTCCTCAAGGATCTAGAACTAGAAATACCATTTGACCCAGCAATCCCATTACTGGGTCATATAAATCATTCTACTATAAAGACACATGCACATGTATGTTTACTGTGGCACTGTTCACAACAGCAAAGACTTGGAACTAACCCAAATGCCCATCAATGATAGAGTGGATAAAGAAACTATGGCACTATACACTTTGGAATTCTATGCAGCCATGAAGAAGGATGAGTTCCTGTCCTTTGCAGGGACATAGATGAAGCTGGAAACCATCATTCTCAGCAAACTATCACAAAGACAGAAAACCAAACACCACATGTTCTCACTCACAGGTGGGAATTGAACAATGAGAACACTTGGACACAGGGCGGGGAACATCCCACACCAGGGCCTGTCAGAGGGATGGGGGGCTGGGGGAGGGATAGCATTAGGAGAAATACCTAATGTAAATGACGAGTTGATGGGTGCAACAAACCAACATGGCACATGTATACCTATGTATCAAACCTGCACGTTGTGCACATGTACCCTAGAACTTAAAGTATAATTAAAAAGAAAGAAAGAAAGAGAGAAAGAAAGAAAGAGAGAGAGAAAGAGAGAGAGAAAGAAAGAAAGAAAGAAAGAAAGAAAGAAAGAAAGAAAGAAAGAAAGAAAGAAAGAAAGAAAGAAAGAAAGAAAGAATGAATTTATGGCACATATACACCATGGAATACTATGCAGCCATAAAAGATGAATTCATGTTCTTTGCAGAGACATGGATGAAGCTGGAAATCATCACTCTCAGCAAACTAACACAGGAACAAAAAATCAAACACTGCATGTTCTCACTCATAAGTGGGAGTTGAACAATGAGAATACATAGACACAGTGAGGGAAGCATCACACACCAGTGTCTGTCAGTGGGTGGGGAGGTTAGGGGAGGGATAGTATTAGGAGAAATACCTAATGTAGTGATGGGTTGATGGGTCCTGCAAACCACCATGGCATGTGTATACCTATGTAACAAAACTGCACGTTCTGCACATGTACCCCAGAACTTAAAGTATAATTTTAAAAAATGAACCACAAGGACCCACACTCAATAGCAACGTAGGATGAGGCAATGTATTTCTTCAACTCAAGTGTAACTTCCCAAGGATGTCTCTTACGAACCACTGCTTCATCTTCTTCTTTAAGTAGGAGGGTTTAAACTTCAGAATTCAGAAAATGAGAAACTGATACTGAAACTTATAAATTATTTGGTCAAAGTACTTTTCCCATTTCCTGATGCAATATTATATGAAATAGTTACAGCATTTTCAAATAGAAGCACAAGAGTTTATACTTTCTAATCTTCTCATCTTAGAGGTGAGAAAAGTGAAGCTGACAGGTTAAAACTGTTTGCATCAGATTATGAAGCCAGTTAGAGGAAGAGGTCAGTCCTCCTCTAAGTCTCTAACTACTTATCCATGGAGAAAGCAAAGGAGCCTCACTTGTGGTGCCCCCTAAAAATCCATTCATGCCTTCAACTATTTATCGAGCACTGACTACTTTCTTCTCTTTGTCTTGGATGCTGAAGCAAATGAATGACTTGAATCCTACTCTATAGAAGTATACAATGCAAGATGAAAGACACATTCTTGCAGTGTTTGCACAAGGTGATATTGCTCACTTGAATTTCACATTTGTTTTTTTAAGTTGCTTTAAGATATAAATGAAGGCCAGGTGTGATGACTCATGCCTATAATCCCAGCACTTTGGGAGGTTGAAGCAGGTGGATCAATTGAGTCTAGAAGTTTGAGATTAGCCTGGGCAACATCGTGAGACCTCATCTCTACGAAAAATACAAAAATTAGCTGGGCATGTTCACACACGCCTATAGTCCCAGCTACTCAGGAGGCTGAGATGGGAGGATTGCCTGAGCCTGGGAGTTGGAGGCTGCAATGAGGTGAGATTGTGTCACTGCACTCCAGCCTGGGCAACAGAGGGAGACCCTGTCTCAAAAAATAAATAAGATAAATGAAGTAATAGATAAATAAATGATTCATGAATCTATAAACAACTTCATTTGCACAGGGCTATTCAAGGACAGAAAATGAAGTCTGCTCCGTACTTAGGGGCTGAGCCTAGGGAGAATCAAGATGATGCTATAGAATCCTAGGAAAATGCTGGTCTAACATAAGGAACAGCAAACACACATTTCTTTATGCTCCAGGCCAACCCCAGCTGCTGTATGGAAAAGTATCCTGGAAGTGGAACCAGGAGATCTAGGATGTAGGCCATTTTTAACACCCCAAATATTGACTTCCTTATCTATGAACTCTACCACTATGTTGTCAAAAAGATGAAAACAGGTCGGGCGCAGTGGGTCACCCTGTAATCCCAGCACTTTGGGAGGCCGAGGCAGGCGGATCACCTGAGGTAGGGAGACCAGCCTGACCAACATGGACCAACATGGGTTTAGTACAAACCCGGTCTGTACTAAAAATACAAAATTAGCTGGGCGTGGTGGCACAGGCCTGTAGTCTCAGCTACTTGGGAGGCTGAGGCAGGAGAATCACTCGAACCTGGGAGGTGGAGGTTGTGGTGAGCTGAGATCCCACCATTGCACTCCAGCCTGGGCAACAAGAGTGAAATTCCGTCTCAAAAAAAAAAAAGATGAAAACATAATAAACAAGAAAACAGTGGTTGGGTGGCTCCTTTAATTTTGTTTTGTTTAGAAAATGAAATCATCCCACCTCTCTGGGCCTTATTTCCTTACCTAATTGGACGTGTTGAACTAGGTCAAGGATGCAAACATAATTTCCCTCAGGAGCCTGGCAGATAAAAGGAATAAGTGAAAGAGGGATAGCCTTGGTGGAAAGCAGTAGTTTCTTGGGGCCCATGGCACAATTGGGGAATGCAAGCTTTTGTAGAAAAGCAAACAAACAAAAGCCAACAAACAAAAATCCAAATTATAAAGAAAAACCTATGATAGCCAGTAGTGGCTCCTGGATGACACACTCTCTAATGATTCATAAAAGGTACAGCCTTGAATGTGTATGTGTACATACATTTAAGTTGCAGATGAAGAAGACTCTCAACCAGATTCTTGTTTCCGAGAAAAATGATGTAGTTCAAATATAGGGTTTGACGAGCCAGTAAGAGTGGCAGGTGAGAGTCAGGAGATTGGTGCAGGGAACAGCAGAGAGTGAAGAGAGGGGAAGGACCTTGTGGGAGGACAGTGGTGGCTGAAGGCAGACAACTGGTAATAATTATTCCATTCTATAAATGCCTCTCCAGAAGCCCATGATTTCCTCAGGAAGTGACAGTGCAATCTAAGGAGACCTCTGAGAGATAGAGCACACCCAGGGACCCCAAGTCTTCTGCTCATGCCACTTTCTTGAATTACCAGTTCTTCCATAGATATTTTCCTTCTCCTTTTGCAGATTGTTTTTAAAGATGACCTGCTGCTTATTCGGTTGCAATTGGTCATTGCCACTACTTCCACCAAGAGGAAATGCCACCATTTTCTCTCTCCCTTGAATCTTGGGTGGTCCTAACCAAACACTTCATGTTCTCACTCATAAGTGGGAGTTGAACAATGAGAACACATGGACACAGGGAGGGGAACATCATACAATGGGGCCTGTCGGGTGGGGCGGAGGGTGAGGGGTAAGGGAAGGGAGAGCATTAGGACAAATACCTAATGCATGCTGGGCTTAAAACCTAGATGATGGGTTGATAAGTGCAGCAAACCACCATGGCACATGTATACCTATGTAAAAAACCTGCACGTTCAGCCCATGTATCCCAGAACTTAAAGTAAAAATTTTTTTAAAAGTGATACAGACACTTCTCAAAAGAAGACATTTATGCAGCTAAAAACACATGAAAAAATGCTCATCATCACTGGCCATCAGAGAAATGCAAATCAAAACCACAATGAGATACCATCTCACACCAGTTAGAATGGCAATCATTAAAAAGTCAGGAAACAACAGGTGCTGGAGTGGATGTGGAGAAATAGGAACACTTTTACACTGTTGGTGGGACTGTAAACTAGTTCAACCATTGTGGAAGTCAGTGTGGCGATTCCTCAGGGATCTAGAACTGGAAATACCATTTGACCCAGCCATCCCATTACTGGGTATATACCCAAAGGACTATAAATCATGCTGCTATAAAGACACATGCACACGTATGTTTATTGCGGCACTATTCACAATAGCAAAGACTTGGAACCAACCCAAATGTCCAACAATGATAGACTGGATTAAGAAAATGTGGCACATATACACCATGGAATACTATACAGCCATAAAAAAGGATGAGTTCATGTCCTTTGTAGGGACATGGATGAAATTGGAAATCATCATTCTCAGCCAACTATCGCAAGGACAAAAAACCAAACACTATATGTTCTCACTTATAGGTGGGAATTGAACAATGAGAACACATGGACACAGGACGGGGAACATCACACTCTGGGGACTGTTGTGGGGTGGGGGGAGGGGGGAGGGATAGCATTAGGAGATATACCTAATGCTAAATGACGAGTTAATGGGTGCAGCACCCCAGCATGGCACATGTATACATATGTAACTAACCTGCACATTGTGCACATGCACCCTAAAACTTAAAGTATAATAATAAAATTTTTTAAAAATGAGAAAAATAAAAAAAAGTGATACTGTATGACTTTTAAGTCTAGGCCTTAAGAGGCCTTGCAGCTTGCATTTTCACCTTCTTCAAAGCTCTAAGCTGCCATGTAAAGAAATCCAAGCTGTCCTGCTGGAGAGACAAGTTAAGGAGAGCCGAGATCGCCAGCCAATAGCTAGAATCTAGACCCCAGTACATGAGTGAGGCTATCTTGAACATTCTAGACCCAACTAGTTTCCGGCTGAATATAGCCGCATTGAGTGGCCCCAGAGAAAGCAGAAAAACTGCCTAGCTGAACCCACTCAACACAGAGTTGCGAGAAATATTAAATCCTGATTGTCTTAAGCCTCTACTTTTAGGTTACATAGTAGTAGATAACTAAAACAGACACACAAAGTTATGGTCAGTGAGAACTATAGGATTCTTAGGTTAAATCTCTAAGAATTGACTTTATAAAAGTCAAACTCTACAACACTGTGGAGAAAAAGGAATGCTTATACACTGTTGGTGGGAATGTAGATTAGTTCATCCATTGTGGAAGACACTGTGGCAATTCCTCAAAGACCTAAAGACAAAGTTACGATTTGACCCAGAAATCTCATTACTCTAAACCCCAAAGAATATAAATTGTTCTGTTATAAAGACATATGCATATGTATGTTCATTGCAGTACTTCACAATAGCAAAGACATGGAATCAATCTAAATGCCCACCAATGATAGACTGGATAAAGAAAATGTGGTACATATACACCATGGAATACCACGCAGCCATCAAAAAGAATGATATCATGTTTTTTGCAGGGACATGGAGGGAGCTACAGTCCATTATCCATAGCAAACTAACACAGGAACAGAAAACCAAATACTTCATATTCTCACTTATAAGTGGGAGCTAAGTGATGAGAACAAATGGACATATAGAGGGGAACGACTCACAGTGGGGACATCAGAGGGTGGAGCATAGGAGGAGGCAGGGGATCAGGAAAAATAACTAATGGTTACTGGGCTTAATGCTTGGATGATGAAATAATGTGTACAACAAACTGCCCATGACACAAGTTTACCTATGTAACAAACCTGTACATGTATCCCTGAACTTAAATGTTAAAAATACCAAAAAAATTTTTTAAAAAGTGAAGCCCTAATGGAGCACTCAGAATTGGAGCTCACTTTTTGGAAAGGCTGTCTTCAGTGGCACCTAATAGGTAGTCCCACCATCCTTTTAGGATGGTATTCACCTGAGACTTTGAGCGCTGTAAAACAGTATCAATGTAGCATCAACTGTGAGCCCTTTGTTTAACAGAATCCAAGGCCAGAGAAGTTAAGGAGATGGCTCAGGGTCACACAGCCATCTAGTGGCCAAACTGGGACTTGAATTCAAGGCTCATGAGTTTTAATTTAGTGAAAAATAGTAGTCCCAGAAGAAATGGCTGACAAATATTTAGGCAAAATGTAATAAGGTATAGAAAGCACAGGCTTTGGTGTCAAAACAACTGAATCTAAGTCTTGAATCCTACATGTATTTCTTTTATGACCTCTGTGAGCTTATTTCTCATCTGGCAGACCTTCCTAGGGCTGAATTATGCAAGTGCTTTACAAACCGCTAAAAGCACCCCACAGATATTAAAAGGAACTATTAATAGAAATGTTACCTGTGTTTATGACTTTCACTGCTTCCTTGGGACTCCCAGGAGAATTTTCTGAGCTGACTTGGATTTGAGATTTGCCTCTATTGTGACAATCAGGCTAGAAATTACTCGAAAGAAAGCATGAGCCTGGATGCCTTGCCCTGGAGCCTTTCCCTGGGCTCCCATAGCAAATATTAGAATTGCTGAGGATGAACTGGCAGCTGGGAGAGTTAGGCAGTCCATGAGGCCTGAGGCAGTTCCACACCGACTCAGTGCCACACTCCACTCCACACTGGTGCACTCCTGAGGCAGTGTTAGCCCCTAATTGCCCTGGGTATCAAGGTTAGACAAGATCTAATGCATAATTCCAGGCTTTACAGTGGGTTCCAAAGATGTGGGCCATGCACTGCTTCTAGGACTTTGCAGACACACATAGAGCACCTATCTATCACCATCATAGGCCCTGGGACATGAGAAGTGTGATTCCTAAGACCTGTATTTCAAAACCATGACGGAGCTAGTCCTTGTCCCAGGAACCAGAAAACATCAGTTTCTCCAGGCAAGGAGAAAAGGGTGTTTTATCTGTACCCTGACAATCATCCTTTGTTTCCAAGTCAGAATTAATATCCAAATCTTGTGGGATGAGATGCACTAATTTCTCCAAGGGAAAATATGTGACATCCCCGTGCAAATCATCCTCCTGGCCTCACTTCAGTCTACTTCTGCAGCCATTCCATTTCTACCTCCCAACTGTGCACATTCTTTGTGCCCCAGCAACCGAACACATCTTTTGTTGAGTGAGATATTATTGCTTCACTTCACTCATCCTGAGATTCACCCCATGGAAAATGTAAACTTGCAAGTCAGGATCAGAAACAATGGCTGTACCACCAATGCTGTGTGCATGTGGGAGAGGCAGATGGGGTCTAGTAGCAGGAGGAGGAGATGTCCCAGGAATACAAGAGACTGAAAGCTTAGGCCAAGAACACATCGCAACCCACAGTCAAAGAGGATGGCTTCAGGGAGGCACTGGGAGTGACTGAAGCTAGGAAACACTAACTGCTGCAGGAGTGGGGATGCTCAATTTTCAGGAAAGAAAGGCTTGTTCGAAAAATAGAGAGAAAGGACTTATTTGCTAGAAATGTGGAGTTATGTTGGGGGACAGCAAAAGACAAGGCATGTCCAGGAGATCAGGCAAGGCTGTGGCAAGCAAACAAAGCCAGGTGCGGAAACATCCGATTTGGGGATTTAGGTTCCAGGACTATCCGTCCCACTTCCAATAGCCACTTGCCTTCATCTTCTAACTTACTATAACAACTGAATTACTTAGTGTATAGTCTTTCCTTATTAAAATTAAAAGCTCCATAAGGCATGGATTTTTGGCCGTGTATTTAGTAATGTATATCCTCCAGCTCCGAGACCAGTAAGTGCCTAAGAAATATTTGTTAATGAATGAACAGATTCAACAATATGTAGCAGGTTGAAAGGGAAAAGAAAAACAATGTCCTTTTATCTCATTGATAGTGTCTTTAATTTTGCTGTGGAAACAAACTGAAAAGCAACAAAATACCATTTCTTCTAAATGGCTAGATGTTGCACGCAATGTATTTGTAGATGGTAGATAGAACTTGTTGTAAAAATTGGAAAGGCTGATGTCTTAGTTTAGGTATCCCTGAAACACAGCTTGGGTTAAACACTTCGGTGGTTTGGTGATGAGGGATGAGGAGAATGAAGTGGCAAAGAGGGAAAGCTGATATTAGGGTGCAACACTGAGGTCCCCACTGTGAACAATGAGGTCTCAATTCCATAAGGCCCTTCAGGAATCATTCTGAATGCCTCCCAGAATGGTCTGCCCCGAAAAAGGGGAAACAGAGTTTACCCCCTGAGTTCTATCCCTATTAGTTGCCTGCCCCCAAGGGTGTTAACATCCTTCCCCCATCACACACACACATGTAGGACATAGTACTTATAGGCTATGCTTGTGCGCTGGCTCAGCAGGCTCCCCTGGTAATGGAATCAGTGCAAGGTGACTTGGCATTCACAGAAAACCGTTCACTGCAGTTGCCATCAAAATCAGATGTAGCCAGGGGCTGCAATGGAGGGCATCTAGGTGCCTGCTACACCAGTTAAGCATGTGTTTGCTCTTTCCCTGTCATTCAATGCTTGCTTTCTCTAAGCATAGCAGCCCAAAGGGATTTCTCCTGACTTTATCTAGGACATTTCTGTATCCTTTGTATTTTTATATTTGCATTCAGCTTAAAGTTAGATCACTGGTTCTCAATGTGGGAAGGGATGTGGTTTTACTCTCTAGTGAACATTTGGCAATGCCTGGATCTATGATTTGGTTGTCACAATTGTGGGGAAGGCACTCCTGACATCTAGTAGGTAGAGACCAGGAATGTTGCTAAATATCTCAGAATGCCCAAGACAATCCCCCACAATGTAGTATTATCCAGCCCAAGAGGTTAATTATGGTAGAGTTAGAAATCCTGAGTTAGATCAATCAAGGAGGGATCAATGGTGTCAGGAAACCATGGAAAAAGAAGTTCCCATTCAAATGCCCCAGTCCTGTAACCTTGAGTAGCTTTGGGCAACAAAACCACATAATCACATGCTCTGGAGTAGTTTGGTGTGGAGTTTGTCCATCATCTCTGTTTGCCAGTGCCCTTCTCTAGTTCAACGAGAAGTTTCACCACTGCCCTAAAGATGGAAATATTAAAATCACACAGATTAGTTCAGATAGTTTACCCCAACTGGGAAAGCCATGGGCTGAAGAAATCATCTTCTTGAAAGGCAGAAATATTACTGAACCTGTTATTGGTTTGGGACTGGGCAAGAAAAATCCCTGATGTTGCCTAAGCAATTCCCTTAGACTGGTCTGAAATGAAGTTTTGGTGTAAAATAATAAAAATAAAGAGAATAGTAGTGAATGTTTCACAAATCTATATATATTTTCCCATTTAAAAGATTATTTTATATTTTGACATGGCCTCCATTAGTTTTAGCACTAACAACATTCTGTCTTTTATAAAATAATAGAAGTTTTCATGATTCTCCACCCTTCTCCTACCACCAATTTTAAAAATACATTACTGATCTGGAAAACCAAAAGTCTGACGATCACTGGCTATGTCAACTTGATCTCTTTGGGAATTACATTTCTAAAAATGCTGTTCCTTATCTGGCTTCAGTTAAGAGTTGGAAAAAATAAAAATGTATGTGAAATTCAGAAGGCAGAAGTAAAACTGCAGTCATTATTCTCCTAAGTATTTTTTGGTCAGGTGTGTGTACAGACACAGAGGTGCCCAGCAGGTTCCCTCCTGTCCTTGCTTTACACATCCAATTATTCTTCCTGCCTGATGGCTCTCCTGACCAAAAGTGACCCCAGACCCACTACTACCAAATGCTTGGCGACAGACCTGCAGAGGGGATAGCTAGACAGAGGCAACTGCCTCCCACAGACCTCTCTGTGCACTCTTCTGCTCATGGCCTCCTTTGGCAGCTGGAAGTATTTGACTTCTCAATGTTGCCTGGTTGGTGATCCTTCTCTGATCCTTCCAGACCTGCATTTCTGTATCTCCCCCATAATTATGTAAGGTCTAATTCCTATAATAAATCACTTGTCCCATCATTTTCAAGGTACTCTGTTCTCCTTCCTAAATCTTGATTGAAAGGTATTGATACCAGAAATGGTTCCAGGGGAACAGAATGATGAAGACAGGAATCTGGAACTGGTTCTCCAATCTTTTAAGATTGAAAAGTATCAGTGGTCATGTTTCCATTGGTAAAAAGTACACATATAATCCATGGAATGGAGTGACAAAATAGTTACCTAAATTTCTGTCTCTAGTCACCTGAAGTCAAGTCGCTATAGAAAGGAAGACTTAGGGTGGCCAAGTAGTTGCTGCTATTAAACATTTTAGTGGGAATCTAGTCTAAGGACTATAGAGTTGGTTGGTTGCTTCTAAGATAGCTAGAGAACTTAGAGAAAAAAAGAAAATGATGAGCTTAGGGCTTTACATTTCCAGCTAAAGATCTGCATAGGTTGTCAGTAAACTTCTATAACTGCTCTGAAAGACACCATATCTCCTATAGCCCAGGGCTGAGACTTCTGGGAGCCAAGCTTAAAGGCTAATACTGCAGGTACGGTGCCTTCCTAAATGTACTAACCTACAGGCAAATAAATAGTGCCATCTCCTCATAGCAAGAATGCTCCTTATCTGGGAAGCAAGAGGTGGAAGTGAGAGTGGTTACTCTCACTATTAAATTTAATAACCCACATAAGGTATTTTTGCTGCCTATGTTAATGCTGCAACTTTAGACTTAATGGTTCTGTAAGACATCCCGCCCCAGGGCAAAATAGTTTCACCAGTAAACCCAGTCAATGTTCCATTAAATCAGAAGCTGAGATTTCCCCTTAGTCAATTTGGGTTCCTCATGCCAATGAGCCAACAGTCAGCTCTGAGAGGCTGATCTTTATGGGTCTCATAAGATGGGCTTCCTTGCCATTTGGCTTCCAGGTGAGTTTGGCTAATGGGAGGCACCAACAGAGAGTCAAAGGATAGAAGGAGAGAGAGATTGAAGTATTTGTTCCCCTATCTCCCTGTCTCTGCTGGGTCATGTGTTGGTGGTGGCTGTATTCCTCTACCAAAGACTGAAAAGCTCCTGTCAGGTGGACCTCTCCTATAGGAGAGGTCTTTCCTCTGACCCTTCAGGCCTAGAATTAGTAATGGCTTCCTGCTGTTGTTAGAGTGGTTAACCCTGCCCACCCCTGTGTGAACAGTCCCTTCATCACACTGTCTTTAGTCACCCCTTTTGAATATGTGGGCCATGCTGCCCAATTCCCTGACTAATGCACATACAAGAAAGTTGAGGATTTCCAAGGAAAATGGTTACTAGGAGGCAGCTACTAACTTGTAGCTCCCACTCAGACAGATGGAATAGTGTGTGGAGGCTCATATCATGAACTTCTGCTCCAAGAACTACCACAGGAACATACCAAGAAAACCAAAAGAATCCACAGACCCTTTGAAAAAAGTGGCTTGCTCCTGCAAGCTCCACGAGACAGACAAAAAACTGAGGGCCCACAGCGTGAGGGGGGAAGGTCTGCCTCCAAACACACATCCTCACTGGGGAACCTGGAAATTCCATATAATAGGAGAAAGATCTAAACCTTACCTAGAGCTGAAATGAATTTAGAGAGCCAAGCAAAATATAAAGGTAGAAGAAGTAGTAGGAAGAGCCCTGTGGGCACTCCCGGTCCCCAGGAAAGCCATTTCTGATTTTGTCTCACAAAGGTCCTTGGGGAGGGCTGCTAGTGGAACTGGGAAAGGACCACAAGGAGAAGGAAACTAATAGCTGAACTTTGTAATAATTTCGACCAAACACAGTCTTCCCTGGGCAGAATTCTGGGGTGGGGGGAGATTCTGCCCAGGAAAGAATGGGAAGTAGATACAAGCACAGGAGCTGCAGCAGGCAGGGAAGGGTGGGGCCTGAAAGGCCTGCTTGCTTTCTCAGTGGCAAGGCTTGTAGCCTGGGACAAGAGCTCAGCCCTGCTCACTGGCTGCCTGGATATAAACTTGATGCTGGTGATGCAGTGAGACTAGTCTTGCTGGCTGCATGGGAACTGGGTGAAGCCTGTCACTGCCAGTTTCCCCCAACTTCCCTGATGACCTGAATGATGGAGCAGAGGCAGCCATAATTCCCCTGGGAATATAACACCATTGGCCTGAAAACCACACCTTCATCCCTCACAGTGGCCACACTAAGCTCTGCCCAAGGAGAGTCTGAGCTCAGACACACTTAACCCTGCTCTGACCTGATGGTACTTCTCTACCCGCCCTTGTAGCCAAAGACAAAAGACATAATCTCTTGGGAGCTCTATGACTCCACCCATCATCTTAGAAACCCAAATACTTGTCCAGGCGACCTTAAGGCAAGCTTGTATCCCCCTGTGCTACCACAGCTCATGTTCTCTTGAAAGCGCCACCTCCTGGCCAAGGGCCAACTAACTCAAGTCACTACCACAACTCAAAACAGAACAACACTTCTCCAAGAAAAGACAAAACAGCTAATTCCACTGCCTGTAACATCCTGGCTAACCAGAGGTCCTGAATCTGTCCACATGACAACTTCACTGCTAACACAACCAGCATTTAAAAAAAAAAAAAAAAAAAACAGTGCACCAAACAAAACTACAACCAAGTACCCTCAGAGAGTTCATTTCACTGTCCTGCTACCTCCACTGGAGCAGGTGCTAGTATCCACAGCTGAGAGACCTGAAGATGAATCCTGTCACAGGACTCTTTACAGACACTCCTCAGTACCAGCCTGGAGCCCAGTAACTTCACTGGGAGGCTAGACCCAGAAGAGCAATAACAATCACTGTAGTCTGGCTCTTAGGAAGCCCCATCCTTAGGGAAAGGGGAAGAGCACCACATAAAGGGATCACCCCATGGGACAAAAGAATCTGAACGGCAGCTGTAGAATCCCAGATCTTTCCTCTGACAGAGTCTACTCAAATGAGAAGGAACCAATTCTGGTAATGATAAAGCAAGGTTCTTTAACACTCCAAAAAGATGATACTAGCTCACCAGCAATGGGTCCAAACCAAGAAGAAATCTCTGAATTGCCAGAAAAATAATTCAGAAGGTCAACCTATGGACATAAAAAATTAAATATAAAGAATTTAGAAGGTGGATTATTAAGCTACTCATGGAGGCACCACAGAAAAGTGAAAAACAATTTAAGGAAATTTTAAAAATAATACAGGAGATGGACAAAAAATCTCCAGAGAAACAGATAGCATCAATAAAAAATAATCAAAACTTTTGGAAATAAAAAACAAACTTAGAGAAATACAAAATACACTGGAAAGTTTCAACAATAGAACCAAACAAGTAGAAGAAGTTACTTCAGACCTCTAAGACAAGGCTTTTGAATTAACCCAATCCAACAAAGATAAAAAAAAAATTAAAAAAAAAAAAATGAAGCCTCCAAGAAGTTTGGAGTTATGTTAAATGAGCAAACCTAAGAATAATTGCTGTTCCCAAGGAAGAAGATAAAACTAAAGGTTTGGAAAACATATCTGAGGTAATAATTGAGGAAAACTTCCCTGGCCTTGCTAGAGATCTAGACTTCCAAATACAAGAAACACAAAGAACACCTGGGAAATTCATAGCAAAAAGATCATCACCAAGACACATAGTAATCAGGTTATCTAAAGTCAAGACGAAGAAAAGAATCTTTAGAGTTGTGAGATAAAAGCATTGGGTAACCTATAAAGGAAAAACCTATCATGTTAACAGCAGATTTCCCTGTAGATACCCTATAAGCTAGAAGGGAGTGGGGTCCTATCTTAGCCTCACTAAACAAAACAGTATCCAGTGAAACTAAGCTTCATAAATGAAGCAAAGATAAAGCCTTTTTCAGACAAATAAATGCTGAGAGAATTCACCACTGCCAAGCCAACACTACAAGAACTGCTCAAAGAAGTTCTAAATCTTGAAATAAAACCTCAAAATACACCAAAATAGAACCTCCTTAAAGCATAAATCCCACAAGGCCTATAAAACAATAACACAATGAAAAAAAAAACCAAGGTATTTAGGCAACAACTAGCAAGATGAAGACAATAGTACCTCACATCTCAATATGAACATTGAATGTATATGGCCTAAATGTTCCACTTAAAAGGCACAGAATGGCAGAATGGATAAGAATTCACCCATCAAGAATCTGCTGTCTTCAAGAGACTCACCTAACACAAAAGGACTCAAATAAGGTAAAGAGGTGGAAAAAGATATTCCCTGCAAATGGACACCAAAAATGAGCAGGAGTAGCTATTCTTATATCAGACAAAACAGACTTTAAAGCAACAACAGTTAAAAAAAAAAAAAGACAAAGGTGGACGTTATATAATGATAAAAGGACTAGTCCAACAGAAAAATATCACAATCTTAAATATATATGCACCTAACACTGGATCTCCCAAATACATAAAACAATTACTACTATACGTAAGAAATTAGATAGATGGCAACACAATAATAGTGGGGGAGACTCCAATACTCCACTGACAGCACTAGACAGGTCATCAAGACACAAAGTCAACAAAGAAACAATGGACTTAAACTATACCCTAGAACAAATGGACTTAACAGATATTTATAGAACATCCTACCCAACAAATGCAGACTATACATTCTAGTCATCAACACATGGAACATTCTTCAAGATAGACCATACAATAGGCCACAAAACAGGCCTCAACAAATTTTAAAAAATTGAAATCATATCAAGTACTCTTTCAGACCACAGTGGAAAAAAATTGGAAATCAACTCCAAAAGGAATTCTCAAAACCATGCAAATACATGGAAGTTAAAGAATCTACTCCTGAGTGATCATTGGGTCAACAATGAAATCCAGAGGAAAATTTTAAAATTTTTTGAACTGAATAATAGTGACACAACCTATCAAAACCTCTGGGATACAGCAAAATTGATGCTAAGAAGAAAGTTCATGGCATTAAATGCCTACATCAAAAAGTCTGAAAGAACACAAATAGACAATTTAAGGTCTCACTTCAAGGGACTAGAGAATCAAGAACAAACAAAACCCAAACCCAGCAAAAGAAATAAGATCAGAGCAGAACTAAATGAAATTAAAACAAAAAAAATACATAGGACAAATGAAACAAAAAGCTCGTTATTAGAAAAGATAAACAAAATTAATAGACTATTATCAAGATTAACCAAGAAAAGAAGAGAGAAGATCCAAATAAGCTCAATTAGAAACAAAACAGGAGATATCACAACCAATAAATCAGAAATAGAAAAGATCATTCAAGGCTACTATGAACACCTTTACACACACAAACTAGCAAACCTAGAGGAGATGGATAAATTCCTGGAAACATACAACCCGACTAGATTAAACCAGGAAAATATAGAAACTCTGAACAGATGAATAACAAGCAGCAAGATTGAAATGGTAATTTAAAAGTTGCCACCCAAAAAAAAGTCCAGGACCAGATGAATTCACAGCTGAAGTCTATCAGACATTCAAAAAAGAATTGGTATCAATCCTATTGAAACTATTCCAACAGATATAGAAAAATCCTCCCTAAGTCATTCTATGAAGCCAGTATCACCCTAATACCCAAGCCAGAAAAGGACACAACAAAAAAAGAAACCTATAGACCAATGAACACAGATGCAAAAACCCTCAACAAAATACTAGCTAACTGAATCCAACAGCATATCAAAAAAAAAATCCACCATAATCAAGTAGGTTTTATATCAGGGATGTAGGGATGATTTAACATGTGGCAAGTCAATAAATGTGATACAGCACATAAACAGAATCAAAAACAAAAATCACATGATCATCTGAATAGAAGCAGTTAACAAAATCCAGCACCTCTTTATGATTAAAACCCTCAGCAAAATCAGCATAGAAGGGACATATCTTAAGGCAGTAAAAGCCATCTATGACAAACCCACAACCAACATTACACTGAATAAGGAAAAGTTGAAAGCATTCCCCCTGAGAACTAGAATAACACAAGGATGCCCACTCTCACTTCTTCTAGTCAATGTAGTTCTAGAAGTCCTATCCAGAGCAATCAGACAAGAGAAAGAAATGAAGGACATCCAGATCAGTAGTGAGGAAGTCAAACTGTCAATGTTTGCTGATAATATGATTGTATACCTAGAAAACCCTAAAGTCTCATCTAAAAAGCTCCTAGATCTAACCAATGAATTCAGTAAAGTTTCAGGATACAAATTCAATGTACACAAATCAGTAGCTCTTCTATACACCAACAATGACCAAGCTGAGCATCAGATAAAGAACTCAACTCCTTTCCAATAGAAAGACCTCTACAAGGAAAACTAGAAAACACTGCTGAAAGAAATTATAGATGACAAGCAAATGGAAACACATTTCATGCTCATGGATAGGTAGAATTAATATTGTGAAAATGACCATACTGTGAAAAGCAATCTACAAATTAAATGTAATTCCCATCAAAATACTACCACCATTCTTCACAGAACTAGAAAAAATAATTCTAAAATTCATTCGCAACCAGAAAAGAGCCCACATAGCAAAAGCAAGACTAAGCAAAAAGAACAAATCTGGAGACATCACATTACTCAATTTCAAACTATACCTCAAGACTACAGTCACCAAAACAGCATGGTACTGGTATAAAAATAGGCACGTAGACCAATGGAACAAAACAGAGAACACAGAAATAAACCCAAATAATTATAGCCAACTGATCTTCGACAAAGCTAACAAAAATATAAAGTGGGGAAAAGACACCCTATTTAACAAAAGGTGCTGGGATAATTGGTAAGCCACATGTAGAAAAATGAAACTGGCTCATCTCTCACATTATACAAAAATCAACTCAAGGTGGATCAAAGACTTAAATTTAAGACCTGAAATCATAAAAATTTTAGAAGATAGCATCAGAAAAACCCTTCTAGACATTGGCTTAGGCAAATACTTCATGACCAAGAACCCAAAAGCAAATTCAACAAAAACAAAGATAAATAGATGAGACTTAATTAAACTAAAAAGCTTCCACACAGCAAAAAAAAAAAAAAAAAAAAAAATGACAATAAAATAAGCAGCATAAGCAGACAACCCACAGAGTGGGAAAAAATCTTCACAAACTATGAATGCAACAAAGGACCAACATTCAGTATTTACAAGGAGCTCAAACAAATCAGCAATAAAAAACAAACAATCCCATCAAAAAGTGGGCTTAAGGACATGAATAGATAATTTTCAAAAGAAGATATACAAATGGCCAACAAGCATATGAAAAAATGCTGAACATCATTAATTATCAGGGAAATGCAAATCGAAGCCACAATGCAATACCAACTTACTCCTGCAAGAATGGCCATAATTTAAAAATCAAAAAATAATAGATGCTGGCATGGATGCAGTGAAAAGGGAACACTTTTACACTGCTGGTGGGAATGTAAACTAGGATAACCATCATGGAAAACAGTATGGAGGTTCCTTAAAAAACTAAAAGTATATTTACCATTTGATTCGGCAGTCCCACTATTGAGTATCTACGCAGAGGAAAAGAAGTTGTTACATGAAAAAGACACGTGCACATACATGTTTATAGCAGCACAATTCGCAATTGCAAAACTAAGGAACCAGCCCAAATGCCCATCAATCAACGAGTGGATAAAGAAAATGTGGTGTATACCACACATCTACAACCATCTGATCTTTGACAAACCTGACAAAAACAAGCAATGGGGAAAGGATCCCCTATTTAATAAATGGTGCTGGGAAAACTGGCTAGCCATATGCAGAAAATAGAAACTGGACCCCTTCCTTACACTTTATACAAAAATTAACTCAAGATGGATTAAAGACTTAAACATAAAACCTAAAACCATAAAAGCCCTAGAAGAAAACCTAGGCAATACCATTCAGGACATGGGCATGGGCAAAGACTTCATGACTAAAACACCAAAAGCAATGGCAACCAAAGCCAAAATTGACAAATGGGATCTAATTAAACTAAAGACCTTCTGCTAAACAAAAGAAACTGTCATCAGAGTGAACAGGCAACCTACAGAATGGGACAAAATTTTTGCAATCTATCTATCTGACAAAGGACTAATATCCAGCATATACAAGGAACTGAAACAAATTTACAAGAAAAAAACAACCCCATCAAAGAGTGGGCAAATGACATGAACAGACACTTCTCAAAATATGACATTTATATAGCCAACAAACATATGAAAAAAAGCTCATCATCACTGATCATTAGAGAAATGCAAATCAAAACCACAATGAGATACCATTTCATGCCAGTTAGAATGGCAATCATTAAAAAGTCAGGAAACAGATGCTGGCAAGGATGTGGAGAAATAGGAACTCTTTTATACTGTTTGTGGGCGTGTAAATTAGTTCAACCATTGTGGAAGACAGTGTGGCGATTCCTCAAAGACCTAGAACCAGAAATACCATCTGACCCAGCAATCCCATTACTGGGTGCGTACCCAAAGGATTATAAATCATTCTACTATAAAGACACATGTACATATATGTTTATTGCAGCACTATTTACAACAGCAAAGACTTGGAACCAACCCAAATACCCATCAATGATAGATTGGATAAAGAAAATGTGGCACATATACACCATGGAGTACAAAGCAGCCATAAAAAGGAATGAGTTCATTTCCTTTGCGGGAAAATGGATGAAGCTAGAAACCATACTCCTCAGCAATCTAACATAGGAAAAGAAAACCATACGCTGCATGCGCTCACTCATAAGTGGGAGTTGAACAATAAGAACACATGGACACAGGGAGGGGAACATCACACATGGGGCCTGTTGGGGGTGGGGGGAGATGGGAAGGATAGCATTAGGACAAATACCTAATGCATACAGGGCTTAAAACCTAGATGACGGGTTGATAGATGCAGCAAAGCACCAAGGTACATGTATACCTATGTATCATACCTGCACATTCAGCACATGTATCCCAGAACTTAAAGAAAAAAAAAAGAAAATGTGATATATATATATACATTATATATACACACACTATATATATATATACACACTATATACACTATATATATACACACACTAATATATACACACACACACACACACACATGCACACACCGTGGAATACTACTCAGCCATAAAAAGGAATGAAATAACAGGAATTACAGCAACCTGGATGGAGTTGGAGACCATGATTCTAAGTGAAATAACTCAAGAATGGAAAACCAAACATTGTATGTTCTCACTTATATGTGGAAGCTAAGCTATGAGGATGTGAAGGCATGAAAATGATATAATGGACTTTAGGGACTTGGTGGGGAGAAGGGGTAAAGGGAGTGAGGGATAAAAGATTGTACATTGGGTACAGTATACACTTCTCGGGTACTGGGTGCACCAAAATCTCAGAAATCGCCAACTAAAGAGCTTATCCATGTAACCAAACACCATCTGTTCCCCTAAAACACTACTGAAATAAAATAGAATAAAATAAAACTTAAAAAATAAATAAAAATATATAAAGATGAGAACATGAATAATTTCCCTGGCCAAGGATTAAAAAAAAAAAAAAAAAGTTGAGATCTGAATCTCATTCTGGTCCCCTTATTTAATTTTCTCATTAGCTCTTATAATTATTAAGTCGATTGCTTTGTTCTTTTTAGGTACAGAGTCATTTCATCTGTGAATAATTTATTTTGATCAATAAAAGACTTCAAAATAGTGAAACAGGCAAAGATTTCTCAGAATACCAAAAAAATACATATTATATATGACACACAAGTATAAAAATTAGACTTCATCAAAGTTTAAAAACTGTTGCTTTTCCAAGGATACTCTTAGAAAGATAAAAAGGCAAGCCACTGTGGCTTCCAAGATGGCTGAATAGGAACAGCTCCGGTCTGCAGCTCCCAGCGAGATTGATGCAGAAGACGGGTGATTTCTGCATTTCCAACTGAGGTACCTGGTTCGTCTCACTGGGACTGGTTGGACAGTGGGTGCAACCCATGGAGGGGAGCTGAAGCAGGGTGGGGCAGCGCCTCACCCAGAAAGTGCAAGGGGTTGGGGGATTTCCCTTTCCTAGCCAAGGAAAGCCATGACAGACTGTATCTGGAGAAATGGTACACTCCTGAACAAATACTGTGCTATTCCCACAGTCTTAGCAACCAGCAGACCAGGAGATACCCTCCTGTGCCTGGCTCATTGGGTCCCACACCCACAGAGTCTTGCTCACTGCTAGCTCAGCAGGCTGACATTGACCTGTGATGCTGCAGCTGGACAGAGGGAGGGGCATCTGTCATTGCTGAGGCTTCAGTAGCTCACCTTGTAAACAAAGAGGCATGGAGGCATGAACTGGGTGGAGACCACTGCAGTTCAGCAAGGCCTACACCTTCTATAGATTCCACCTCTGGGGGCAGGGCATAGTAGAACAAAAGGCAGCAGACAGCTTCTGCAGATTTAAATGTCCCTGTCTGACAGCTCTGAAGAGAGCAGTGCTTCTCTCAGCATGGTGTTTGAGCTCTGAGAACAGACAGACTGCCTCCTCAAGCAGGTCCCTGACCCCCGTGTAGCCTCACTGGGAAACAATTCCCAGCAGGGGCCAACAGACACCTCAAACAGGCGGGTGCCACTCTGGGACAAAGCCTCCAGAGGAAGGATCAGGCAGCAATATTTGCTGTTCTGCAACCTCCACTGGTGATACCCAGGTATACAGGGTCTGGAGTGGACCTCCAGCAAACTCCAACAGACCTGCAGCTGAGGGGTCTGACTGTTAGAAGGAAAACTGACATACAGAAAGGAATAGCATCAACAACAACAAAAAGGACATCCACACCAAAACCCCATCTGTAGGTCACCAACATCAAAGACCAAAGGTAGATAACACCACAAAGATGGAGAGAAACCAGAGCAGAAAAGCTGAAAATTCCAAAAAACAGAGTGCCTCTTCTCCCCTAAAGGATTGCAGCTCCTCGCAAACAAGGGAACAAAACTAGATGAAGAATGAGTTTGACGAGTTGACAGAAGCAGGCTTCAGAAAGTCAGTAATAACAAACTTCTCTGAGCTAAAGGAGCATGTTCTAACCCATTGCAAGGAAGGTAAAAACCTTGAAAAAAGGTTAGACAGATGGCTAACTAGAATAAACAGTGTAGGGAAGTCCTTAAATGACCTGATGGAGCTGAAAACCATGGCACAAGTACTTCGTGACGCATGCACAAGCTTCAATAGCCGACTCAATCAAGTGGAAGAAAGGATATCAGTGATCGAAGATAAATTAATGAAATAAAGTGAGAAGACAATATTAGAGACAAAAAGAGTGAAAAGAAATGAATAAAGCCTCCAAGAAATATGGGACTATGTAAAAAGACCAAACCTACATCTGATAGGTATACCAGAAAGTGATGGGGAGAATGGAACCAAGTTAGAAAACACTCTTCAAGATATTATCCAGGAGAACTTCCCTAACTTAGCAAAGCAAGCCAACAGCCAAATTCAGGAAATACAGAGAACACCATAAAGATACTCCTTGAGAAGAGCAACCCTAAGACACATAATTGTCAGATTCACCAAGGTTGAAATGAAGGAAAAAATGTTAAGGGCAGCCAGAGAGAAAGGTTGGGTTACCCACAAAGGGAAGCCCATGAGACTAACAGCAGATCTCTTGGCAGAAACCCTACAAGCCAGAAGAGAGTGGGGGCGAATATTCAACATTCTTAAAGAGAAGAATTTTTCAACCCAGAATCTCATATCCAGCAAAACTAAGCTTCATAAGTGAAACAGAAATAAAATCTTTTACCAAAAAAACAAATGCTGAGAGATTTTGTCACCACCAGGCCTGCCTTAAAAGAGCTCCTGAAGGAAGCACTAAATGTGGGAAGGAACAACTGGCACCAGCCAGTGCAAAAACATGCCAAATAGTAAAGACCATCAATGCTAGGAAGAAACTGCATCAACTAACAGGCAAAATAACCAGCTAACATCATAATGACAGGATCAAATTCAAACAACAAATGTAAATGTAAATGGGCTAAATGCCCCAATTAAAAGACACAGACTGGCAAATTGGATAAAGAGTCAAGACCCATCAGTGTGTTGTATTCAGGAGACCCATCTCACATGCAAAGCTGCACATTAGGTTCAAAATAAAGGGATGGAGGAAGATCTACCAAGCAAATGGAAAGAAAAAAAAAAAGCAGGGGTTGCAATCCTAGTCTCTGATAAAACACTTTAAACCAAAAAAGATCAAAACAGACAAAGACGACCACTAGATAATGGTAAAGGGATCAATTCAACAAGAAGAGCTAACACTCCTAAATATATACGCACCCAATACAGGAGCACCCAAATAAATAAAGCAAGTCCTTAGAGACCTACAAAGAGACTTAGACTCCCACACAGTAATAATGGGAGACTTTAACACCCCACTGTCAATATTAGACAGATTGAGATCGAAGGTTAACAAGGATATCCAGGACTTGAACTCAGCTCTGGACCAAGCGGATCTAATAGACCTCTACAGAACTCTCCACCCCAAATCAAGAGAATATACATTCTTCTCAGCACCACATCACACTTATTCTAAAATTGACCACATAATTGGTAGTAAAATACTCCTCAGCAAATGTAAAAGAACAGAAATCACAACAAACCATCTCTCAGATCACAGTGCAACCAAATTAGAACTCAGGATTAATAAACTCACTCAACCTGCACAACTACATGGAAATTGAACAACCTGCTCCTCAATGACTACTGGGTACATAACGAAATGAAGGCAGAAATAAAGATGTTCTTTGAAACCAATGAGAACAAAGACACAACGTACCAGAATCTGAGACACATTTAAAGCAGTGCGTAGAGGGAAATTTATAGCACTAAATGCCCACAAGAGAAAGCAGGAAAGATCTAAAATTGACACCTTAATATCACAATTAAAAGAACTAGAGAAGCAAGAGCAAACAAATTCAAAAGCAAGCAGAATGCAAGAAATAACTAAGATCAGAGCAGAACTGAAGGAGAGAGAGACACGAAAAAACCCTTCAAAAAATAAATGAATTCAGGAGCTGGTTTTCTGAAAAGACCAACAAAATAGATAGACCACTAGCAAGACTAAGAAAGAAGAAAAGAGAGAAGAATCAAATAGACGCAATAAAAAATGATCAAGGGATATCACCAATCCCACAGAAATACAAACTACCACCACAGAATACTATAAACACCTCTACACAAATAAACTAGAAAATCTAGAAGAAATGGATAAAATCCTGGACACATACACCCTCCCAAGACTAAACCAGGAAGAAGTTGAGTCTGAATAGACCAATAGCAGGCTCTGAAATTGAGGCAATAATTAATAGCCTACCAACCCAAAAAAGTCCAGGACTAGATGGATTCACAGCCGAATTCTACCAGAGGTACAAAAAGGAGCTGGTACCATTCCTTCTGAAACTATTTCAATCAATAGAAAAAGAGAGAATCCTCCCTAACTCATTTTATGAGGCTAGCATCATCCTGATACCAAAGCCTGGTAGAGACACAACAAAAAAAGAATTTTAGGCCAATATCCCTGATGAACATCAATGCGAAACTCCTCAATAAAATACTGACAAACCGAATCCAGCAGCACATCAAAAAGCTTATCCACCATGATCAAGTGGGCTTCATCCCTGGGATGCAAGGCTGGTTCAACAGATGCAAATCAATAAACGTAATCCATCACAAACAGAACCAATGACAAAAACCACATGATTATCTCAATAGATGCAGAAAAGGCCTTTGACAAAATTCAACACTACTTCATGCTAAAAACTCTCAATAAACTAGGTATTGATGGAATGTATCTCAAAATAATAAGAGCTATTTATGACAAACCTGTAGCCAATATCATACTGAATGGGCAAAAGCTGGAAGCACTCCCTTTGAAAACTAGCACAAGACAAGGATGCCCTCTCTCACCACTCCTATTCAACAGTGTTGGAAGTTCTGGCTAGGGCAATCAGGCAAGAGAAAGAAATAAAAGGTATTCAATTAGGAAAAGAGGAAGTCAAATTGTCTGCTTGCAGATGACATGATTGTACAAATAAAGGGTATTCAATTAGGAAAACAGGAAGACAAATTGTCTGCTTGCAGGTGATGTGATTGTATATTTAGAAAACCCCATTGTCAAAAGAAAAAGAAAAAGAAAACCCCATGGTCTCAGCCCAAAATCTCCTTAAGCTGATAAGCAACTTCAGCAAAGTCTCAGGATACAAAATCAATGTGCAAAAATCACAAGCATTCCTGTATGCCAAGAACAGAGAAACAGAGAGCCAAATCATGAGTGAACTCCCATTCACAATTGCTACAAAGAGAATAAAATACCTAGGAATACAACTTACAAGGGATGGGAAGGACCTCTTCAAGGAAAACTATAAACCACTGCTCAAGGAAATAAGAGAGGACACAAACAAATAGAACAACATTCCATGCCCATGGATAGGAAGAATCAAGATAGTGAAAATGGCCATACTGCCCAAAGTAATTTATAGATTCAATGCTATCCCCATCAAGCTACCATGGACTTTCTTCACAGAGTTGGAAAAAACTACTTTAAAGTTCATATGGAACCAAAAAAGAGCCCATATAGCCAAGACAATCCTTAGCAAAACAAAGCTGGAGGCATCATGCTACCTGACTTCAAACTATACTGCAAGGCTACGGTAAATAAAAACAGCATGGTACTGGTACCAAAACAGAGATATAGACCAATGGAACAGAACAGAGGCCTCAGAAGTAACACCACATATCTACAACCATCTGATTTTTGACAAACCTGACGAAAACCACCAATGGGGAAAGGATTCCCTATGTAATAAATGGTGCTGGGAAAGCTGGCTAGCCACACGTAGAAAGCTGAAATTGGATCCCTTCCTTACACCTTATACAAAAATTAACTCAAGATGGATTAAAGCCTTAAATATAAGACCTAACACCATAAAAATCCTAGAAGAAAACCTAGGCAATACCATTCAGGACATAGGCATGGGCAAAGACTTCTTGACTAAAACACCAAAAGAAATGGCAACAAAAGCCAAAATTGACAAATGGGATCTAATTAAAGTAAAGAGCTTCTGCACAGCAAAAGATATTCTCAGAGTAAACAGGCAATCTACAGAATGGGAGAAAATTTTTACAAACTACCCATCTGACAAAGGGCTAATATCCAGAATCTACAAAGAACTTAAAGTTACAAGAAAAAACAAACAACCCCATCAAAAAGTGGGCAAAGGATATGAACAGACACTTCTCAAAAGAAGACATTTATGCAGCTAACAGACATATGGAAAAATGCTCATTATCACTGATCATCAGAGAAATGCAAATCAAAACCACAATGAGATACCATCTCATGCCAGTTAGAATGACAATCATTAAAAAGACAAGAAACAACAGATGCCAGAGAGGATGTGAAGAAATAGTGATGCTTTTACACTGTTTGTGGGAGTGTAAATTAGTTCAACCATTGTGAAAGACAGTGTGGCAATTCTTCAAGGATCTAGAACTAGAAATACCATTTGACCCATTACTGAGCATATAACCAAAGAATGATAAATCATGCCACGATAAAGACACATGCACATGTATGTTTATTGCAGCACTATTCACAATAGCAAAGACTTGGAACCAACCCAAATATCCATCAATGATATACTGGATTAAGAAAATGTGGCACATAGACACCGTGGAATACTACGCAGCCATAAAAAAGGATGAGTTCATGTCCTTTGCAGGGACATGGATGAAACCTGAAACCATCATTCTGAGCAAACTATCACAAGGACAGAAAACCGAATACCACATGTTCTCACTCATAGGTGGTAGTTGAGCAATGAGAACACATGGGACACAGGGTGGAGAACATGACATACCAGGGCCAGTCGGGAGGTGGGGGCCTGGGGGAGGGATAGCATTAGGAGAAATACCTAATGTAAATGACAAGTTGATGGGTGCAGCAACCCAACATGGCATATATATACCTATGTAACAAACCTGCATGTTGTGTACATGTACTCTAGAACTTAAAGCATAATAAAAAAAATTTTTTAAAAAGGCAAGACACTGACTGGGAGAAAATATTTGCAAATTATATACCTGGTTAAAGACTTTTATCATCCAGAATACATAAAGAACACTTAGAAGTCAATAATAAGTCCAAAAATAATTTTAATGGGCAAAATATTTGAAAAGATAATCCACCAGAGAGGATAGATATAAAATAAGCAAATGGAAATGCAAATAAAAAATACAGTGAGATACCACTGTACACCCACTAGAATGACTAAAGTTTAAATGGCTGAAAATACCAGGGTTGGCAAAGATGTAGAACAATTGTAACTCTCATATATTGTTAGTGGGAATGAAAAATAGTACAATGACTAAAAAGCCAGTTGACATTTTCTTAAAAAGTTAAACATACACTCAACATATTACTGAACAATTCTACTTTTAGGCATTTACCCAAGAGAAATGACACTTGTGTCCACACAAAACCTTGTACACAAATGTTCATAGCAGCTCTAGTCATAGTTGCCCGTGATCAGAAACAACCCCAAATGACCACATTAACAGGTAAACAGATAAATTACAGTATATTCATACAATGAAATATGACTTAACACCAAAAATGAACAAACTACACATACAACATGGATAAATTTCAAAAACATTATGCTTAGCTATAGAAAAGAGACACAAAAGAGTATGCACTATATGGTCCCATTTACATGAGACTCTAGTAATAACAAATCTAATCCAAATCTAGCTACAAAAAGCACATTAGCCAGGGGTGGGTGGGATGGGGAGAAGAATGACTAGGATGGGGCACAGGGGAACTCTTTGGGATGTTAGAAATATTCTGTATATTGACTGAGGTGCCCATTACACAGGTGTATACATTTGTCTAAACTTGTTGAAATGCACACTTAACATTTATAAATTTTGTTGTTTGTAAACTACCCCACAACAAATTTGATCGGGAAAAAATAAAGAAGCAGAATGAATTGCTATGATCCTAGCATGCTCAGACACTCATCACAAATCATTTGTGGATTGCAATTACAGTTGCTCAGCAGCAGCCTCTGGAACACTGTTATAGCCAGTAAACATGCTCCCAGACGCCAGAACATCAGTCACGCTGAAGAGATCATATTTCAACTCTTGTTTGGAGGATTTGATATATTCCCTGAAGTTACATAGCCCAGTACCACCCACAACAAAATACTTCATTCCACAGATAAAGAACTGGAGACTGATCTATTATCTTACTCTCTCATACAGCTTAACATCAATGTAATTTTTCTTCTGTTATCAGACAAAGTTCAAAACCCTAGGAAAGGTAGGCAGGGTAAATATCACAAATGAGAAAATGTATTCAGATGTACAGGTGGCTCATTTTCTCTAAGACATATAATTCCAAAGAAACAATGTTCAAATTCCAGTAAAAATAGCTACAACTCAAGCTCTGTCTCTAACTGAACTTGACCAACACATATAAGAAAAAACTTGGCAGTTCTCAAGACAAATCAGCTGCAAGAACTTCTACTTTCTTCTTGCTACATTTAGCAAACAAGCATAATCTTGAGCCAACAATTTGTCTTTAATTAAACAGGCTTTATTTTTGAGTTATTACCATTGTATCCTTATGGTAAAGTGATGAAGCAAAATCTCACTAAATAGACCATAAAGTTTGTCACTAGTCCAAGAGTGAGACACACCAACAACCTAGACAACATTACCTAAGGTTTTTCTTTTTCATTTACATGGCAACTAGCTACGGGCCAAGAAAATGTTGGTATTAAATCAGCACAGTGTAAAGGAGGATGACATTTGAGAGAAATGGGCTGGCAGAGAAGCAGATTAAATGCATAGTGTAGACCTACTTCCCTAGCATCCAAACACCTGAAAATTCAAAAACAGATTTTTTTTTTTGCTGTGTAATTCAAGGATATCTGATGTTCACACTAAAAAGGCAAAGGCATTTCAAGAGTGTAAAGTGGTATCTGAATCAAAGGAAAGCTTATAATTAGTATAATTTCACATCAAATATATTATACTCTAATTCTTTGGAAAAAATGTTTTTATGACAACTTTTAATAAACCAGGATATTTAACTTAATAATCCAGGAGCTCCTAATAAGCAGGAACTACATAATTTTCATTCTATCCCAGTATCTAGCACAGTGCCAAGCACAAAATGTACATTCAATAAATGTTAGTTGAAATAAAATGAAAACATGTATTATGGTTCGGGTTTTTAAAAAAGAAAATGTCCCCCATATATGTGTTTATATATGCATGTGAACATGCAAAAAAATATATGTGTCAAGATGCACACTGAACTGTCATCAAGGAGCACCTCATGGATTTGAGGCAATGAAGAGAGTTAGTTTTTCTTTAACACACAGCACATTAATGAAGATCATAGGTTTTGGAGTTAGACTTGGTTGAAATGCCAACTCTACCCCTTCTCATATGTGTCAACAGGCAAGTTACTTAACTTCTATATGCCTCATTCTCTCATCTGTGAATAAAGATCAAATAGTTCTGCCTCACAGTGTTAGGATGAAGGTTGATACAATACACATAATGCACTTAAGGGTGATCGACACTTAGCAAGCACTAACTGATTCATGTTAGCTATTACGAATATTTTTATTTCTTACAGTGCTTTTGAAATAAAGGAAAAATGTTACATGACAAAAAATGTTAAAGGAACCACTTTATAAGAAAAAAGAGAAGAAAAAAAAGAGGGGAAAGGAAAATAGGGGGGAGGAGGAGCAGGAGGAGGAGAAGGAGGAGGAGGAAAGTAGCTATTAATTTCATGTTGAAGAAATCTCTCCTTGAGCCTTCTGAATTGGCTCCAGTTTGAGTTGGTTGCTCCATGCTTGGTGCATAACTGTTATCTTGGGTTTTTCTTTCATCTTCATCCTGGGGATTTCTTTTGTCTGTCTCTTATGTTGGATTACCTTTTGCTGGGTTTCAGTTTTTTACCTTTCTTCATTTACTGTCTTATTTTGGTAGGTCATATCTGCCATTACCTTCTTTAAAAAGGGTATACGAGATGTTGAGTGCCTAAAAAGATCATTGTTATATTCTCACACTAATTTATGCTGGTTTGGTTAGGTTGCAATTCCTATTCCTTTGAGTTTTTAAGACATTGCTTCATTGTCTTTGGGCTTCCAACCATCCTGTAGAGAAGTTTGGTGCTATCGTGGATCTTATTTTTGTGTTTGAAACTTGAGTTTTCTTTGAAAGATTTTGAAATCTTTTCTTTGTCCCATGTGCTCTGAAAGTTTACAGTAACTGGACTTAGTGCTTTAATCCATCGTGGCACTCAGCAGATCCTTTTAGTCTGGCAACTCATGTCCCTCAGTTCTGGCAATTTTCAAAATTATTTCTTTGATAACTTCTTCCTGTCTATTTCTGGTACTCTCTTTTCTGGAATTGCTGTTGTTTCCTATTATCCATCTCCTGCTTCTTTTTCTTTTTTTTCCAGAATTTTCTAAAATTTCTATTGAGCTTTTAAAAATTTCTCCTATATTATCTTTAATTTCTAAGAGCAGCTCTTTTACATTTCTGAATGTTCTTTTTTTTAACATAGCATCTGTATTCTTGTTTCATGGGTATAAAATATTCTCCTAGATCTTTGAAAATGTTAATAGAAGGTTGAGTTTTTTTCCCCCCAGTTTTCTTCTTCCTGCATGGCCTCCGTTTTTCCAAGCTATTGTCTCTGATGTCAGCATCTCCAGGTCTTTTCTGTTAAGTTAGCCAGAGTCCCCAGACACTTCCTGCCTCAGAGAATCTTGAGCTCTGGGGGATACTGGGGAAAGAGAACCAAAGGTCTCAGCACGCAGTATACAAACTTATAATTGATCACGCCATATTTGGTGATCAGCACCCACCTGAAATAGCTACTGATATTCCCAGGCCAGAAATACACTGTTCTGGAGAATAAACCTCTAGTCTTTCTGGAATGGGAAGGACTGTGGAAGGGTAACTAGGGTTCTAACTGCTTTTAAAAAGATTTTCAAATTCTCCTTCTGATTAGCTCTTCCTTTACTCCCACTTAATGTACCCCCACATAAGAGTGTCTTCAATTTCTAGGCCACTGAGTTATTCAGAGATGTAAAAATTGAGATGGTCCTAAGATTCTTTTGTTCTTGGCTTATGGTTTAGCTTTTTCAAGTTTGCTAAATCAATTATTGCTCATCCATCTACTTTCCAACTTGAGGTTTTCTCCTTTCCCTTTCTTACACAGATGTTTGCCTTTAAAAATATACCTTTACTGCCATCTTAGTGACTTTTCAGAAAGGAGCAGAGATAAAGGCATGTACAAAATCCACTTTTCAACTACAAGTAACCTACTATATTATTTTTAAAATGAAAACATTCAGCAAGATTCAATGATGGATTGTATATAAGAGGAAAAAAGAGAAATAAATTAGATATTATTCCAAGATTTCTAGTCTGGGTCATTAGGAAAATGTGGTATCACTTATAGAGATAGGGAAAACTGGAAAAGGAACAGATGGGATGGGATGGGAGCAGATGGTTCTGTTGCGTTTAGACATACTGAAACTAAAGTGATTGGAAATATCCCAACGGAGGCATTATGGAGACAACTGGAAATGCAGTGATGGAAGGCAGGGAATGGTGAAGGCAAGATATGTAGATTTGGAAATAGACTACATTGAGTCTATTAAGATAAGTAAGATTAGGTAAATATTAAAGAAGTGAGAGCTTAAAAAAACAGCAGGGCAAAGACTCAGCCTTGAAGAATATCAAGGAATAAGAAAAAAGAAATAGAAAGTGTTTTTACCAGGGAAAAACCCAGATATATGGTTAGAGATGAAAGATAATCAGTACTGTGTGACAATATGGAACCCCCTAATAGTGTGTGAGCTTGGGCAGCCACCAGATCAAGAAGTGGCTAAGCCCAGACAGAACCTCACAATAAAGCAGGAAGCCCACAATGGGCCATTTTAGGTTGCTGATCTCACATGTGGAGCTGGGGAATATGGACTCTAATGGGATCTGTGACACCAGTACACCAGAGTAAGGGAAAAGGACAGGTGGGATCAGAAGCCTGCAAGTCAAGGTCAGAGCAGAGACCAAGAGCTGATGGAGTCTATCCAGGTCAGTGTGATAGGGGAAGAGAGAAGAGGAGTAATTGGTGAAGATTCCAACAGGTAGATATTGGATATCTCAGAGGTACAGGTATAAGATTCAGAGACATTAGCACAGAGAAAATCAGGATAAATCAGAGGCAGAAAACGAAACAAACAAAAGCAGAAGCTTAGACAAGTGAATTCCTATGGGCAGAGGCCAGGCACCAGCAAAATTCGCTTTTGATAAGTCATAAACTGAAGTAGGATCTCATAATAGCATCCCTATCTGGGAGGGTACCTTAGTCTTAGATTTGAGCTAGACTGAGCTAAAAGGCGAAAGTCCATCTTGGTATTTATCATAGGAAAATACTTATACCTTGCACAAGAAGTGTATGCAAGGATGTTCATGGCAGCATTGTTTGCAATCAAAGAATTGAAAACAACGTTAATGTCCATCCGTAGGGGAATAATTATGTGTATCCATACTGAAATAATCCACAGCCATGCAAAAGAATGAGGTAGTGTTCAATGACTAATATGGGAAGATCTCCAATACATAATGTAGAATCGAGTGGGAAAAATGGCATGATATTATAAACTATATGAAACGGTCTATGTTTTTGAGTGGGATGAACAACAGGGAGAGAGAAAGAGACCTGCCTAATGCAGAAGTGTTCTGGAGGAGAGGGACCTGGAAGACCATTACACATCATTACATTTTGACATGTTGCATACGGCAAAGATACTGAGTCAAGAAAACTAAGAAAAGGCAAATGGATTTGGGTAGAAGAAAGTCATCTGATCTTCAGGAGAAGACTACCAGCTGAGGAGCAGAGGTGAGAAAAACATTGCAGAAGCAGGAAGATGATGGGAGATTGGTGGGAGTGGTCTCTATGCCTATAACTTGGACTTTAAAGATACAGGAATATCAAAGCTCGCACAGCCTAAAAGGTACAATGAACAATTTTTAGAGTAAGGGAGATCTGGGTATATTTGAAGTTGAAAGGGAAAAAGCCCTTGAAGAGAGATAAGTAATAGATGTCATGGAGAGGGCAGAGATAGAGGACAGTTTGTAGAATGTTAGGATTTGTAAGGAACCTCAGAGCCCACCTTGTCCCATTTTACACTTGAGTAAACTGAGGCCAGGGAAGTGTTGTGGGTAAGATCATGGTTTTGAATCCAGACTCCATGTCTTAGTAGCTTAGAAACTGCTTTGAACCACTATTTCCTCATCTTTGAAATAGGAGTGAAAGCTGACTACTTCATAGAGTTGTTAGGTTTTATTTCCATTTTTATTGTTGTTGTTAATGAACTCAAACATCTACCATGCCAGTCACTCTTCAAAGTTCTTCACAAATATTAACTCACTTAATTTTCGAAATAACTCTATGGGGTAAGAACTATTGTTATTCCCTTTTTTGGAATCCAGAAACTGAGGCTTAGAAAGACATAGTTACACAGACAGAAAGTCATGGAACCAGGATTCAAGGCAGACAGCTGACCCGAGTTCAAGTTCTTCATCACTCAGTCCACTACCTCTAATTTAGTTCATGTAAAGTACGTACATGTGGCAAATGGTGAAAAAAAAAAAAAAAAAAAAAAAAGGAACTCTGATTACTAGTTACAGAAATAGCTAGCACCAGAATGCAGGCTTCCTGGTGACCAGGTTCATTCCTTTACATTATGCTGTATTGGTCACCTTGTTCTGAGCTCTTTTGTTCTACTGGAATTAAGCTAACCCAAGTACTGCATAACACAGAGGGATCATGAGTCAACATTTGGTAGTCTTTCTGGTCATATGGAGGGTTTTTTAATTCAATTTCCCAGTTGCAACACTATTGATTCATGCATCTTATAGTAGTTCACAATGGGTATTCAAAAACAGGATACAATATGTCCAGGCCATGCTGGTGTTCCACTAGGTTCCATCCAGCTCAGAGCAGCTAGAAATCATCTTCATTTAATGGATGTGAAATGTACTGGAGCACCCTTTCACCTTCTGAGTGAGGAGGTCTCCACCTCGCCAAAAGGATATCCTCGTTAGCAGGCTCAGTACAAGGGCTGAAGATGGCAGTAAGGTCACAGGAAGCAGCGTATACTTCCAATAAATACTTACAGGAGGTCAGCGTAGCACAGACCAACCATGGAAGCATTCACCTTTCTGGGTAAGGGGCATGCCACATTCTTCATGACACAATTCCCCAGCACATATTATGGATTCTAAAGTGCAGCTTCTGCCTCCAAAGAGATTTTCTTCAAAGGAAGGGACTCAAAAGGCTTCACTTGAATCTTTACAATGTATGCAACAATAAAGATAATTATAGATTAACAGCTACAAGATACAAAATGGCCACTACTTTTCTTCTCTGTATTTGTTCCCATAATAAAACTCACGAGAAGCTTAATGAGAATTTAAGGATGTTTTTTTTCTTTATGTTATTCTAAAGATCTAGCACTGATTAGAAACCCAGGGTTCTGTCCCTGAGCATGAGGCAGAAGAGAGGGGAAGTAGGAGTAAGATATCTATTCTTCCAATAAGTACTTACAGGGGCCCATCTACAGAAGGTTCTTCATTAAATGTATGGAGGGTTGGGGTGAGAGACAGTATAAAGATGAGAGTAGTATATAATGCTATGCTTCAGGAATTATGATTTCCTACACAATCAGGCACAGATAGAGCTAGAGTTCCAGACTACTCAGAGTGCCTGAGTTCATATCCTAGTGAATACATGCTGTGTAACTCTGGGCAAATTGCTTAATCTAAGCTTCCATTTTCTTATTGTTAAAATGCGGATAATGACAGGACTGCCATCATTGCATTGTTGTAGGAATGAAACAATTACGTATTTAAAAAGTTCTGTAGAGTGCCTAGCGCATAGTTGGAGCTCACTGTATGCTATTTGTTGTTAATATTATCGTAAATAACCAAAAACAGACGAAAATCATGTTAATAATGGATATTCATAAAGGAGAAAATTAGTTCTTTGAATAGAGATACACTTTGAAGGGATCTGGCCTCGTATAAGATTGGAAATTTTATAAAACACTTGAAAAGAAAGGACAGCTATAAGTTCTCCAAAAATAAGGATTAATCTCCTCCAGCCCTGTTTCTAGACCACCACACATCCCAACCCCCCATGTCTTTGTGCTGGCCACTCTCTCAGCTCTGCGTCTGACTTTACGGACTTGCATCCATCCAAATACAAAAGCAGTCTTCCTGGAGCTTCCCTTCCACCCTGACCACACGGCTGCCTATGCCAGTTTTTCACTATTCACAGTGGATTCTCACTTAGCCTCAAAATTTTTATTTAAAACTTGCCTCTTTTAGGCAGAACTGGGCCTGCCCTTCAGGAAGAAAATAAGATCAGAAATTTGACCAAAAGTCTAGAAAAGTGTTTCTCTCTTAGAGATTATTCCATGTGCCCTTTGATGACCCAGCGAGGTTTAGAGATGAGAGAGAAAAAATATTAGGACTCTCTTGACCCAGCATTTATACGTTCCAAACTCCTGTGCTTGCCATTTAGGGCAACCACAATTATTATTATTGGTTGCATCTTGCTTTTTCAAATGAAGGGGTCCATGAACTGTTTCCCTAGACCTAGATGTCAAGGAAATGTAGTGATGGTGCAGGGAAAATGACAGGCACTCCCTCGGGGTCCCCAGGGCAGCAGCTGCAGCAATTCAGCCCTGGACCATCCCTGCATAGTTTAGACCCCAGGACACACCTGGATGTACTAGAGCAGCTCACCAGGCCTGGCGAGGGTTAACAAGAACAGTGTGTGTGAATGCCATCAAATCACTTGGTGCTTTGGGGTCTATTTTGGGGCTCAACCAGATTTGATTGCATAATAGGCCCATTTGACATAATTGGAAGTGGAAGCTGGCAGTTTCTTTGCTTGTTCGGGACCTGTGGCAGCTGGCATGAGAACCAAAGAGGGGCCCAGCATCATTTGGTGTAAATCTGAGTAAGTGCAGGAAAGGAGGGGCTGCACCTAACACTTACCAGGCCTTGGGAGGAAGGTGAGAGCAATGGCTAGTGTCCGTAGGTAAAGAGCTCTGTGCCAGCATCTCCTGTCTCATCCTCGTTGTTGCTCAACCTTTGCAGCCAGCAAGAGCCTAATTGTTATCTCCACATGTAACCTGAAAAAATAAGGTCATAAGGCCTCTACCATGGCCAGGTCTAGGGAAATGTCAAGGGAACATATGCATCCTGCTTCTTCTTCATGTCTTTGTAAAAGGCCAAGGCTGTCTGGGACCCTTTCAGCTTGGGCTGGGCACCCTGATTGTATGACCCACACCTACTTTGAAACATTGGTGTTGAGATACTTCTAGCATATTATGGTTAAGAGCACAGGCTTTGACAGTATCACCCCATGGATTACTCACTGATCGTAAAGGGGAAAAAAGTGAAGTCTTACAATGAAAGGATCAGCTGTTACCTCCTGAACCCACTGAGCAATCTTAGCATCCAGCCTCCCCACACCATGCAGTATCACGCATACAGCACCAGCTGGGTTGTAGTATTGCTAAATGACCACATCTAAGAAGCCTTTTAGAGTTAGACTACCTCCCAGTTTAAGAAAATCTAGGGACTGGAGACACAAGGTAAAAAAAATGACAGGAGGAGAACTAATCAGACCCTATATTAGTCCATTTTCACAATGCTCTAAAGAACTGCCCGAGACTGGGTAATTTACAAAGAAAAGAGGTTCAATTGACTCACAGTTCTGGATGGCTGGGGAGGCCTCAGCAAATTTACCACCATGGCGGAAGGGGAAGCAGTCACATCTTACATAGTGGCAGGTGAGAAAGAGAGTGAAGGAGGAACAGCCAAACACTTATAAAACCACCAGATCTCATGAGAACTCATTCACTATCGCGAGAACAGCGTGGGGGAAACTGCCCCCATGATTCAATTGCCTTCCACCAGGTCTCTCCCTTGACACGTGGAGATTATTACACAATCCGAGGTGAGATTTGGGTGGGTACACAGAGCCAAACCAAATCAGATGCCAAATCCACAGGATATTCCATTAGATAACAAGTTAGTGGCATGAAAAAGGTGGGAGGATTGCTTGAGATGGAAATATTTGACATTTTCAATATAACAATCCCCTCCCCCAAACAACAACAACAACAACAAAAAAGCAAAACAAAAAAACAGGCATGTGGCCTCAGGTTCATAATTTCTCTAAGCCTTATTTCCTTACCTGCAGAAAGAGAATAATGCATATTCTGCTTCAGGGTGCTATTGTGAAGATTCACTGAGAAGTGCTTGAGAGCCTTCAGCACAGTGCACGCTGCACACTAAGCACTCGTAAATGGCAGCCATTGGTATTGCCCTAGAGATCTACTGCCTAACAAGCTGTACCTGCGGAACGAGCTGCACCTGTCCTTAACAGCGTGGTCTGGTGCTGTCCTGGCCTTCCGGCTTACCACTACCAGCTTCTCTGCATAATGTTACCTAACCTATCCTATGGGAAATATCATCTCCCCAGCACACTTCCCCGTCATATACACCCTCTTCCAGAGTTAAGGCTGGAAAAGCAGCCAGAGGCCTGCTTGTGTAGGAAGATGTAAAAGCACACTTGGCAGATGCTGCCTGGTCTCCTGGGCCTTCCCACTTCAGGGCACACTGCCAGCACTCACATTTCTCCGCCTTAGGACTTTCTTTGACTATTAGGGCCTGCTCTGACCTAATGCATGTGGTTAGGAAATGCTAGGAAATTCAGACCACTCTGCCCCCTCCCTCAGCAGTTCTCAGCCAGGCACTGATAGTTGGGGGACAGCTATCCCAGTTCCCTCACTCCTCTGGTGGGATATCTTTGAAGTGTGTATTCTATAGTGTTTCCCAGAATTTTGCAGGAGAACTAAGTTCTACTCACAGTGGAACAAGCTAGAAGACACCCCTTTATCAGCCTTTTTTCTTTCCCCTGAATCACTTCCTCACCTGCTACCTCTGTCTCCTAAGATGACCTCCCAAACAAACCATTTGCACTCGAAGCTATGTCTGAGGGAACCCAAACTGAGATACCACATAAATGAGTTTGGATTTTTCCCTAAGGACAGTGGGAAGGTGTTGAAGTGCTTGTTAAACAGTGGCTAATAATGTCATTATAGAGATCCGAGCTCTGTCCTCCCCCTTTGCCTTTCCATCATCAGAGCTCAATTTTGAATCCTGTAAGAGAAGTAGGTGCTGTGTCTCATTCACCTCAGCTCCTCCCGACTTGGTGCCTGGCTCCAGAGGCTGCCTTCAGATTCTCCTCGACAGCAGCCTTTGCACCAGGAGCACAGGCAAGAAAGCTGGAGGTACCCACAGAGACCTTGGTTACATAGAGCCTAAACATCATAGCCACGTTGGCTGCAAATAATTAAATAGAAAGTAACTGTTGCTTTCTGCTTGAAGATGTCTGAAGTCTAAGTGTAAAATCCTGCTGAAGGAAAAATGCCAGTAATAGCAGGAGACATCTAGAAGGGATGAAGGTCTGAGGGAGCGTCTAGCCACTGTGAGTCCAGCACCAAGGAGACCTGCCTCCCACAGGATAACAGAGAAAGCCCTGAAAAAGACCTATGGAAGACTGTACTGCTCTAATAGAGAGACTCCTAAGCCCTCTGTCTCTCTTTGGAAGCCATGCCCATGAGCATGCTTGAAGGGACCCACAACATGCCAGGAAGAAGTAAGATCAGACAACTGGCCAAACCATTGGCGAGGCTTTGCATACTGCACTTGCATACTTCAGAAATGGCATGGGTCCAAGTTGGTATTCTTGTGGAAGGTACTTGGGGAAAATCTCCCCAGTAATACATAAGATCCCCTGACACTTCTCTCCCTTCTCCTGAGAAGTAGATGAAATAAACAGACTGAGCCCATTGTTCTGTAATTCTATTGTTCTAAAGCTAGATACCCCAAGATCTGTGTCCTTCACTAGGATGCAAATTGGTAGCAAGGAAGTAAGCCTAAGATTAGCAAATCTTTTGACTCTATCCCTTTGTTTAGCAATCATGCCGATTTGCTTTCTGTTTTTGTTTAAACAACAAAGACACGCAGAAACTTGCCCTACAGAGTTCCAAAAGAGGTCATAGAGTTAGAATTGGATGTCATCATGGTCATATAATTTCTGCCCTGAGGAAATTAAGAAATGGGGCCAGAGCAGTCATCCAACTGGCCCTGCAGAAGCTCAGCCACAGGTAACAGGAAGCCTTCACTGCTTTGCCTAGTGACCTGAGCCAGGTCTAGGGCCCTGGGTCACCTAGACAAATGTGTAATGCCAGGTAGAGGGCCAGAGCAGTGAGGGTGATATCTTGATATTGCTTGGCATTGCATTTGGTTGGAAATAAGAGGAATAAAGAAGGGATGAAAATAAAGGGAAATCTTTTGGATAGGTCTTTTTATTTGGTGTCCTCTAAATTTCATCTCAATGCAATTTTTAAAAATCTAAGTACAGACTTTCCCAGAGCAGAGAGACATCCTAATTTGGGCTGGACTCAGAGCTGCTGTGTTTTAAAACACATAATGAAAACTGAGGTTTCTGGAGCTCAGGCTCTAGCACTGGCCATGCTGGCATTTAGTTCAATGAAACCAGCTGAAGCTTCACTCTGGCCACTTTAATCCTGACCGTTGGAACACCTGATTTACCACATTCTTCTCCACCCTGGTTTTATGCTGCCTGGAAGCTGGAAGCTCGGATCTCTGCTTCTGGGTCCATAATTTAAAGGTCTCAAAGAAAAAAAAAAGAATCTAAAATTTGCTTTTAGTAAGTAAGGCATCAGTAAGAGTAGGGTGTTTTGCCCTAGGGGAAAAATGCACATTATTCTATTTAGGCCTGTATCCTGAGTGACTGTTGAGACCAGACAGAGACCATGTATTAAAGATTAAATTTCAGTGTGAATTCTTGAGACATTCACGGCTAACAGTTAAAACATAACCTTGTTTTAAGAAAGGGCAGGAAGTCAATCCTAAGCCAAAAGAACAAAGCTGGAGGCATCATGCTACCTGGCTTCAAACTATACTACAAGGCTACAGTAACCAAAACAGCATGGTACTGGTACCAAAACAGAGATATAGACCAATGGAACAGAATAGAGCCCTCAGAAATAACACCACACATCTACAACCATCTGATCTTTGACAAACCTGACAAAAACAAGAAATGGGGAAAGGATTCTCTATTTAATAAATGGTGCTGGGAAAACTGACTAGCCATATGTAGAAAGCAGAAACTGGATCCCTTCCTTACACCTTATACAAAAATTAATTCAAGATGGATCAAAGATTTAAATGTTAGACCTAAAACCATAAAAACCCTAGAAAAAAACCTAGGCAATACCATTCAGGACATAGGCATGGGCAAGGACTTCATGTCTAAAACACCAAAAGCAATGGTAACAAAAGCCAAAATTGACAAATGGGATCTAATTAAGCTAAAGAGCTTCTGCACAACAAAAGAAACTATCATCAGAGTGAACAGGCAACCTACGGAATGGGAGAAAATTTTTGCAATCTACTCATCTGACAAAGGGCTAATATCCAGAATCTGCAATGAACTCAAACAAATTTACAAGAAAATAACAAACAACCCCATCAAAAAATGGGTGAAGGATATGAACAGACACTTCTCAAAAGAAGACATTTATGCAGCCAACAGACACGTGAAAAAATGCTCATCACCACTGGCCATCAGAGAAAGCAAATCAAAACCACAATGAGATACCATCTCACACCAGTTAGAATGGCAATCATTAAAAAGTCAGGAAACAACAGGTGCCGGAGAGGATATGGAGAAATAGGAACACTTTTACACTGTTGGTGGGACTGTAAACTAGTTCAACCATTGTGGAAGACAGTGTGGCAATTCCTCAAGGATCTAGAAGTAGAAATACCATTTGACCCAGCCATCCCATTACTGGGTATATACCCCAAGGATTATAAATCATGCTGCTATAAAGACACATGCACATGTATGTTTATTGCAGCACTGTTCACAATAGCGAAGACTTGGAACCAACCCAAATATCCATCAATGATAGACTGGATTAAGAAAATGTGGCACATATACACCAGGGAATACTATGCAGCCATAAAAAAGGATGAGTTCATGTCCTTTGTAGGGACATGGATGAAGCTGGAAACCATCATTCTCAGCAAACTATTGCAAGGACAAAAAAGCAAACACTATATGTTCTCACTTTTAGGTGGGAATTGAACAATGAGAACACTTGGACACAGGAAGGGGAACATCACACACCGGGGCCTGTCATGGGGTGGGGGGATGGGGAGGGATAGCATTAGGAGATATACCTAATATAAATGACGAGTTAATGGGTGCAGCACACCAACATGGCACATGTATACATGTGTAACAAACCTGCATGTTGTGCACATGTACCCTAGAACTTAAAGTATAAAAAAAAAAAAAAGAAGGAAAGAAAGGGCAGGGAGGAAGGAAAATGATTTTCTAAAGATGCCTTCAAAAGGATTATTATGAGTGGATGTTTAAAATATGGTATATATATATACACACACACACATATATATACCATATTATATATATATACCATATATACACACACACACACATATATACCATATTATATATATATACCATATACACACACACACACACACAAACACACACACACACACAAACACACACACACACACACACACACACACACAATGGGATACTATTCAGCCTTAAAAAACAGGAAATTCTGTCATCTGCAACAATGTGAATGAACCTAGTGAAATAAGCCAGGCATAGAAAGGTAAATGCTGGCCGGGCACAGTGGCTCACACCTATAATCCCAGCAGTTTGGGAGGCCGAGGCAGGTGGATCACCTGAGGTCAGGAGTTCGAGACCAGCCTGGCCAACATGGTGAAACTCCATCTCTACTAAAAATACAAAAAATTAGCTGGACATGGTGGTGGGTGCCTGTAATCCCAGCTACTCAGGATGTTGAGGCAGGAGAATTGCTTCAATCTGGGAGGTGGACGTTGCAGTGAGTGGAAATCGCGCTACTGCACTCCAGCCTGGGCAACAAGAGCAAAACTCTATCTCAAAAAAAAAAAAGAAAGAAAGAAAGAAAGAAAGAAAGGTGAATGCCACATGATCTCACTTGTATGTGGAATCTAAAAAGTCAAATTCCCAGAAGTAGAGAGTAAAATGGTGGTTGCCAGAGGCTGGGGATGGGGAGGTGGAGTTGGGGGATTAGGCAATAGGGGGTGGGCAGGGAGAGATGAGACATCGGTCAATGGGTACAAAGTTACAGTTAGGAGGAATAGGTTCTGTGTTTTATTGCACAGCAAGGTGACTACAGTTAATAATGTACATTTCAAAATATCTAAAAGAGAAGATGTTAAGTGTTCTCACTAAGAAAACATGATAAATATTTGAGGTGATAGATATAATTACCCTGAGTTAATCATTTTCAAGGTATACATGTATCGGAACATCACACTGTACCCCATAAACATTCACAGGTATTTGTCTACTTAAAATAAAATAAAAATTTAAAAGATAAAAAGGATTATGATAACCAAAGGTTGATGTTCCTTTTAGAGATACAATATACAAATATTATTTTATCTAGGTTAAATCCATTGGCAATACATTTTAAGAAACCCACGCACTGGCTGTCTTCAGAGTAGTATAGTGTGCGAAGGCATGATTCTAGCATTTCATTCAATGATGTACTTGCAGATTGCATTCAAAGGGTAAAGAGACAAATCGTATACAACTGATCTCATGGAAGAGGTTATACAAGACGCTTCAGTTAACATTTTTTCCATTTGTTTTGCTTGAGCACTTCCAAACCCAGTAGGTCTGATTACACTGTCACCTTTACATCAATATATAAATAAATCGGGAGGAAAATAATCACTGGAAGGAAAATTAAGGTTCGGGTCATACATCAACTCTGCTTAGTTAGCATGCAAACCTATAATTCACACTGCTGCTGAAAAGCCTCCAGTGATTGCTTATCCATTACAGATCCATTGCAGAAAAAGGCTGTAACTTTATTAGAAGCCTAATTTAAGAACCTATAAACATTTAGAATTTAAGCCCCACTGACTGAATGAAGTCCAACTGTATGGAATATTTATACACATGTTGATTTAAATCCCTTCTGAAGCCTTTCCAAGAAAACCGTATGCTGAAGGATCAAAAGGCAATTTAACCAACCCGACTCCAGACTACCACCATCCAGTCCTAAGGAATATCACCTTAGCCTTTGTCACTTGCTTAATATAAAACATCCAAACGAAATTACCCACAGCTCATTAAAAAAAGAAACTCATTTATCCGATATTAGGTTGTTTAAACTTTAAGATTTACTATTCCTCAAGTGTTTGCATGGTTTTCTCTAGGTAGCTTCTCAGAACATAGTGCTACTGCAGTCATGAATTCCTGTTAGCTGGTAAGCTACTTGCAGAAAATAGATGTCTTTGTTCATCCCAGGCATTTTCCTTATCTCCAGGCAGTCATCTTACCAAGGTATGGGGAAAGAGATTGTAGATGACTCTGGGAAATCCATCAAAACTAAGGCAAGAGCTATCAAATCACAATCTGATGGAAAAAGGTAGGTAATGTTTCCACACAGGAAGGAAAGCTTCTCTCCTTATGCTGGCTCTAAATAGATATTACAGTGTAAATCAAGCTATAGGAGGTTGTAAGGAAACTTAGAGAGCACCTACTCTCTTAAGTATGATAGCAGACTCACACTTAAAGACCTGGATCTTGCCTCCCATCATTCAAGTGTAAAACTTTCTCTTATTAGAGAGCAGAAAAATCCACATATCTCATAATGAATGTGTATTGAGTTTCTATAGAACTTATATTCACTAAACAATATTCCTTAATAGTTTTGTCCCCAAGGCTAGTTAGGAGTGAACCCAGAACAAAAGCTAGGATTTTTAACTTCAAAATGAATGTATATTTTGAAATAGACATTATACTTTGCCTTCTCCTTATTGCTTGGTTCACTCTGTGTCTTGAAGGAAGGCATTTTCTACAGAAGGCAAGAAAGGTCCAAGCACCAGGAGCTTGTACACGGCTATTTCTTGGGAACTTCAAGGTCACATTGCCTGTGGAGATGCTCCAGGCTGAGGGCTTTGATTCTTCCTGGCAGAAATAGTACACTTGGCTGTGAGTTCCTGCTTCTCTCCATCTCCTCTGGGGCCTCGCCACTTTCTCTTAGTACATTTTTCTCTGGATGCTACCTTCAGCTTTAGAAAAGTTTAGCTAATCTTAAGAGTTTTATAAATTAATATTCTCATTCCATATTCATGAATTCTGACTGTTACAAATAACAGCATGTTTTATCATTTTTACACACAATAACGTATAGTCATAGTCATTCTTGAACTAGGGAGTGGTCATTATAAAGTATCACAAAGTGTTTGGGAAGTAGTCAAGGTTTTAGTTGGGTGAGAGCTTTTTAATGTTTTACAACTCTGGTAATAAGAAATTACATCTTATATCTAACTCTATCAGTGAAATTAAACTCTTTTTCTCTTTTAATAAAATTAAAATGTTTCACTATCAAATTTTAATAAAATCCTTTCAGTGTATGAATATTTTCTAATGATAATCCTTAGACATGGTGGTTTTCCCAGTTAAATTGGCCAGATGAATTTACGCTTCCCTCGTTGGTCTTTTCTATACCTAGGGGCAAACTCCTTTAGACAGGAATATGTCTATTTTAATTTCTGACCAACTGGCAATAAAGACTATCCTATGTACATGTAGATATGTAGCAATACTTCCTCAGAGGAGGAGGATACTGGCTAATGATTACTGTGAGCTTACTACATGCCAGGTATTAGTCTAAGAGCTATAAATGGAATCAGGTTCATTTCCCACAAAGTATTGTTATTAACCCCATTTCACAGATCAGGAAAGTCACAAAGCTTGATAGTCACTAGTAATGAAAAGAGAAAGAAGCACAGAAATGCATCTTTATTTCTTTAATTATTCCTTCAACAACTAACCAATTTCCTCAACAAAGGCTCATGTTCTCCACAAATATTGTCTGAAAATTAAATAATAATAAAACAAAACATAAGAGCTGAATCCCTCTTACTGGTCCAGATCCATGAAGTCCACAGTTTTCAGTACAATGTCTAGTTCATTTGTTAGTTCGCAATACATTCCCCTGCCCTTAGAAATACTTAAACTGATTGTACTAAAAAATAAATCTTACTAGACCTTACTCAAGTATTATTATCCTTGTAATTAAGCTAGTCTGTTTACCAGAGGCTGTTGTGTTTGCAGATACTGTTAATATATTAGTCTTTACTTATAAACCTCTCTGCTGCAGAGAAAATGATGTGGAAAATGCAAAGAGAGTAAGGAAAAAACTAAATTCAGGCATCTTTTTAGATAAACGTGATTGTCTACCAAGACTTTCCAAACATCACCTTAGTCCCTTAGGAAATGGATTCTGCAAAGATGAAAAATAAATTTTCTTTTAATTTCTTTATGGAGATGTGATGAAAACACAAGTAATCTGTGCTCATGAACAATTAGAGCTTGAAAGTTAGTCCCACTTCTAAGTATAAAGAATAAAATAAAAATCACCCATAATCCCACCATTCAAAAATCACTACTCAATATTTCGGCACATTTCCTTCCAGTCTTTTTTTCTACTTTAAAAATCATAATAGACCAGGCACTGTGGCTCATGCGTGTAATCCCAGCCCTTTGGGAGGCCAAGACAGGTGGATCTCTTGAGGTCAGGAGTTCGAGACCAGCCTGGCCAACATGGTGAAACCCCTTCTGTACTAAAAAATACAAAAATTAGACAGGTGTGGTGGTAGTAGGTGCCTGTAATCCCAGCTACTTGGGTGGCTGACTCAGGAGAATCACTTGAACTGGTGAGGCGGAGGTTGTGGTGAGCCAAGATCGCTGGGCTTGGGTGACTCCAGCTTGGGTGACAGAGTGAGACTCTGTCTCAAAAATAAATAAATTAATTTAATTTAGTTTAAAAACATAGTAAATAGGTTATCTTCAAAAACTCAAGGTTTACTTAGACCATTTATTCAAGAATTTTTTCCCCTTATCCCCAGGAAAAAAATTTCTATTATCCTCCTGTCCTGCAATGTATTCACCCCCTTCAAAGGCAACTCAAGTCATCGACAGAAAAATCAAATGACGCTTTAGCCGCTCCGCTGCTTTCTTTCCTATTTGGGGGATAAATTCTTTAATTAAATTAAAGATTAACAAAGCCTTGGCAATCAGCATGCATCCTCTTAATTGCAAAGATGGCTTAGCTATTCTCAGCAGTTAGTTTTTTTACAAAGGTACTTGCAATGAAAGGGTCAAGTTTAAGACTTCTCTAAACCTCTGCTCTACATCTCTCTCTGTTAATAACCTTCCTGGTGTTCGATATTTGTTTAATGATCAACAGTGGCTTCTATTCCTATCACTGAGTATTTCAGAAAGTAGCATAACCAAGTCAATGTTTAACTGGATTCTTTGGGTCTGAAACGGCAAAGTTGAAGGGAAGTCTCCATGGAAACCAGCCTCCCAGGAAGTGGCCAAAAGGGTTAGTGTGCAGTGAAACAGAGCTAGAAGGATGCCATGAAGGAAATGACTGCTTTGTAAAGCGAGGGTAAACTTCTGAAATGCTTTGATTAAAATAAGCTATATTAAAGACCCCAAAACCACTTCCCTCGCAGCTTTCCTCTGAATGTCTTTCACATGAAATGGGCCTGAGTCACTCTAAGACTCACCTTAGGGTGATCAAAGTAGCACCTTTGCAAAACAAAGAGGTAGAGACTCCCTCGGCTGGCCGTGTGGACTTTGCATTCAATCAGAATTTGGAAGAAAAGACTTCATATTCACTGGCAAGACTGCAGGACCAGAATAAAGCCTTGGAAGGGCAGCTGCCACCTTTACAAGAAAACTGGTATGGAAGATATTCTACAGGTAAACATAAAACCCAGCATGAGATGTGTGTATCTGGACCAAGGAGCATTATTAATAGGTTTATCTGACTGTCTCCATGATCTCAGAAAGTTTCTAAATTCCTGAAATGTAAAGGAATTTAGGCTATCTTTGAAAACTCAAATCTTTCAATGAGGATTGAACATCAGTTGAAAGTATTCTGGGTTCATTAGAATGGGAGTATAAACTGTACAAAGGACTTTTCACTATTCCATATGAGAAGGATAAATCATTTTGTTTCAGCTCAGTTTGTAATGCTTTCAATGTTTATACCTAGTTTTGCCAGACCATTAAAATTATATAGATACTAGTGATAAATGATAGCAATCGCGTTTCAGTTAGATTCTAAATTTAAATCATTCTCTCCAGTATAGTTTAATGCACCAGACTTTGTGGTTTTGAAAGCAACACTTTAAGAGTGAGTTAATTCTAACATGAATTTTGAAACCACCCTAAACAGTATTGATTTATTGCAGTACAGAGGAGTGGATGAGTCACCCTTTTCCCAACCCCACATTCTTCATGGTCATCTGCAGAACTAACAGAATTCTTTCCCATTATGATTGGAAGCTCTGAGCCTGAAGTGGCCATAAATCCTGGGATATTTTATAAGCCATGTAAAATGTTTTATGATGACCACAATGATAATTAAACAGACATTCTCACTTAGAAAAATATATGTTTATTATATACATATATATATGTATATTGTTTTCCCTTTTCTTCACCTTCTGGATCAATAACACAAATAAGTTTCCCTTATTGGATGCCTTGTTCAGAAAGCCTCACATTCTCTTTTGGTACCTAGCAAATCTTGCCTGGAATGATTTTTCATGGCTATTGTCTGCAGAATTGATAACGTTTGGTTGTTTCTATATGGCCTGTTTTTATGTTCTTTATGTTCTTCAAGTTCTTAAGCACATGGATGGGAATTTTCCCCTTAGGAATTTTTTTATGATAGATAGAGGGATAGGTGATAGACATGATTTAAAAAATGGAGCGTGAATGTGTACTAAGAGTATGCAATGCTCCTATTGAGGAATTCCCTTTTTATCCAAACCCCCATTGAGAGTTTTAAGATTTTGGTGACAGAGAGAGACTCTGTCTCAATTAAAAGAAAAAAAAGATTTAGGTAACTGAATAAATGGTGAGCTTATGTCTGAAGTGACAAAATCACATTTAAAAATAAATAACAAGATCATGAGAATCCTCATGATCTCCCATATTCTCACCCCAGCTCCATCAAATACCAAATCGAATGACCTTGGGCAAGTTACTTCATCAATTTTTTTCACTTGTAATCAGGGGTAAAAATAAATGCCTGACACAGCCTATGCCAGTTGAGGAAAATCTAATTAAATAATGGAGTAATGTCACTAAAATAAAAAAAATAAGGATTAGTAAGCCTTCTGAAAAAATAGCTGAAAATACTTACATTGTTAAATCCAGTATGTTTGTTGTTTCCATCCTGCTCAATATGCTGGCATCTTTTCAAAAGAAAATAAGGACATAGTTTCCATCCCACTAAAAGTTAGAGAGAACAAAGTCCTTGAAGTGGTTATTCACATGTCTTAAGGAGAGAGATGCATAATTACCCAGGGATTTTTCCATTTAAAATGCAAAGTGGGACTGTAAAATAGTCTATGAAACAATCTAGAAGTCAGAATGTGTCCAGATTGTTAAAAGGGAAGGACAAGAACTTCATTCATGCAGCGCTGGTCATGGTAGCACTCCCAAGAGCTCAGGATAATCAAGCTGGAAAATAAAATCCATAATGGATCTGTTGAGCCTCTCTGTTTCCTAATAGAGGCTTAACTCTGTATCCCCAGCTTGTTTCATCAGGAAAGAATATTGATATGCTGTATTACAGTGGCAACCTGTGGAAATTTTTTTCACTAAAGGGGCTATTGAATTGTGTTCACACGTACTCCATTTCTTTCTCATCTCTGTATAATCACCTATCTATCTATCATCTATTTCATCTAAGAAGATTGTTTTCATTTTTTAAAGTTATATATTTTTCTGATGTCTTATATTTCAGGGAGGAGATTTTATGGAATTAAAATAAGTCAATAAATTTCTATTTTCCAGGCCAAATTCTGTTTGAAAAATATTTGCAGTCAACATATTGGTAATTTTGTAACTCTCCCCCTAAGTATGAACCTGAGTAGGAAGTTAGGAGAGCAGATATTAAATCCTGGGTCCAGACTAAAATAGTGTCATGTGCACTAATGTAGGTTCCCTGCTTTCTGTGTTTCATCTCCACATTCAACCCACAGGTTAGACATATATAACTGAAAAGGTACAAAATTGTGTTGACAAAGTCTAGTAACTAATGATTGCCTGATTTAATAGTAAATTATATTTAATGTTTTATTCCTGTTTCTTCCCCAATCCTTCAAGCATCCAGAGACATGTATTTTGACATCCCACTGGAACACAGAGAAACAAGTATTATTAAAAGGCATCCACCCCAAAGACTTCAAGTAAGATGAATTTAAAAGGCTTCATAAGGAATTTCTTGGATAAAATGGTAACATCCCTTTTTAAACTATAATCATCAAAGAGGGATATTGATAAGGACCAAGCTATTAATGAGAATGTTCTTAAAGAAAAATGTCATCAATCGCAAATACTCTATTACTTTAAGATTTCCTTTAGCAATGATTTCGCTTTTAAGACCAGCCACCGAAAGAAGCTAGTAGCAAGGACATAGATACCATGGAATTCAAGAGGCTTGAATCTAGCACTGATTAGTTGGGTGACTATGGGAAAACAACTTGTAATAAATAATAACAGCTACTACTATTTAATTACACCCTACTACAAGTCAGATACTATACTAGGCAATTCAATCTATGTCATTCATTTAATCTTCTTAGCCACCTATGAAAAAGGAAGAATTATCTTTGTTTTATACATGCTAGTCAGAGAGTTCAGTAACTACCCCCAAAGACTCACAGAGGCCAGATAT